>NC_000002.12:49281261-49584291 GCF_000001405.40 Homo sapiens | reverse complement strand
CCACCCAGTCAGTGGTATTTTGTTATGACAGCTAGAGAAGACTAAAAAAAGATCTTTAATAACATATGATCTATCCCTAAAAATTCTGTACAACAGAAATCCAGCTTTCTTTCAGTTATGGAGAAAAACAGAGAGACAGTAGACAGTTGAGAGATAGGTAAATAGACAGATGATCACATATTCATTAAGAGCTCAGATGAACTTTTGTGACTCTGATAATTTCTGATATTGTGATAGGAATGTGAATCTATCCCAAAATATTGACCCACATATAAGCTGAGAATTTCAAGTGCTTCTATTTTGATGGCGGATGTACTAAGGGCATACAGTCTCCAGAGGGAACATAATGACCAACAGAAGTGATATTTTTAGGACTTTAACGACTTGCCAAATTGGCTGAGGCTGAGGTACAATATCAGACCTTTTACAAGTGATTATTAGTTGCTAGTGGTACATAACCTGAAAGTCATTATTTTTAGAATTTTTAGACATGCACAAAAAGTAAAAAACCTAATTACCTGTTTTTCTGCTACAGAGTGAAAATGTACGACACCCCATGAAATACTGGAGATGGCTATGCAGGACTGATCATATTACACAAAGCTGATGTAAGTAAAGAGCAGATAAGATATTCTTTATAATCCATTTCCCAGCTAGCTGTAAAAAATCAGTGCTATATCAACATATATGTTGGATCCTAATAATAAAGCTACATATGTTGGTCAAAGGAGAAAACAAATAAACACTGGTCTTGGATCTCAACTTATTTACCAGCAATCTATATGAAATGATTTTGCTGGAAAGCTTCCCCAAAGACATAACAGGGTGCTGCACCTCCAAGGATGGGAGAAGTTCTTAGAGTGTTTAGAAATCTTCATGTAATTATCAAATATTGGTGACTGTGCATTTGGCATATACACCATGAAAATGTGAGAGTATTCTTTTCTCTTTACTTAAGGCAGTTCTGAGAACAACCCATAAACAGCTTCCCCCAAGTCTCCCCTTTATTATCATCCATCATGCTTAGCTATTTTAATGTGACACTGGCCGTATCTTGCTGCCAAGGAGAGCATGGATAATTCCGCTATGACATTGCTAATTTCTAGAATGTAACCACAAGGTTTGACATGATGCAGTCAGGCAGTAACCAAAAGCATATTTTCTGAGTTCCCTCGTAAAACCTCAGTGGATATGAGGGTCGTAAAAAAATAAAACTTATGCCTGGTTATTTTTAGTCCACCAAATGTGAGAAAAGATGAGTGAAATCTCCGTCATTAAAAAGAGAGATAGAGTGTCTTAAAAAATCCACTCAAATTAGAAAAATATGGCAACACTTTCATTCATGAGCAAACACTTATTAAGGGCCTATATGTGCCAGCAACTGAGCTTTCTGTGCTCAGTTCAATTTTAGCGCACATCTGGTCTACTACAGAACACTGTTTGAAAATATATGAAATAAACCTGCTAAAAAATTTAACTCTCTCTCTCCCTCTACTTCTCTTCCTCTCCCTCTGTCCTTCTTTCCCTATTTTTCTCTCTCCAAATTTCCCTCTTTCTGTATCAATGAGAAAGGCAGAATGATGGCATATTCAGAAGAAACATAGATTATTTCTGGTTTATAGTGAAAAAGCAATGGTTTAGAAATTATATGTCCTGTCACCTACTAGATGAGTGATCTCTAGCAAGTCATTTAATTTATCTGATGATGACAAAACAACACCCTGCCTAATAGTTCATAGGGTACTTTGAGACCCACATATGATAAAATATGTATGTTTTGACAACTGTCAAGTGCTTAATAAATGTTAGATGTTATCTTATGTGGGAAAGTATTAAAATGAATATCTACTTTATATAAAGGTGTTTTAATCATATTTGTTATATATGATTAAAAATAAAAATAATTGTATAGAGTGCACACACACACACACACACACACACACACACACACAGAGTTGACCCTTGAACAAAGTTTTGAACTTGGAGGGTCTGTTTATATGCAGATTTTCTTCCACTTCTGCCATCCCTGAGAGAGCAAAATCAACCCCTTCTCTTCTCCTTAGCCTACTAAATGTGAAAATAATAATGAAGACCCTTAGGATGACCCACTTCCACTTAATGAATAACAAATATATTTTCTCTTCATTATGCTTTCCTTCACATTTTCTTTTCTCTAGCTTACTTTATTGTAAGAAAACAGTATATAACACATACAGCATACAAGATATGTGTTAATTGACTATGTTATTGGTAAGGCTTCTGTTTAACAGTAGTTGTATTAGTCAGAGTTCTCTACAGGGACCAAAGTAATAGGATAGATGTATACATAAAGGGGAGTTTATTAAGGAGTATTGACTCACATGATCACAAGGTGAGGTCCCACAATAGGCTGTCCGCAAGCTGAGAAGCAAAGAAGCCAGTCCGAGTCCTGAAGCTGAAGAACTTGGAGTCTGATGTTTGAGGGCAGGAAGCATCCAGCATGAGAGGAAGATGTAGGCCAGAAGACTAAACCAGTCTAGTTTTGCCATGTTCTTCTGCCTGCTTTTATTCTGGTCATGCTGGCAGCTGATTAGATTGTACCCACTCAGTAGTGCCTTTCCCAGTCCACTGACTCAAATGTTAATCTCCTTTGGCAACACCCTCACAGACACACCCAGGAGCAATACTTTGCATCCTTCAATCCATCAAGTTGACACTCAATATTAACCATCACAGTAGTTAAGTTTTTGAAAAGTCAAAATTTATTTATGGATTTTCAACTGTGTGTGTGTGTTGGGGGTGGGGGGATTATTCCCTTAATCCCCATGTTGTTCTAGGCTATAACTATATTATAATATCTTTAGTTATAATAAGTATATAATATGACTGTTTCAAAAGCTATTTTTTCAAAGGAATTTTAACATTCTTCTGTTCCTACCAATAGGAGATTTTCAGAGAAAAGAATGCACTACTGAGAAGATAGGTAGTTGCGACGAATCATGTTTATATTTAATTAAGGATAAACAGGTGAGTCTTCTATAGATTATGGTAATCTTAGAGTAACTAGTAGTATGCTGAATACCATAAATAATAATCTGAATCTGCTTTTCTTTTTCTAAATGGGTAAAGTAAAACAAATGTGTTGCTGCATCAAGGAAGTCACAATGTGAGAAGAGAATATGGATGCATATGAAAAATGTTCATTGTATTAAAGTGTGTGGGGTGGAAACCAGTATTTCCACAAAAATTCAGAAAAGAGATCCCTCAGCATGGGCTGGGTTAATGAAAAATCTTCATGAAGCCTGCGTTAGGAGTTAGCATTAGGACGCGTAGAAACGTTGGAACAGAGCCGTTTAAGGAAACAATACTTTGAAAGATTGAGGTAATGGTGTTTAATAGATGGCTTAGAAGCAACTGAGCTGGAAGACTAGGCAACCTGCAAAAACAAAACAAAACAAAAAAAAACAACATTCCCGTGATGGTGCAAAGATGGAGTTCTGAGACCTTAATTAGAGTAGCAGCCTTGAGAAGGCAGAAGAAAGGCCCAAACCAAGTTCCCATCATATTTATTAGAGGCAGTAGTAACCAAATACTAGTTTTATTTCCCACTGGCCTCTTTGTTGTTAGCCAAACTCACAAAGCAGATCTCATTTCAGGGTCTCATGACATATAGTTTCCTTGGACTGAAAAACATTTTGACTAGATATTCCTTTGCCTTTCTCCCTCATTATATTCATAACTTGACACTTTATCTAAGAGGCCTTCTCTAAAAACCCTGTCAAAATTAGCACCACCCAAAACATTCGGTGCCATATGATAATACGGCAGATTCCTTGTGTTAGTTCATTTGGGCTGCTATAACAAAATACCACAGACTGTGTGGCTTATAAGCAACTGAAATTTATTTTTCACAGTTCTGGAAACTGGGAAGTCCAAGATCAGGGTGCTAGCACAGTTGAGTTTTAGTGAGGACCTTTTCTGGGTTACAGGCTGCTGACTTCTTGCTGTGTCCTCACATAGCAGAAGGGATGTAGGATCTCTCTGGGGTCTCTTTTACAAGGGTACAAATTCCATTCATGAGGGCTCCACCCCTATGACCAAATCATCTCCCAGAGGCCCCATCTAATGCCATCGCCTTGGAGGTTAAGATTTCAACACATACATTTTGTGTAGACATAAACATTCAGTCTCTTTCATGCCTATTTGTTTACATATATAATATTTCTCAGCCAAAATATGAATCCTGTGAGAGCAGACAAATTCTTATTCATTCTCTTGGTTCAAAGGAAAGCATAGAAATAGCAGCAGGCAGGTGTAAACGTGGAATTGGGGCTCAGGAACAAAGCCAGATCTAGAATGTAGCTAAAGAAATCATTCCCACAGGAAAAAGTGGTAAAATCTTGAAAGGTGAACTATCCAAGATAATCATATGTTGTTGAGAACCATTCCAAGTCTCTGAGTCTCCAGTCATTCCATGATAAATATGAGGATTGAACAGTTCTTTGATATAAAAAAGAATACTAAAGGTTCTTGGAGTGATCATTCTGGTAATCAATTTCAATTATCAGTACTCTAGATAAGGCAAGTACAAGAGAATGAGGTGTGTAATGTGCTGAGCCCAAGATATATCAATTGTTACAATTCAACAAATAAATAGCATATGCTCATTTTAATATGGCTTGCCTTTTTTCAAAAGTATAGTAAGACAAAGTCTAGTTATCTGAAGATTGTGGATATTGAGTTAAGGTTGTGCAATAATTAAAGAGAGAAGATACTTTAGATTAATTCTGAATATTCCCTGGATTTTGTAGAAGCAAGGTAGTCTGGACTCTTTGGGGCCTATGCACAACAGCCTGAACTTCGGAACAATCACAGACGTAAAAGTTAAAAGAAGTAAATTGTTGGTGGGCCACAATTAATCATCATTATTTAGATGCTTTAAGCAGTTGGACTCAGCTCTCACTGATACGGAAGTGTTGGGAAGGGAAGAGTGTGTTCCCTTTAAATGATACAGAAGAGGCAGAAGGGAAGTGCTGGGTAGAGGAGGACATGGTCCCTGGCTAGGGCTCCACCCCCACGGACCTAGGTGAGAACAGGCATTTCCTGCACAAATGTTGCATTTCCCGCCCAAATGTTGCATTTC
Organism: Homo sapiens; assembly: GCF_000001405.40. Classification (NCBI taxonomy): domain Eukaryota; kingdom Metazoa; phylum Chordata; class Mammalia; order Primates; family Hominidae; genus Homo; species Homo sapiens. The sequence continues at coordinate 49,579,169 of NC_000002.12, read as the reverse complement.
CCAAGACCACCCTGGCCTGTCATGTCCTCATCCTGTGCCTATAAAAACCTGAGACCCTAGCAAGGCAGAGACAAAGAAGCAGCTGGACATCGAGAGGGGCACATCAGCGGAGGAACACACAGGTGGCTGGACGTTGAGAGGAATGCACCAACAGGCACCAGCATAGCCAGCAGGCCACCAACTGGCAGAATGACATGGAGTTTGGCTGGGTCAGTTGGGGGAAAGCCTGGACCACCAAGCGGCCCAACTCCAGGGCAAAACCATCTCCCTTCTGGCTCCCCCATCTGCTGAGAGCTACTTCCACTCAATAAAACCTTGCCCTCATTCTCCAAGCCCACGTTTGATCTGATTCTTCTGGTACGTACGCCAAGGCAAGAACCCTGGATACAGAAAGCCCTCTGTCCTTGCGACAAAGTAGACGGTCTAATTGAGCTGGTTAACACAAGCCACCTATAGACAACAAAACTGAAAGGGCAAAACTAAAAGAGCACCCTATAACACCCTCCCACGGGAGCCTCATGAGCTGTAAACATTCACCCCTTGTCACTGCTGTGGAGTCGGAGCCCCACAACCTGCCTGTCTGTATGGTTCCATAGAGGTTTGAGAAGTGGGGCACTGAAGAAGTGAGACACTTCTCCTGTCACACACCCTACAAAGGGGACAAGGGAACCTTTCCTGTTTCATCACCATGGCCAGTATCCCCTGCCATTCTGCTATGTTTGCTACTTTGTCCGATGTCATTCTTAAACACTTAATCAAATACATATCCCCTAAACCAAGATACTTGGACCATATGGTTGATAGTTTATACAGAACTACTAATTCATTGACTTTTTTTTTATATTGTATAGTAAGGGTGGCTGTTATACCATCTGACTAAAAAGGATAGACAGATGGTAAAAGCCAGATGAAACACAGAGGTTAGAATACCCATGATCATGATTTCTCATGTGACTGAGCACAAAATCTAGACAAAATCCCCTGCTAGATAGTCTGAAATTGGAGATGTTATTTTCCACCATCCCTTCTAAAATTACATTTATCAGATTATCTCATATTAATGATTTTCTCATATTAATGATCCTTCCACTCCAGTCAGATTGGCTCCATCACTGTCTGATGCTCATTCGTTATGTATCTCTGCCTTTAGGCTTTTGTTTATGCTACCACCTTTGCTTCTGATGCCATCTCTCAACACCTTCATTGATCCAAATCTGACCATCCTCCAAGACCGACTTCAGATTGTGAGTCAGCTGAATTCTTCCCAGACCTCTGTAGGCCATTATCAGTGTTTCCCTATTGTAGACGCTGTAGAGTCTGTATGTCACTTAGTATTAGCATAATTTCTTTTATACGGTTAACTTTTTTATTCCCAGGTTTTCTCTTTACACAAAGACTACGTTCTTTGCTGTACTTCCTAGAACCTACAATATGACCAGTTCTTTGTCTTGCACAGAGCTGGTATTCTCTGTAGAATAGAGTAGAAACAAAGTGAAGGCTTTGTCAATAGGTCAAAAGACTGAGAACATAAATAATAAATTAATAATGTAATTTTAATCATCTGAAAAAGATCAACAAAGGACAGCTCAGAAACTGGTATGCTGTTGTTTAAATAAATGAGGCACTTTTTGAGACACAGACTTACACTGCATGAAATCAGAACCAGTGCTCCTGAATTTATGTTTCCCATTGTATTTAGTATGCTTACTGAAGTTTATTTAGCATGCTTACCAAATATGAAATGCAGAGGAATTTGTCAGACGTCCATTTTACCTGCTTAACTTTTCATTTCCTCTCTCCCTAATTTCTCTGATCTTTTACTTGTAGTGCCCACTGGGGCCTATCCCCTCCCCTTGCAGATGATGAGTTTCCTTTTCTCTCTGTACTTAACTTCACACACAGAGTGGACACTCTTCCCCACAGCTGCCAGATCAATCTGTTCCATCATGGGGCTTCCTCAGCCAACAGTTATATTCACAACTGTGTGTTCTAAACCTCACAGGAGCATTTGTATTTATGTTCTAAATCCAGAGTTTACACAATAAGAGGCTGCTATTTTAAAATTGTGGAGTAGGAGGAGAGAATTTGTAGATATTTCTAGATGTTTCCTGTAGACCACCAACCATTTATTGGAAATAAAATGACATCTGCTCATACATTAAGGATAAAAGCATTTTAAACAGACTTTCACTTAACTAAAGATAAACAAATTTAGGATTCATCATGGCACTCATTGTTACATTCAACATATTCAAAGGAATCAAGCTCTAATGCTCTAATAATATCATTTTCACCTCCTCTGTTGACCCAAATAATTTTGCTTTATTATATTAATATACTGAAAGCTAAATACATTAAATTCTCTGAATATTAAAATTCTCTTCATTGCAGTGCCCATTTCTACATAATATTTTTTCTATTCCCATTGTCTGTGGGGCTGTGAGAATTCCCCACATCTATAACCCAATGCATCTTTTTACTATATATCTAAACTCCATTGCTGCTGGTAATATATATATATACACACACACACATATATATATACACACACACACACACACACACATATATATATATACACACACACACACACATATGTATATATATATATACACATACACATATATATATATACACACATATATATATATTTTTTGAGACAGGGTCTCACTCTGTTGCCCAGGCTGGAGGGCAGTGACGTGATCTCAGCTCACTGCAACCTTTACCTCCTGGGTTCAAAAGATTCTCCTGCCTCAGCCTCCTGAGTAGTTGGGACTACAGGTGCCTGTCACCGTGCCAGGCTAATTTTTGTATTTTAAGTAGAGACGGGGTCTCAGCACGTTCGCCAGGCTGGTCTCAATCTCCTGACCTCAGGTGATCTGCCTGCCTCAGCCTCCCAAAGTGCTGGGATTACAGGCGTGAGCCACTGTGCCCGGCCCGTAATATTTTTAATATATATATTTCTGTGACATTGAAAGTAATGGCTTTGCTCTGTGCTAAACTGCCACAAACAACTGTTAGGCTGATTTTCTCTATGTTCTCTTCTCTGCTTCTTTTAGTTTTCTATTTATCCCACTTGTTAAGACAAACAAGGTGAGAAATTTGTCAGAATAAGTAATTCATGTGTCAGAAACATCAGATGAAGGATATGACATTAGAGGTGACTTGGTGGGATGCAAATGCTGCAGAAGTTGGACCCTGGAACATTTGTTTTAATGCTTTACAATCTCTGGATAAGGGCCATAACTTCCCAGTGTTTTTGGCAGAAAATTTGCACAAAGAGATGAAATTTGTTGGAAATACTTTATTTAAAAGGGATTCTCTGGTTGTGTCTTGGCCACGCCTTAGCAAAACTGACATACACTTTTTCGGTGGCTCTGGAGCCTCACTCTAAGTGAATGAAATAGTCATTTTTGTCAGTAAACTACAGAACCAGAACCTATGGGATGTTTTTGGTAAGACTCGCAGTGAATAGCATTGTCCATGTGCCAGCTTTCAACTCTGGATTCTGTGTCTTTTACTCCTGTACTGAGATGTTTTATTCTGTATCACTCTACAGCCATCATTGAAAACATGATTCTTCTGTTTTACTTAGCATAGATAGAGTTCACAAGTAAGCATTATAGCAATCATATCTGAAAAATAATTCATTTTATTGAAGAATGAATAACTACAATCCATGGCTACCTAATTTTTTATGTTTGCTAGAGCAGTTAATGGCATAACATCATGGTGTAAACATGGATGGAAAATAAAGTATTTAGGATGACAACTGAGCCATTTCCTTTTTAAAAAAATATGAATAATCCTCTCTTTAGCAAACATTCATCCATAGTTCCTAATGCATATAGGGTAGCATTTATTACATGTTGTTTCTAAGACTACTACAAATTAACACTCTCACAAAGTTTTTTTCAAGTACAACATTTAATATTTATGTTTAGTGATATAGACCTGATGCCAATAGTTGGTCTTACATATTGAAATATTTCAGAAACAAAACAGAAAGAATACATATGAACAACAAACAAAACAAAATCTTTGCATACATTGGGTTTTTTAAAGTTATCTGTGGCACACGACTAAGTTTTATGTAGACTGACAAAAACCTTAGTAATCGTCATGAATGGGATGACTTAGAATCTCCTCAATTTTCTAGGATAGTCTAAAAGGCAGTAGAGCAAATGCAATCCTGACTGAAAGGGAAGCAGTGGAAATGGTAGAGGGACCAGTCTGGTACTGATGGCAAAGCTTAACATGGATTCATACAAAAATCCAGATTATGTTTCATTTTTTCTTTTTAAATTTAAAATCTTCTACCAGTAAAATTAACTGGTATTAATTTTACCCACTGCATGAGTATTAAATAAAATCATTATTGAAAATATGTGAAACCCAAAGACAACAGTAATTCTCAAGAGTTGAATATCAAATAAAAGCAGTATTGGACAATATCTCTATGCCAAGAAGAATGAGTGATGTAATCAAGCTGGCCTTCATAAAATTATTAACTCTTGCATCCTGTGCTAATATGCCTGTTAAGATATTAGGCAAAAACATAATACCTGCATTAACAGAAAAATATAATACCTGCATTAACAGAAAAATATCTGTTAAGATATTTAGTCAAAAATGTAATACCTGCATTAACAGAAAAATATAGCACAGGTATATTCATAGAAGAGGATCAAATAAGTCAAATTCTTCCTTTCTTGACCCCCAGTTCCTCCCTCTTTCTTCACCCTTAATCACTTTTAATTCTGCTGTTATTAGGTCTTCTTGATTTTTAACCACTACATACTATCAATTCTTATCTCTAAAATGTGATAAATTGTGTATACTTATCCTACCACCCTCTCCCTTCACCCTTTTTTTCTTTCTCCAACTTACCTTACTTTTAATGTTTTTCATATTTATACTTTAACGTTTAATACTTTTCTTAACCCTCTATTTCTGAACCCACTATCTTGACTTTGTATCGGTTGAATTTCCACATTGTAAGATGAGAAAAATCACACACCCACACCTCTATACCTTCCCCTCCTTACCTCCTCACTGTGTCAGCTGCGTCAATATTTTATACTGCCAAGTTCTGTAACATTTATATTCTCCCCTGTAAATATATCAAAGTCTTCTTTGTATCTTTAGTTTTATTCTAAACATTGAATCACATTTATTAGGATGTATAATATGATTGTGTAAAGATTATTAATTGTAAAACCAAGTAGTATGATTGGATCTGTAGGAAAAGAAATGTAATCTCGTCTTAGAAATCTGCACCACTTGAAGAATGCTCCAAGCATCAAAAGCAAATGGATTATCTTAGTGCTCCAAAAATATTGCTCAAAATAGTTGAAAATTTTGGTTTGCTTTATGCAAAGACCATGATTTCACCACACTGCCACTTTTTATAACATTTTTTTACTGTCATTCTTTCCTATTTTTGTTAGAAGAGACATTAAGTCTTTCTTCCTTTCCAGTAATTAGAATTCATTTCATTCCTGAAGATACTCCTCATTCTAATTTAAACCAATGCTTTCTGGTTTTACTGAACAACTATAATCCCGGATGTTTATTGAAATCCAAGATCATTTCTACTATTTATTAAATCCCACGTCGTTCTTGGATGCATTTTTCATATTGCTATAGTAGTTTCTTAAGGTTTGTTTTTGTTGCTTTTAAGAAAGGAGTACATAGGGAATAAACTTTTTAAAACTTTACGGGTTTGAGGCCGGGCGCGGTGGCTCACGCCTGTAATCCCAGCACTTTGGGAGGCCGAGGCGGGCGGATCACGAGGTCAGGAGATCGAGGCCATCCCGGCTAAAACGGTGAAACCCCGTCTCTACTAAAAATACAAAAAAATTAGCCGGGCGTAGTGGCGGGCGCCTGTAGTCCCAGCTACTTGGGAGGCTGAGGCAGGAGAATGGCGTGAACCCGGGAGGCGGAGCTTGCAGTGAGCCGAGATCCCGCCACTGCACTCCAGCCTGGGCGACAGAGCGAGACTCCGTCTCAAAAAAAAAAAAAAAAAAAAAACTTTACGGGTTTGAAAATATCCTTTTGTTCGAATTTATTGATGGTTTTGTGGACCATATGGTAATTTTTTGGGATCAAAATTATTTTTACTCAAAATTTCTTATCAACATCAAGTATGTAGATAAGAAAACTAATATAGTAACTCAGATTTTAGCCTTTCATACGCAACTGTATTCTCACTGCAAACCAGTAAGTGTCATTTCTTTATCCTTGACACGCACAATGATCTATCTAAACTTGGGTATTTTATCTCTCCAGTTAATTTGTGACTATATTTTTAGTCCGTTTGTGACTGAAAGGATGGTTTTTCATGCTACACTCTCTGTTCTAATGCTGAATGTGCCACTTACTAATTGTGGGACCTTGTGTGAGTTACAAAGCAAACCTCTCTTTGCTTTATTTGATCATAAAATAATGAGAATGTTCAGCTCTCAGGGTTGATTGAAGATTAAATAATTCAATATGTTGTGCAATTGTTATAAAGATTGCAACACATATAAAGAATGCAATAACATTAACTATTGTTATTTTATTTTGTTCAGCATTCAGCAGATCCTCTTCATCTGAATACTTTCTGGTCCTTTTCTTAGCTCAGAAATTTTTCATCTATTATTTCTTTAATAGCTTCTTCCCATCCATTTCCACAGCTTTCCCTTCCTGGACCTTATACTAAATAGACATTGTCTTTTCAAAATTGATTTGCCATATCTTTTATTATTTTTCCAGAAAATAAAAGTTTTTGGCCTTTACCATGAGATTTTTAGAAATCATGATTACTAAAACATATGTTTCGTATTTTCTTCAAACTATTTTCATTGTTTAGAAGCTCTTCTTGGGGAAAACTGGACATCCATATGCAAAATAATGAAACTACACTCCTATCTCTTGCCACATACAAAAATCAAATCAAAATGGATTAAAGATTTAAATCTGAGACCTCAAACTATGAGACTACTGTAACAAAACACTAGGGAAGCTCTCCAGGACAGTGGTCTGGCAAAAATTTCTTGAGTAATACCCCAAAAGCACAGGCAACCAAAGCAAAAATGAGCAAATGACATCACATCAAATTAAAAAACATCTATACAGCAGAGTAAACAATCAACGAAGTGAAGAGACAGCCCACACAATGGGAGAAAATATTTTCAAACTATTCATCTGACAAGGGATTAACAACCAGGACAAATAAGGGGTTCAAACAAATCTATAGGAAAAAAATCTAATAATCCAATTGAAAATGGGCAAAAAATCTGAATAGACATCTTTCAAAAGAAAAGGTGCTCAACAGCATTGCTCATCAGAGAAATGTGAATCAAAACTACAATAATATATCATCTCACCTCAGTTAAAATGACTTTTGTCCAAAAGACAGACAATAACGAATGCTGGAGAGGATGTGGAGAGAAGGGAACCCTCGTACACTGTTGGTGGGAATGTAATTAGTACAACCACTATGGAGAACAGTATAGAGGTCCACAAAAAACTAAAAATAGAACTACCATATGATCCAGCAATCCCACTGCTAGGTATATACCCCAAAGAAAAGAAATCAGTATATCAAGGAGATGTCTGCTGTCCTGTATTTATTGCAGCACTAGTCACAACAGCCAAGATTTGGAAGCAACTTAAGTGAATTTCAGTAAATGAATGGATAAAGAAAATGTGGTATATATACACAATGGAATACTATTCAGCCATAAAAAGCAATAAGGTGGCATTTGCAACACCATGGATGGAACTGGAGGTCATTACGTTAAGTGAAATAAGCCAGTTCAGAAAGACAAACATCACATGTTCTCACTCATTTTTGGGATCTATAAATTAACTGAATTCATGGGGATAGAGAGTAGAATGATGGTTACCAGAGGCTGAGAAGGATAGGGGTGGGAAGAAGCAGGAATGGTTAATGGGTATAAAAATATAGTTAGAATAAGAGCTAGTATTTGCTAGCACAACAGTGTGACTACAATCAACAATAATTTGTTGTACCTTTAATAATAACTAAAAGAGTATGAATGGAATGTTTATAATACAAATCAATGATAAAGGCTTGAGATTATGGATACCCCATTTATCCTGATGTGATTATTACACATGGTATGCTTGTATCAAAATGTATCATGTACCACATTAATACATACACCTCCTATGTACCCCTTAAAAACTAAAAATTAATTTTAAAAAATAACTTTTTTGGTTATCTGACAATCTTGACAATACTATACAATATAGTATCCTGTTCTTGTTTATTTGGGTGCAATCTGCTTATAATTTATCTGTGGATTAAGGAGAATTTTTATAACATTCTTTTCCATGAATTAAAATTTTTATGCTTATGATTAGTTGTTTCACTTGTTAATCTTGGTCCTTTATCCTGCTTGTATTGTTGAGTCTCTTTTTTTTTGTTTTCAAACGTCAAGTGTTCGTGGAGTGTCTATTAATATTTATAGATGAATAACTATGTTGATTGATATGTGCTGATAGCCCTAGTTTTCTTTCCAGTTGGTGAGGCTGTTCCTCTCACATTCCAGTCCCCTCAACAGGACTATGGGCTCCATGTAAGAGGCTGGGTCTACTAAGGGGCAGGTTTTTCTTTGGGGTTTGTCAGTGGAGGTGCAAAGGGAGACATATTGATAGAGTGAAAAGTTTATTTTGGAAATGGAGGAATTTGCATATTTCCCAGTTGGTTCCTTTACCTTTCCTTTTTTGCCTTCATTCTTCCACATTTCTTTCTGAAGCTGACTCAAACTCTGCTTTGCTTTTTCTGTCATGGTCATGAATCGCATTAGGGTTTTAACCTTCCCCAGAATTTATCTACTTTTAACCTAGACACCAAACATCCTGCTAAGATATCTGCATGCAACAATGGGGAGAGGGCCACCATGGCATTTAGTTCTAGTGCTACCTTGACTCGGAAAATAAAGAACCTGTTGTAGTGGTTACCCAGTTTACTTTCTACTGTAATCACAGCAAAAAGGACAGGATTGTAATTCGGGTCAAATATAGATCAATGTTTTTGATGTTTTAAAGTGTTCTTTCCTTGACCAAATCAGAGCAAGATTGCATATTATCCTTTTGCCCATCTGTTTTACCAAAACCTCATCTTTAAGTGGCTCAGAACAAGTATCTGGTATGTAGACCTCTCCCTCAGGACTCATATTGGACTCAGTGCTGACCATCAGACTGATTTCTGGAAGGAGAGCTTACTTCTGATCTGTGCATTTTGGAGACAGAATCTCTACCTCAGCCATTCTCATTGTAGAAAGCATTTGCAATGGAGAAGGGAGACACAGAAGAATATGAGACCCAGAAGTTACCTTATCAATTATTATATTAGAGTGGTCCCTTGAAATAAAGGGTAGCTCCAGATTGTTTTCTCTTTTTTCAATATTCAGTTGCCATGATGGTGAACAGTGGAGTCCAGGAATTTGTCCCTGTAATTTTTCTCTCCTGCATCCAAATGTTACCACAGTTTCCAGGACTGGATTTGCTCTTGGTTACCCCTATCCTGAAACACACTCCCGTTTGATTTTTAGCTTCCTATGGACAAACTCCCTGAATGAAAGCCACTGACTGTCTGTTTTTTAGCCAATACTTTCCTCCAACCCATTCCTAGTCACTGTCTTTTATCCATATCCTTTTGGGATCCTAGAAGCTTCCGCTGCCAGAACCACATATGAAATCAGATTTGGTGCCTAGAGATCCCAGAAGAAGTTTTACTGCTGGCTTTCCACCCAGATCTGCTTCTACACAGTATGCTCTCTCCCTCAGCCACTGTTGTACTGCTCCATAATTCCTGTGATATGATTCATACTCCCATCAGACCCCACTGCTCATCCAGTACTGTTACTGTACTAGCTTTTTTTTTTCTAAAAATATTCAATTGTAAGGAAATACATTTTTTTTTTTTTTTTTTTTTTTTTTACTGGGCATGGACTCAGAAATTTCTAAGAAAGTGACACTTGGTGCTGACCATCAAACTGATTCTTGGAAGAAAAGCTTCTTATCTATGCATTTCTAAAAAGAGAACTATGTTGTGGAGGGGGATCCCTAGCTCAGCCATTCTCAATGTAGAAAACATTTGCAGTGGAGAAATAAAACACAGAATGTTAGTCCCAGAAGTTACCATATCAATTATCTAACCCAAACCTTTCATTTCATCACATGAGGCCAGAAGTGTTAAGTGACTATCGGAAGCACTTCCATTTTCTTAGTGGCAAAGCCAGTACTAGAATCCAATTCTTCTGACTCATAACAGATTATAATTATATTTATAAGTTTATATTATACATGTAAGTATATAATTTCTAACAAAAAAATCATGAGTGTAAGATAGTTAATACTCTTTTACCTCTTACTAGTAGCCAGGCCCTCTACTAAGTATTATATATCCATTGTTTTATTCAATCTTTACAATAGTAGTTATGAAGTAAGTACTGTTAGCATTCCCATTATACAGATAAGAAAGCTAGCTGTTTGTATGCTGTAATAATTATGAGTGGAACCAAGGTCAAAGCGTGAGTAGGAGATGGTCAAAACTCAGAATGAAAGCCTAGTTTTTGCTATCATAAAGGAGCAAGGAAGCATTAAAATGCACCATTTATACAAGTTTGAATTTATGTTTTATTCTAATTTTTGTTTCTCATGACAACTCAGTGGGCTGTCATGCCATGAGCTAAAAATGAAGCTGAAAAGTGCCTTTAGCAATCACATTTTAATACATTGCCTCTCTTCATGGTTTTATTTGGGTTAGATGAAGAGACAGAAGCTCTTGCTTACTGCTTAAAATTGTTAAACCACAGATTCCAGTTGCTCACATTCTTACTCATTTCTCTCCTTATTTTCTTATCTATGAGTTCCTAACTCCTCCTTCCCAAGCTCCCCTCCCAAGACTGAGACCAAAAGAAGGTTGACGATGGGGAAGATTCGCCACTGTGGATCAACACTGTTACAACCTGGGACTTAAGACTAGTGAATGCTAGACTGTATGTCTCATGGGTCAGGGGAAGAAATGGCTAAATGTAGTCATTCTGAAGAAAACAACAGATTGCTTTGGTCACCATCCCCCACCACCCCACCATCCACAATTAACTGTCTCTTCATCTGAATGCTTTTTATCTGGCTTGACTATGTTTTTCCTTTAAATTGGCAGTCTGAGCATTTTGTGGAGAGAAGAGACAGGAGAAGAAATGTGACTCGAAATATGGTTGTGGGTGTTTTTTAACAAGTTCTCTAAAAACCTTAAAAAAGACCTTTTAAAAAAATCTCTGTGAATTACCTTCTTTTGCTTCAAAAATATACAATATTCAATGTTTCTCACTAGTTTATCAGATACACCCTTTAGGGTAGAGAAGAGTGATTTCATTTTAGGCACCCAACCAAAACAGAATAATTTATTCCTTTAAAAAGAAACTTTCACTAAAGTTAAAAGTATGAGAATACATAGAACATATATGTAGACACATGAACATAAGGATAACAGTTATCAACTTTTCAAAATAAAGCTTCATCTCTGTAAAAAGTTGTGAAGGAAAATCCATCATAATTTCAATATGACAGCTTTACTTTTTCAAATTTAATTTTTAAGCTGTCCTTCACTTTTCTTCCAACAACTGTCATTTTGAAAGTCAATTCCAAAACATCTTTAAGTTGGAAACTATAGGAAAAAAGCAAGAGCCTTTCAGCAGAGATCAAAAGACAGTTGAAGATCCCAAAACAGAGCAAGACTTTTGCCTTGGGTTGATTTCTAATCTTGAGAATCTTCATGGGATTCTCAACAAGGTAGAATTATCTGTCAGTCATTTACATTCACTTATTCAAGCCAAGCAATCATATATCTAGCTGCACCATTTGCACACATGTTTAATGCCATCTTGACATTCAAATGAGGGATATTGAGGTTCCCACTGCCTGCGTCCACAATATGGTGGGCTCAGTTTCAAAAGATAGAAAATATGCTATTGCAAAATCAACATATGGTTCCTGCATAATATAGATCTGCTTGAACATTGCAATGAGCATATGGTAAAAGAATTTTGTAGACAAGGTGGTAGAGTCAAGGGCAAGAAGCTGACTTTGGTGCTGACTGCCTTTCTATTTTCTATTGTAGAAGAAAGTCAAGAAATAATTTGATCTTAAACACACATACACACTAACTGACAGAAAATAAATCAGTGTATCTATTCCATTGCAGGGTGACATCCTACTTTCTTATTCCTTATTCAGAAATATCAGAAAGAAATAAGAAATACGTATAGCTCTTGATAAACTAAGGCATTTTAGACATTGTACTTCTAGTACGTTATTCAAGTTGGCATAGTAAACACTCTTTGGGGTATCTCTACAATTCAAGAGTCATCTGCTTTTCTTCAATAACTGAACTATGAGCCATAGTTTGATTCTCCACCAACCATCATTAAATTTAAACTGTGATCCCATCCCCTGACCATACCTGATTACCCAAGCTGAGACAGTCTAATTCTCTCTCTTAGAATTGTGACTGAGCAAGAGAGGGTCATTCATTTCTGAGCATCACTGGCACTGATATGGAAACCTGGAATGTCTGGGGTGGTCAGGAATTTCCTAAATAAAATAAAATAAATTCCCTAAATAAAATAAAGTTCCTAAATAAATAAAGGGAGAGAGAAAGGGAGGGAAGGAGGGACAGTGGGGGGGAGAGAGAGAGAGAGAGAGAGATTTATAGGTGTTCTAGTCTTTGCCTAAGACTTAAACTAGCTGGCCTTTATATTCCATTATATACTATTTTGTTTTTAGAATCCATTTCCCTTTTTACTTAACTAGTCTTCTTCTGATTGCAAATTAATATAGTGTATTGGTAGCCTATGAAGGAATAAATTATAAATACCAAGATGGAGGAGAAAAGAGGGTAAAGTTGAAAGTTTTGAGGATTATCTTCCTCTTTTACCACTATTATATATTGCTCTCTAACTTTAAATTAAATTTGCTTCTCCAAATTTCAGCCTTTTCACTTTGCTTCTTCAGCCTTTTCACTAATATAAAAAGACAGCTGGATTGGAGCACGTGGCCCATCCACTGCTGGGGAAAAAAATGCTTGAATCCTCAATACCTTTGATTCACTAGTTTGTGGTGGTGAAAATGTAGCTTTTATAGCATGTACTAGAGAACTAAGTTGAATTTCTTATGGTTATCTCTTCCCATCCTTCATCTACAGAATATTTCTAATTAGAGTTTTTTTCTGAGGAAATATGAGCCATTAATAGGTAGATATTAATCTACACAAAAACTTTATTTATTTTTGTGAAGTTGGTGGGCTTTTATTCTTCCCTCCAGGAATGTGACACATTTTATAGTTTTGGTTGGGTTTGTTTTTGTATGTGTGTTGTTATTGTCTTTGTTGTTTTATATCTATCACAACAGAAGCTTATAGTGTGCACCTTCCTAAAATATATAACATAATTTCAGAAACAATGAAAATAACTATCATGTGTTTGCTGAATAACTTCAAACTATATTTCCTTAGTTGTTTGTTCATTCTATTTTCATTCCAATGCATGATGCAAAGTACTTCATTTCTAAAACAAAGCATTATCTTTTTAAATACATGGCTACAATTCTTTGTCTTATAAGTTTATCTTTTGGCTCAGAAAAATATTTTGCCATAAATTGTATTGGCTACCAAAGTATTATGAAAATATATACAACCAGCTCTTCTGCATGTGATCAATAGACAAAATTCAAGATTACACCTTTTTTTTTGCCTTCAAGTCTAACTTTTTCTAACTACAAGTTACTCTGGAACATTTTATAAGAACACCATTTGGACAGTTATTTTTGTCTGACCCTTCAATTATTGCTTCTAGGCAGCTTTTTCATCTTGGCAGCAACTTACTCTATACAGAACCAGCACCTGATATTTCTTTTAAGATGAAAATCCAGACTCTTCACACAGGAATAAAGTTAGGAGGAAGATGGAAACTGACATTCCCCAGAGAACATGGCTCCAAACCAAGTCATTAAAAGTGGGACGTGGCCTGATTCATTTCCTTCAAATAAATGATCCATTGAGACATGAGCCAACTTGTCATACTTGGATTGCAATAAATATTTCCCAAGGAATAATGCCCTAAAATAAAATATACATTAATGGTATGTGGATATACTCAGTGAGGAAGTATTGATATAGTTCCTTCTCCCCATCACTACTGCTTTGCTCAATCTGGACCTGAATATTTGCAATAGCTTCCTTGCTAATCATTCACTATATCATTGCCAGTAGGGACTGCTACAAAGCACATTTGATCATGTTTATCTCCCTTGATTCTAACCATGGAGTGTCACCTTCCTGGTTATTGGAGAAATCTATAGCAGCTTCATTAAACCAGAGTGACACTCTACAGATTTTAGGAGCTCAAAAACTGTCCCAGTCAGTTCTAAAAGTGCAAAATCCTTGAGTGGTTCTTATACAAGCAAAGCAAGATATTCAAAAGTCCAGTTTTCCTTCTTTCAAGGATCTTTCTTTCCTTCCTTATATGTTCCCGGGGTTCTTTAGTACTCGTAAGCATGTTGAGTGATAAAGAAAAGCTCCACTGGATCAGTCCAATCTCGTTACACTGAGTGTGGTTAATAAATGCTAGAGGCTCTGTGCAAACTAACTTAATAATTTGAGTCCCAAGTAAAGAAAATGACTGAATCCCATTTTCCATAGCAGTCACTTGTACTAAGGCAGTGTCATTATCTATAATGACAAATATTAAAGACAAAGATGCCCATTCCCCAGTGGTTTGCTTAGTGGACGGGCTCCAGCCAAGCTAGCTGAAGTCCTTTGATTTAAAATTCTTTTCACTTCATTCACCTCATGTGGAGGAGGTGGCAGAGATAATCAGCTATTGTGGACAAGTGGTGCTTGCATCTGTGTGGTTCAGGAATGGTGAGTCTTTGTGGCAGAACAAAGAGAAAGATTAGTTTTTTCTTCAGAAAATTTGCACTATATGAAAATGAGAGACTTCTCAAAATGATAAAACTGACCTTAAAGTTTTGGTCCAACATTCACTAGTGGAGGAGGTCATTTCTCTTCTGCAGCTATCATCAGTGTTGAAGCCAAGCTCATTTGTAACAGTAATTGGGGGAGCAATTACTTGCCAACAACAAGGTCAGTTATAGGCTGTCAGAAAGTACTGTAGATCTCTAAATCTATTTTTTTGTCATGAAATTACCTCCTGCCATGCAAATCAGCCCCACAAATGCTGGTAGGACTGAGACCAATGTCTACTACATCATATAAGTAGAACTACCAAGCTCAGTATTAAACTCCTCTCAGAATGGAACCTCCCCTTCCTCCCAGAAAGATTGGGACTTTTCGCTGTTTATTTACCCTTCTGAGTGCAACAAACTGCAGTGGTTCTAAGGTGATATCTAGGCCCCATCTAATTTTTAGCAAGAGATGCCAATATCTACTGCTAAAGAAGAGAGCAAAAGCAAACCAAAGTAATAAAATTGTGGTAATAATAACACGAACATGGTACACAATATATTTTAAGAGCTTGCCTCAACCTACATCATGACCTTTACCTCTTGTCAATCCTCCAGTTTAATTCTACTTTTAGTAATTGCATTATCTATAATTTCTCAGATAATTCCATTATTTATCAGAATTGCTGCTACTGCTACCTGGAATGCCTTTACTCACTTCAGTTCCAATGGATGACATCTCATTTTTCAGGAGCCTGTTGAAGGATACTTTTAGCTTTTGCTGAAGTCCAAGCAGATCTGAACACATTTCTTTATTTTCTACTTTTCCATGGCCTCTGTCAATGCACTTTTGTTTTATTGCAACTATTTAACTACATGTCTACAAATTCTATTTGATAGGAACTTTTTAAGGCAGGGAATGTATCTAATTTATCTCACTATGTCTTTTGTCAAAACAGTGCCTGAAATGTAATGAATCTTTAAAAAGAAATGTTTATTCAACCAAATACTTCTCATTGATTCCAAATGGTTGAAATGGGGAGACCTTAAGGATAATTGATACTCTAATTGTATGTAATTATCTACATATAAGGTTTAAACTACTTGAAACATAATTTTACATTTTATTAACATGAGGCATGCACTCCAGCATATTGTGGGCTTTGGGCGAACACATTATCTTCCATGCCATAAATGGGGTTGAAAACAATTCCCACTACTATTGTCTGAGGTCTATACCCTCAGTTATTTATACCATATGTGGGGAGGACTAAGTCCGTTAAGAGCACTATCTCCATTGTCCCTTTTTATTTCTAGCCCCTCATCTGCTGACTCCTTGTATTCTTTGTATTGTTGAGAAAACTACGTATTCCCCATTCATCATGTTTCCTTGGGAAGAAACACAGCACACCCAACCATACTCCCAGTATCCCCTCCACATTTCCTCTTCCTTGGAGAAGAGACGTAAAGCACATATCTGATGAGTAGGTTTGGCAGTGGTCACTGGGATTGTGTGGCTCAGTCCCTGATGAATTATCTCTAGTCTGCTCTCCGAAATGCAGAAAGCATCATGCAGCTGTCCAGCAGAGCCAGGAGCTGGTTAGGTAAGTCTGCCTAATTCAGGGATAAAGCGTTAGTAAAATCCTTTTGGGTGTAGCTAGAAACTTTGTCTTTCATTCTAGGTTTGGTTCTGTTAAAAACAACAACAGCAATAAAAACACATAAGTGGGAGGCCATTAGGCTAAAGCTGCTCTAGTGCCCAGTGTTCTTACATAAGCAAACTAAAACCAGTGTAAATGGTAAAACAAAACTTGAGCTTAATCGAAAAACATCAACTAACTTTTCACTGAAGACTTTCCACTGGAATGCTCCAAATGAGGCTTCTGCAAAAGTGTTCTTTGTCTTGCACCTGTGTTCACCTTGTAAAATCCTTTCCCTAACACCCTCGCCCCCACACCCTTTTGTTACAGCCCAGAAACTGCTTGTGGTCTGGAGCTGCCTGATTTATAAACTGCTGTCTCCTCCAACTTTTTAAAATTTTAATGTGCTTATGTTTATCTTTTAACAGTTCATAATATAGGCATTTTTGTTAAATCACTGCATACTTCTTGTGTCTGTCTTTTGATTAGTTTTGAATTCTGAAGAGGAAAATTGACTGTAATTCACTGACCCTTCCCTCCAAAACCCTAACACTTATTCCATAGTGCTCATAGTGAAGCAGTTTTCTTTGGTTTCTGCTCACTATTTTGGTTGTAGCCTACTCTCTCTAAACTCGAGCACCAGAGAATGACAACTCTGTAGTCTGCCTCTCAGTTTAATCTGACCCACTGACACTGAGCCAAACCTTCACACAGATTTCCTTTCCCCCAAGAGATACTTGATCATCCATAAACAAAACACTGAAAGTTTTATTTGCAAATTTGCTACACTTGCCTAAATCTATATGAATCCTCTGGTTATCTGCCTAGTATTCTACTGGTGTTTTCACCTAAATAAATAAATCTATAGAATCTGTCAAAATCCTTCCAAATATTTGATGTTTGGCTGAAGGAAGTGACAAATTCATTTTCTTTTGTGAAAAAGGCTTAGTTCATTATCAGTAATGAATGATTATAAGATCAGTTTATAAGATGTCCATATGCTGAGTACCTTAGTAATAGAGAGGGCAATCAGTGTTTATCTTCCCCTCCATATTTGGACCTTTTTGACCAAATAAACCAGTCATTGGTAAGTCTGATAACCAGTGGTGCAAACCCATTTCCTTAGTTTAGAGCCTCACTTTGGCATAAATTTTCATAGAATGGACAGCCTAACCTGAATAATTTTAGCCTCCCCCCTATGGCCATGGAGTACATTAAATAGTCCCTAAAGCATTGCCTTCTTTTCTTTTATGGAAGGTTTTAGTCTTCACCAAACCTGCTAATATATAGCTCTCAGTCTCATAACCCTCATCTCCCTCTAGCTATGAGTGATTTCATTAATGCAGCTCCTCCTATCATGGTTGCTCATGGAAACACCAATGATCAGGTTGGTGGTTTTTCAGAGTGGAGTTACTATCATTTCCCAAACACTGAAAACTCCACTGAACATTTGGTGGTAGAGAGAAACTGTGCACTTCCTTGGGGAAAAGTAAAGCCCTTTCATTTTTGGCTTCTTTTAGGACTTCCAAATGTGCCTCCCTTCAGTTGCCTTGGTGATTTCCTTGCTCATCTGTCATCACAGGTGGCCCTTACTTTTCACCTGTTTTCTTTCTCTCCATTGCTTTGGAGCGACTTGACTGGTGATGATAGAAACACAAGACAAGAGGCTTCAGAGGTCACACATGACTGTAGGACAAGGGTGATGGAAAACTTTTCAGTGAGAAACTTCACTTCAGTGAGTATATTTGCAGGAGGACAGAAGGGCAGTCGAGTGACTTTTGATCACATCACACTGCTTCCTAAGCCTGGTGGTTGATTATAATTTGTGTAGTGAAGAGAAAGCGGCTGTCTGTATTGAAAGAAAATACAAGTACTGGGGACAAGTATTCTAGGTTGCTTTTGGACTTGATTTCAAGGTTTTCCACATCAACATAACCCATTCAATTTTATTTTATTTTTTTACTTGTGAAGACAGCCCTCCACTTCACAGATGTATTCTCTCCTGAAAGCAGCTTCTAAAATAGCATGCCACTCTTTACTCACAATGAATGCCTAGTGCCCTTCAGCCCCTAAGATAAAACTTAACAGTTACGCCAAGCATATTTCCCTCCTTCATTCTGCTGGGAAGCCTTCCTCAGGTTGGTACTGCTTTCTCTCCCTTTTGCTTGGGCAGTGACTAGGAAGAAGCATTCATTACACAGATTTTCAAACTGTAATCTAGCCTTCCTTTTATCATCTGTCATTGCTTCTGTTGCACAATAATGTCACATGAACCATATTTAGCATACTTACCTGGCTTTTACATTTTTAATTTTGGTGGGTTTTGGAAAGCAAAGGCATTGCTCTCTGACAATGTGCAATGGTGTATGAGCTGTCTCTTTACCTGGATGCCTTTGCCTTCCAGGTCAAGGATTTGGAAGATTTTTGTGAAGAAGAATGAAGAAATGTTTTAATAAGGTTGCCTGTGAATGTCCTTGGCTAGTCTTTTGCTGCCTTAATCAATTTGAAGTATCTTTGTATGTAATTCATTTGCTCCTCCATCTTACAGTGCATTCAACACTGATCCTACTTCTACTTGTGTGAAAGTCACTTCTTTGGCCCACAAAACATCCCTTTCTTATTAGTTTTGTTTTATTTGTTGGCATATATTATTATCCAGTACTTTGCTTCAAATTGACTCAGATTGGGAACTAGTCTAGAATCTTGCTTGTTCTCACCTGTGAGTGAAAACTCAATCCCAGATAAGGTCTTTCTGTTTTGAGGTGAACAAAACATGGAGCACACTGAAAAAAAATAAGGTTTAATGCAGGGGATGTGCACTAGAATCAGTATGTCAGGGTCCTAGTTGGAGCCTCAAACTAGAAATATGGTGACCTTGGTTAACCATTTCACCTGTCTCCTGAGCCCCAGAATTCTCCTGTATAAAATAAGAATGTTGGACGACATGGTTTCAAATGGTTATTCTGATTCTAGTTATCTTAGTTTCTAAGCATCTTTGTGGCTAGTGTGGCAAAGAACATTAATTTATTATAAATCAAGATTACCTTTGCAGAATAATAAAATTCCTTCATATGCTGACTGCTTTTCTGTAATATAGATTTTATTATCATGTGAGCCAAGTTGTCTCACAAGTATATAAAACACTGTGCTGTCTCTAACATTCCAACAAAACCAAGCTCTAACATATTTATGTCTGTTATCTCATCATTCTTCGTATACTCTCTTTCACGTAAAGATTCTTCACATTGGTTTCTTATGACTTTCAGGAGAAAGATATCAGATTATCTAATTTAGGCAAAGGAGATGGGGAAAAATAAATTCTTAATACAGGTTTTTTTCAAGCAGTTAAATAAGATCTTATGTTCCAGGTTTTACATAAATTCTACAGGTCGAAGTTCCATTATTTTTCAAGCAGTAATTTTATAAAGACTTACAATATGTTGTTGGTTACCAAACTCCCCCAAAATAAATAATCCTATAGAAATTTCTACTATGTATGGCATTGTATCTGAGAAAAGTTTTAGAAATCTCAAAATTCTCCTCCAGGCATTATCAGATATAAATTCAGATGATTATAGAAAAAGAAAGGAATGAGTAGGCAGTTCCATCCCAACCCCAACTACCTCTAGAAGGATTAAGAACAATAAAGGAAGGTGAGAATAATATAAAAACCTTAGGATTTCACTGTTGTTCCTCTAAGTAAGAAAGTTATATGTCTGGAATTATGGTGGAGCACAGAAAGCAAAGCCCTAAAACTGGAAAACACAAAACAAAACAAAGCATTAATTCTGGATAGAGTACTGGACTTGGAAAAATATCATTCAGTACATATGATATCTATAACAAGCCAAGACAGTTCAAACTGAAGGAAAAAGGGTGCCCAAAATATTTCTAGTGAAAGTGTCAATAAATGGAAAACAACACGACATTGCTACTATTAATGGGTTAACGTGTGTTAACGGCATTAAAAATCTTCCCAGTTTTCTATATATTTGACTTTATTCTAATAAACAAACAAAAATATTTGATAGATTCTCAATTCCAGTGGCCCTAACTTTATTTTTTCCTACAGGTTTTAAAAAATCAAGGTTGGAAATGGAAGTTCTTGTTTTTAAAACAACAATGATGTGTGTGTTTGCCTTTTGAATTTTCTGTTGTGGCTTTTTTGGAGGGTGGCAGGTGGCATGGGAGCTATTTGATTGCTTGGGTACTCCCAAGAATGAGATATTTTTCTTTTCTCGAACAGGGGAACATAAAGGTTAAATGACTTGTCTGTGACTTCTCACAAAGCTAAAGAATGGTAAAGATGGGAACGACACCAAATCTTGCAGCGTCCCAAACCTTCAGTGGATACCTATGTTTCTCCCACTGTCATTTAAAACTTAAAAAATAAATTTACTTCAAATTTAGAATAACCAAAACAGCTTTGCCCCCACTTTTGCCACATAGCCTCTTTACAATGTGTTTTAAAATCATCTGCCAGCTGTGTTACAGTGAAAATTATACTGTTCTTTGACTAGAAGTCCTGAATCTAAATCACAGCTATGCTACTAAGGCCCATGAGCTCTTGGTCAAGACATTTAAACAAAGTTTTGTTTATTTATCTGCAGAACGGTAATCAGAATATCACCACCACCCCCAGCCCCTGAGACTGGTGAATGTTGAATTAAATAATCTGTTTGAGAACACTTTTAAACTATAGATTATCACTAATAATTTATTCTGCATGCTTAAGTTGTTCTGTTTCACAACACTTCACTGGTTTCCTGTTGCTTATGGAGTAACATTTACACTCCTATGAAAGGCATTCAAAGTCCTCTTTGACATTCATTTTCAATCTTTTTATCTGCTAATGATAATAGCTGACATGTGTTGAGCAAATACTCTGTGCCGGGGATATACTGAACATTTATTATCCCATGTAAACCCTACATCAATCCTGTGATGAAACATCATTATTATCCCAATTTTATAGTTATCAATACTTGGAAAACTGAAGAAATTTGCCCAACTTCACACAGAGAATAAGGAATGGTGGAGCAGGGAGTCAAATTCTGGCTGTTTGGTTCCAGAGTAGACTTAACTACCATGTGGTACCTCTTCCAAATACAGCATTTTTCTCAAACATCTCTCTCTCTACCATTATTACGCTCAACTCTATAGCAAATACCTTACCATGCTATTTAAAAAAATCATTGTTTAGAACTCACATTAAGGTTGGACAATTACAGTTGACTGCCTTGACTGGATGGGTAGTGATCAAGAGTGTAGTGTCTGGAAGCAGATGGCCTGGGCTCAAACTGGTTCTGCCACAAACCAGCAGCATGGTCCTGGAGTTATTTCACTTCTGTTCTCTCATCCTTAAAGGGGGATAATAATGAATCCTACTTCAGAGTGTTGGTATAATAAATAAATAAGTGAATAAATATATGTGCAGTTCTTAGCATGGTGACTGGCACGTAGATAATACTATACAAATGGTAGAGGTTATTGTTACCATTGAGGTTCCATTCCATGTTATGTCCATGACAGTTCTGTTTGGCATTGGACTTCACATCACAAAAGAATCTGCCTGTCTTCCTCTTTCACATAATCAGTTGACCTTGTGTGTTCAGATCTCAGCCCAAATGTTGCTTCACTAATGAATCTATCTTTGATGTGCCTGCCATGCCCCCTATTTTTTTTGCCTCCCACTAATTTAAGCCCTCCTAAGACACTCATAGTCCACTCTGATGTCTAGGAGCATTTATCACAATTTTACTTAAATAATGAATTGGGCTATTAGTCTTAGAATCTCTGCACCTCTCGCTAAAATGTGCTGTGAAGGCAGAGGCCATGCCCACTTGTTTATCTTGCACAGCAAACAGAAAGTGCTTAATAAGAATCTATTGAATTAATTAATAATGAATGAATGAATCACCTGTTTCTTTGTTTCTTTATATACTGTCTCATGGTTTGAAGATTTTTTTTTGTCTCTTTCCCCATGAATCATGTATTTTCAAACTTCCTGGCCAACACTCATTGACTAACAATATTTATAGGAATTTCCCATAGTTATATCTGTGCCATGACAACTAAATTACCAGCTTCGTCCTCCTTAAATATTAGATTTATGAAATACAAGTACCTTAATCGCCCAAAGAAAACAAGGCATAGACATCTTTTCATGTTTTGCACACTGCTTTTAAACCGCATTTTGAATGTGTTTCTTGAAAATTTGCATAATCATTCATGAATCTCTTTTCATTTGAATACTACAGTAATGACAACTTAAGATATATTGTTTGTTGTTTATTCAAAATGGATTTCAATTATCAAAGTAGATTTTTATGCATGCACCTGTTTCTATATTTGCTATAGATTCAATTAGTAATATGATCACGTATGCTGATTCGGTTTCAGAATTATGATTTGAAATATACCATGGTAACTTCTGCAATATTAGGAACAATGTTTTTATCCTGTTAAGTTATCTTGGATGGATTTTGAAAACTTGAAATCTTAAGTATGTGCCACACTGATTTGTCAATGTTTATCCTGAATATAGTTTAATACAGCAAGGCTTCAAAACATTATGGAAATAAGGTTGGCTGAGCACCAATTCTAACCAAAGGTGAACTAAAACCCTGGGGAAATCTCTCTCTTCCCATAAGCTGAAATCATATGAAAGTAGTGCCTTCATTGTGCCCCAACATAAAAAAATTATTTTATAATGAATAAGTTGTATTCTATACATCATTTAATTACACCATCCGAGTGATGCCTAGAAAAAAAAATAGCTTCTTCATTTTAGAGTATTATGAAGTTATGATCTCAGAAAACCAGTTCCATCTCTATCCCTTAGCAGTTGGGTAAACCTACGTGGGTTATATAACCTCTTGAATCCTTCCCAGTCTGTAAAATGAGGATACTACTAGTTCATGTCTCACACAGATGCTGTGAGGATTCAGTGATATAGTACCTGGAAGAGTTTAGCACAGATAGTAGTAAATGCTCAATGAATATTAATTACCATTTTATTGCTGTTGTTATTATATTGTTTGTGTCATTCACGTGGGCGCTTGCTATTTATTCTTTTCACTTGTATAAGTTTATTCTTCTCTATACAACATGGATCTTGATAGCTGGCTGGCAGTGTTGTTTTCTTTAACATTCTTATTACCTTACACATAGTAAATGATCACAAAACAAAGACAGAAAGGAATGTGGGGGAATCATCATACTGCCAGAATAAAGAGTAAGTGGCAGGAGGGATGGAGAGAAGTAATGCATATGAGGCTTCATCATACTGATTAGTTTGGATATTTCTATAATAATATTTGTTACTTCTATCAGTGTACAATATTATTATTATTATAAGTACTTCACTGTACCCATACAGTTGTAAAAGTATACATCATTGATTGGTCTATTGAGCCATTGACAAACACTTTCCTTTCGGGTGTGACTGGTGCTTCTGAGAACATATATCTTTCCTTATGGTTTGATGAAAAAGAGCTGAGAAAATTGAATTCTGTTTTCTTTGAAAGTATAAAGAAGGAAATCTTAATTTTGAAAAAGAGTAAAAAGAATCCCATTATCATTCAACTTTTTCAGAATAGCCAAATCCTGGAAAAGTATGATGCTAAAGGAAATACAAGATACCTTGCTGCATGCTTAGGAAAAAGATAATTGATGGCTTAATATCATCCAACCTGTAGTCAGATAATTGGCTATAAAATGAGTTTTTACTTCATTTCCATGGACTCTAAACACCTCACTTTATGACATTTAATTTATCACACATTTATTACACACAAGTAGCCTCTAACATCTACAAAGGACACATCTATAAAGACATATTTAGGCTCACCAATGTCAGGGCTAATCTCTTTAAGTACTCCCTCTTTTGTTGTATTTTGCATTGACATGCTTAGTAAATTTTAGTGGTTTGGACCCACCATCTGTGCATAACCCAAATGTGATAAGCTGTATAATGCAC
Organism: Homo sapiens; assembly: GCF_000001405.40. NCBI lineage: Eukaryota > Metazoa > Chordata > Mammalia > Primates > Hominidae > Homo > Homo sapiens. Next base: position 49,554,566 of record NC_000002.12, on the reverse strand, counting down.
ACCTACAACCTAAGGGTAAGAAATGTGATGTTGTAAGATTAGATGGTTAGACTGACTTTAAAAAAGGGTAAAACATAGCCAACTAAAAATATGATAAGAAAATGTGAAAATCAGAGAGTCATGCAAAACAATGCTTCATATACAGCACTGAAAATTTTCAGGTATATACAATGTAGTAAAAATTGAACTAAACTGGTTTGAGAAAAGGTTCAAGAATTCAGTCCAGGTTCCACTAGTGACTCAAAACATGACTTATGAATATTCCTTGCAACGTTTGTTCACCTACCTAAAAAGAATAAATGTTCTTGGAAGCATGGAATAAACCACATAACAGTCATTGGGTATATTAAGTGCATTTGGGAGGCCTTTAGGGTTCAAGGGTTTTTAAATTCTCAATGTAATACAAAATCCAAAAAATAATTTTTTTTCTGCTAGTCTAGTTGAGTAATCTAAGTATTCATCTCACAGTAAATACCCAGATTATTTTTCTACAGTTATCTAAAGTTCATTATATGAAGACACTTTCTCATTTTCCTGATAAAATTCATTTTTATCAACTATCACAAAGTATGAATTTCTATATCCTCTGCAGTCTCAACACCAAAGCAATGTTATTTCCAACTAGTCATAGACTGAGGATGGAAAACAGATTAGTGGTAGAAGAGAGAAGGGCTTTTGCTGTGAAATTTATTATCTTAAATGCCAGTGGTTTAGTTTCCAGATAGCTTGAGTATGATGTGATTTATTATGTTCAGTACCAGGAGGAGTGTAGAGATTTCACTAAATGCAGGGAGATAAGGCAGAAAACAATAACTAAAATAACCACTGAAACTCAAACAGTAATGGAGGATTACCAGTGCCAAAGAGAGAAATGCAGTGGACAGATCAGTTACTATAAGAATAATTTTGGTATTTTTTTGCCACTGTATCTGTTTCAAATCAAAAGGGGGCAGGGCTGAGCTTCATTAATAACTTCGATATATTTTGGTTGTGTCCTCACCCAAATCTCATCTTGAATTGTAGTTCCCATAATCCCCAAGTATTGTGGGAGGGATCTGGTGGGAGGTAATTGAATCGTGGGGGCAGTTACCCTCATGCTGTTCTCATGGTAGTGAGTGAGTTCTTTCATGAGATCTGATAGTTTTACAAGGGGCTTTTCCCCTTTTGCTCAGCACTTCTGCTTCCTGCTGACATGTGAAGAAGGAAGTGTTTGCTTCCCCTTCCACCACGATTATAAGTTTCCTGAGGCCTCCCCAGCCATGCTGAACTGTTAGTCAATTAAACCTCTTGCATTTCTAAATTGCCATCTTGGGTATGTCTTTATTCTTAGCATGAAAATGGATTAATACAAACTTCAAGTGTTCTTCAAAGTTCAAATAATATGATTCTGAATATGTGAAAAGAAGAATGGGAAAATTTTCAGCTATCTGCATACAAACATTATAATGGCTGGCATTAGCATTTTACTAAAGTATAGATTCATTTCTTGTAATGAAGGCCAAAATAGAAGTTCACGTCTCTCTCATATAGAGTCCAAAAATAAATGGTCTAGAAATGATATGAGTGTTTTACTGTATTAGAGACCAAGGGCCTTTATTTCTTCTTACTAAGGCATTACATATCTGCCAATCTTACATAACTTCTCTTTAGCTCCTGCTAAGCCATCCATATTCAGCCAACCACAGGGAAAAGATAATGGGAAAGGGAAAGGGAAAAGCGTGCTACTTTTTAAAAAGGCATAACCTAGAAGTTATGATTACTTTTAACTTATAACCCATTGGCCAGGACACAGGCACATTTAGATTCAAAGGAGGCTAGAAATTGTCTTTATAACTGTGCAGCCATATGCCTCACTAAAGTTCTGTTAGCTGTAGAAGAGGGGTAGAATATATATCTAAGGAGAAAAGATCAGTCTTTGCCATGGTCCGCTGCTTATCTCTCCTCTAAAAGTTCAAATCCCTTCTTCCCATGCATCAAACTGCAACATAAGGAGCCACAACAAGACCTGATAGAGAGGACTGCACATCACCCAGAGAGATGGACTTCGAGTTGGATGCAATTTTGTAATTGTCTTCCTTGTAGATAGAATGAATATTCCAAGGAAGACAATTCCAAAATTGATGTGCAGTTCACTTGATGTGGCTCAACAGATTTGGAATATTAAAACATAAGGGAAAATGATATTTTTTCTCCTATGTCAATATGTAGTGATGAAATAATAATGGCACAAGTGTATTAAAATATCTTTTCAAAAGAAGCATAGGAAATTAAGCAGTTACCAATCTGTAGCAACCATCAAATCCCACTAGGCAAGAGTCATGAAAAGTCTTTGTTTTGTCACTGAATTAGGTTCCTTGGTTTACTTATGGTAGCTCATTGTATTATAATACCCTCTGGAAATTGCTATTGTGGTTCTTGGTTTTGTCCTCTGGGAAACTTTTCTTCTCCTTATCCTTCATAATCAAAGCATTGAAAAGTGTGTTTTTAGAGGCTGGATAGTTTGTGCAGTCTGCGTGCCAGCGGTACAGGTATGAAGTCAGGGTTTTGCTTCAGGCTTTAAAAAAATCACAGGGTTTTTTAGGTGGTTTGTGTTTCTTTGGAAATACAACTCCGTAAAATATTTAGTAGGCTTCTAATCAATATCCTCTGCAACTAATCATAAGCAAAAATCTCATAAAAAGACACTTTTTATACTTGAACACACTGTTCTTTAATTTACTGGATTCTTTTACTCTACCTTTAATGGATTGAAAGGCGAACATCTTAATTTGATTTTTGCTCCTAAACTCACTTTCATTGTCTAACTGAAAATTCCTATAGGACCTGCCTGAGAAGGACTTGAGGACACAATCTTATCAACTGTTAAGGCTGCTTGTTCAGAGCAACCTGTTCTAACTAGCCTATGTTGCAAAGCTCACAAAAGAAGGCAACACATAGCAATATTCTAAGGGTTTCCATCCAATTCTATTAAAGTTACATAAGCTGTAATTTTAAATCTGCTTTCCAAGGTATTTGAGACACCAGCATAATGAAATATTTGTCTGCATAGTAAAGGTCTTCAACTATGTAGCTTGCAATAGCCATTTCCTTGCTGACTTTCAATAATCATGAAGAAAGGGCCACATATTTTAGATTTTTAATGTTAGCATTGCTCTTATAGGTAATATCTGTATTATTCAAATTTGTAAATGCTATTAATAAGGGACATTAAAGAATAGAGATATTTGTTTTTTCTAAGTTATTGGTCAGGTATAAAGCATTCCAAAATGAATACAGAAAAAGGATGAAATAATGAAAATAAAAAATATGTATTGAATAGAAAATAACTAAAAATAATAGGGAAGATCAACAAAGTCAAAAGTTGTTTCTTATAAATTGCTAATACTATTGACATCCCTCTGGTAAAATGGATTATATAAGACAGAGAAGAGAGGGATGACCAAATATCAGTATTTACTAGTTAGACGTAACAGGTGTTGCACATAATAAGAAGTAATAAGAACATGTAATGAAAAATGTCATAACAATAAATTTCAAACAAATGTTATGACTACATTTTTAGAAAAATTTACATCACATGCAAATTCAAGAAAAAGAAAAATTCATGCACCTATAACCATGAAAGAAATTGAATTAGTCAAAAATATTTCCACAGAGAAGTTAAGCCATAGGTAGATTTCAAGAGAATTCTGTCAAATATTTAAGAGAAAGAAGTTCAAATCTACACAATGTCTTCTAGAGGATAGCTAAAGAGAGAACATTACTCCACTCACATAATAAAGCTACCATTACCTTGGTACCAAACAGGACAATGAAATTTTGTGAATAAAAATAGCATACCAATTTCACTTGTGGACATAGATGAAAATAACATATGTTAGCAATATATGAGAAGTATAACATTTCACAACCTACTTGAGCATAACCCAAGAATGAACATTAGTTTAACATTAGAAAGTTACTCAGTGTAATCCTCCCTGATAAGCAAAAAATTCAGTCTGGTGGAGAGGCTACAGTTTTACTCCACAATAGAGAATTAGAGCCTCTCATCCAATTCTAAGATCTGAGCCAATTTAGAGACCTGCAATGTTTGGCACAAAGGGGAAGCCAGATCCTATTGCCATAGGTATATCCTGTAATTTTCTGTTTATCCTTCTGCTAAAAGACCTGCAAGGAATCACCAAATTGATTGAACCTAAGGAAGAGTGAAACACTCATTATTCTTTAATGGGATGTTAATTTAAAGCTGAAATAATCCAGAAAAACTGGAAATTCTCTGTGGCCTAGCCATCAGAGAGGACACTTATGGAAGTCAAGAGATAAGCATTTTGGCCAAAATCCATTGGACAATGGAACCAGTGAGTCTGTAAAATAACCTACTAATCATTTCCTCAATTCCTGGAAGCATCCAAGATGTACTCATCGATGGGATAATCCCCACATCGTTTTACTGACTCAAATAGTAAAGACTACTATGCTAGAAAGGGCAAGTAAAATACTCTGAATACTCTGAAAGAAACCCGTCTCTCTCTTTTTTTTTGTAACTGAGGCATGCTCTTTTATTTCCATATTATAAAAGTAATACATGAACGCATACTTATTTTCAAAAAGTAAAGAAAACATTATTGTATATAGAGGACTTCCCCCTTGCTCCACTACCCTTCCTAGCCTCTGGTAACTATTATTCTACTCTTTGTCTCAGCCAGTTAATTTTTTTATTTTTAGATTCCATGAATAATTGGGAACATACGTTTGTCTTTCTGTGCCTGGCTTGTTTCAATTAACGTAATGACCTCCAGTTCCATCTATGTTGTTGCAAATGACAGGATATCATTCTTTTTATGGATGAATACTACCCTGTTGTTTATAAGTACTACATTTTCTTTATCCATTCATCTGTTGATGGTCTTTTAGGTTGCTTCCAAATTGTGGCTACTGTGAACAGGGCTGCAACAAACATGAAAGTGCAGATACCTATTTGATACATTGATTTCCTTTCTTTTTAGTGTATGGCCAGTGGTGGGATTGCTGGATGATATGGTAGTTCTATTTTTAGTTTATTGATGAACCTCGAAATTGTTTTCCATAGTAGTTATACTAATTTACATTTCCACCAACAATGTCCAAGGGTTCCCTTTTCTCCATATCCTCTCCAGTATTTAATAGTGCCTGTCTTTGGATAAAAGCCATTTTAACTGAGGTAAGATAATATCTCCTTGTAGTTTTGATTTGCATTTCTTCGATGATCAAAGATGTTGAGCACGTTTTCATATGCCTGTTTGCCATTTGTATTTCTTCTTTTGAGAAATGTCTATTGAAACTTATGATGGTTAATACTGAGTGTCAACTTGATTGGGTTGAAGGATGCAAAGTATTAATCCTGAGTCTCTCTGTGAGGGTGTTGCCAAAGGAGATTAATATTTACGTCTGGGCTGGGGAAGGCAAATCCACTCTTAATCTGGGTGGGCACCATCTAATCAGCTGCCAGCAAATATAAAGCAGTTAGAACAACATGAAAAGGTGAGACTGGCCTAGTCTTCCAGCCTACATCTTTCTCCCATGCTGGATCCCTCCTGCTCTCGAACATCGGACTCCAGATTCTTCAGTTTTGGGACTCAGACTGGCTCTCCTTGTTCCTCAGCTTGCAGACAGCCTATTGTGGTACCTTGTGATAGTGTGAGTTAATACTTAATAAACCTCTATTCTATCCCTCTAGAGAACCCTCACTAATACAGATTTTGGTACCAGGAGTGGTTCCAGAGGAACAGAATATTAAGAATGGAGTTCTTTTGTTGGTTTTGGGGTTTCTGGAGTTGGCTGCTTAATATGATTAGACTCAAAAATATTAAGGGCTCTACTTCTAACAGTATAGAGAAGACAGTCCTTGCCATGAACTATTTAGAGAGTTATGCAAAATAAATGAATTTGACACTCCTGATTCACCACTCATGAGAGGGAAGGAGTTTAGTGAACCTATACGTAATACCTTTAACCATATGTGGAGAACCAACCAAGCTTGTTGGTTGCTAATAAAGTTCAGTGGACAAAGTGATGAAAGAAAAAGTTGAACTCAGGGATTCTATTTCCTGGCTTCAGAAGCGAATACTGAGCCTCAAATCTGCTAATATTGTTCTGAGTGAGAGTCTTATCTTCCATACAGAAAGAACTGAAATTGTGGAAAAGCAGACAGAAGCTCTTATCATGCGAGTGGCTAGCCTGCAATGAAAGATGCATGCACAGCCTTGCCAGGTATCTACGATTAAAGTGAAAGTATTGATTGGAAAAGAATGGGACCCTGCAACTTGGAATGGGGATGTGTTGGAGGACTCTGATGAAGCTGGGGACAGTGAGTTTGTAAACTCTGATGAACTTTTTTTGCCAGAAGAAACAACTTCCCCATTCCTAGTGATGGCAACATCCCCACCCCAACCCATGCTGCCATTAGCCCTTCCACCTTTGTCTGAGGAGATAAACCCTGCACTGCCTGAGGCAGCAGTGATGGCCTACCCTGAGGCAGTTGCCAGGCAAGATAATGTTGATTCTCCTCAAGAGCCACCCCTAATATCCCTGTTTGCTTCTAAACCTGTAACTAGATTAAAGTCTCAGCGGGCCCCTAGAGGTGAGATTGAGAGTGTGACCCATGAGGAGGTACATAACACTCGAAAAGAACTGCTTGAGTTTTCCAATTTATATAAACAGAAATCTGAAGAACAGGCATGGGAATGGATAGTAAGAGTGTGGGATAATGGTGGAAGGAACATAGAGTTTGATCATGCTGACTGTATTGATTTGGGCCCACTAAGTAGGGACTCAGCATTTAATGTTGCAGCTTGGGGAGTTAAAAAAGGTTCTAATAGTTTATTTGCTTGGTTAGCTGAAATATGGATTAAAAGATGGCCCACTGTGAGAGACCTGGAAATGCCTGATAGGGATGCTGTTTGTAGCCTTTGGCAGGCCCCCATAAGTGAATCACAGCGGAGGCCTCTAGGATTTTGGAGCAAGACCCTGCCATCTTCTGCAGGTAACTACTCTCCTTTTGAGAAAGAGCTCTTGGCCGGTTACTGGGCTTTGATGGAAACTGAACATTTGACTATGAGTCAGCAAGTCAGCATATGACCTGAACTGCCTATCATGAACTGAGTGCTTTCTGACCCATCTAGCCATAAAGTGGGTGATGCAGAGCAGCATTCCATCATCAAATGGAAGTGGTATATACATGATTGGGCTGGAGCAGGTCCTGAAGGCACAAGTACGTTACACAAGGAAGTGGCTCAAATGCCTGTGGTCTCCATTCCTGCCACCCTGCCTTCTCTCCCCTGGCCTGTGCTGATGACCTTATGAGGAGTTCTCTATGATCAGCTGACAGAGGAATAGAAACTAGGGCCTGGTCCACAGGTGGTTCTGCACGATATGCAGGCACCACCCAAGAGTGGACAGCTATAGCACTACAGCCCCTTTCTTTTTTTTTTTTTAATTCTTATACTTTAAGTTCTAGGGTGCATGTGCACAATGTGCAGGTTTCTTATATATGTATACATGTGCCATGTTGGTGTCCTGTACCCATTAACTCGTCATTTAACATTAGATATATCTCCTAATGTTAACCCTCCCCCTACCCCATGACAGGCCCTGGTGTGTGATGTTCCCCATCCTGTGTCCAAGTGTTCTCATTGTTCAATTCTCACCTATGAGTGAGAACATGCAGTGTTTGGTTTTCTGTCCTTGCCATAGTTTGCCCAGAATGACGGTTTCCAGCTTCATCCATGTCCCTACAAAGGACATGAACTCATCTGTTTTTATGGCTGCATAGTATTCCGTGGTGTATATGTGCCACATTTTCTTAATGCAGTCTATCATTGATGGACATTTGGGTTGGTTCCAAGTCTTTGCTATTGTGAATAGTGCCACAATAAACATACATGTGCATGTGTCTTTATAGCAGCATGATTTATAATCCTTTGGGTATATGCCCAGTAATGGGATGGCTGGGTCAAATGGTATTTCTAGTTCTAGGTCCCTGAGGAATCGTCACACTGTCTTCCACAATGGTTGAAGTAGTTTACAGTCCCACCAACAGTGTAAGAGTGTTCCTATTTCTCCACATCCTCTCGAGCACCTGTTGATTCCTGACTTTTTAATGATCACCCTTCTAACTGGTGTGAGATGGTATCTCATTGTGGTTTTGATTTGCATTTCTCTGATGGCCAGTGATGATGAGCATTTTTTCATGTGTGTTTTGGCTGCATAAATGTCTTCTTTTGAGAAGTGTCTGTTCATATCCTTTGCCCATTTTTTGATGCCATTACTTGATTTTTTTCTTGTAAGTATGTTTAAGTTCGTTGTAGAGTCTAGATATTACCCTTTGTCAGATGGGTAGACGTTAAAAATTTCCTCCCATTCTGTAGGTTGCTTGTTCACTCTGATGGTAGTTTCTTTTGCTGTGCAGAAGCTCTTTAGTTTAATTAGATCCCATTTGTCAATTTTGGCTTTTGTTACCACTGCTTTTGGTGTTTCAGTCGTGAAGTCCTTACCCATGCCTATGTCCTGAATGGTATTGCCTAGGTTTTCTTCTAGGGTTTTTATGGTTTTAGATCTAACATTTAAGTCTTTAATCCATCTTGAATTAATTTTTGTATAAGGTATAAGGAAGAGATTCAGTTTTTAGCTTTCTACATATGGCTCGCCAGTTTTCCCAGCACCATTTATTAAATAAAATTGACCACATAGTTGGAAGTAAACCACTCCTCAGCAAATGTAAAAGAACAGAAATTATGACAAACTGTATCTCAGATCACAGTACAATCAAACTAGAACTCAGGATTAGGAAACTCACTCACTCAAAATCGCTCAACTACATGGAAACTGTACAACCTGCTCCTGAATGACTACTGGGTACATAATGAAATGAAGGCAGAAATAAAGATGTTCTTTGAAAACAATGAGAACAAAGACACAACATACCAGGATCTCTGGGACACATTTAAAGCAGTGTGTGGAGGGAAATTTATAGCACTAAATGCCCACAAGAGAAAGCAGGAGAGATCTAAAATTGACACCCTAACATCACAATTAAAAGAACTAGAGAAGCAAGAGCAAACACATTCAAAAGCTAGCAGAAGGCAAGAAATAGCTAAGATCAGAGCAGAACTGAAGGAGATAGAGACACAAAAAGCCCTTCAAAAAATCAATGAATCCAGGAGCTGGTTTTTTGAAAGGTCAACAAAATTGACAGACCACTAGCAAGACTAATAAAGAAGAAAAGAGAGAAGAATCAAATAGACGCAATAAAAAATGAAAAAGGGGATATCGCACAGATCCTACAGAAATACAAACCACCATCAGAGTGTACTATGAACACCTCTATGCAAATAAACTAGAAAATCTAGAAGAAATGGATAAATTCCTGGACACATACACCCTCCCAAGACTAAATCAGGAAGAAGTTGAATCCCCAAATAGACCAATAACAGGTTCTGAAATTTAGGCAATAATAAATAGCCCAACAACCAAAAAAAGTCCAGGACCAGATGGATTCACAGCCGAATTCTACCAGAGGTAAAAAGAGGAGCTGATATTACAGCCCCTTTCTAGGACATCCCTGAAGGACAATGGTGAAGGGAAATCTTCCCAGTGGGCATAAGTTTGAACAATTCACCTGGCATGCACTTTCCATGGAAGGAGAAATGGCCAGATGTACAATTATGTACTGATTCATGGGCTTTAGCCAATGACTTGGCTGGATGGTCAGGGACTTGGAAGAAGCATGACTGGAAAATTGATGACAAAGAAATTTGGGCAATAGGTATGTGGATGGACCTCCCTGAGTGGTCAAAAACTGTGAAGATATTTGTATACCATGTGAGTGCTTACCAATGGGTGACCTCAGCAGAGGAAGATTTTAATAATCAAGTGGATAGGATAACCCATTCTGTGGACACCACTCAGCCTCTTTCCCCAGCCACCCCGTCATTGCCCAGTGGGCCAGTGGGCCAACGAACAAAGTGGCCATGGTGGTAGGGATGGAGGTTATGCGTGGGCTCAGCAACATAGACTTCCCCTCATCAAGGCTGACCTGGCTACAGCCACTGCTGAGTATCTACTGTGGTGGCAGCGGAGACCAACACTGAGCCCTCGATATGGCACCATTCCTCGGGGTGCTCAGCCAGGTACCTGGAGGCAGGGTGATTATATTGGACTTCTTCCATCATGGACAGGGCAGAGGTTTGTCCTCACTGGAATAGACACTCCAGATATGGGTTTGCCTATCCTGTATGCAGTACTTCTGCCAAGACTACCATCCATGGTCTCATGGAATGTCTTATCCACCATCATGGTATTCCAGACAGCATTTCCTCTGACCAAGGCACTTGCTTTACAGCTAAAGTAGTGCAGCAGTGGGCTCATGGTCATGGAATTCACTGGTCTTACCAAGTTCCTCATCGTCCTGAAGCAGCTGGATTTATAGAACTGTGGAATGGCGTTTTGAAGTCACAATTACAACACCAACTAGGTGACAGTAGTTTGCAGGGCTGGGGCAAAGTTCTCCGGATGGCTGTGTTTGCTCTGAATCAGCATCTGATATATAGTACTGTTTCTCACATAGCCAGGACTCATGGGTCCAGGAATCAAAGGGTAAAAGTGGAAGTGGCACCACTCACCATCACCCCTAGTGATCCACTAGCAAAATTTTTGCTTCCTATTCCCACGAAATTATGTTCTCCTGGCCTAGAGGTCTTAGTTCCAGAGGGAGGAAGACTGCCACTAGGAGGCACAACAATGGTTCCATTAAACTGGAAGTTAAGATTGCCGCCTGGGCGCTTTGGGCTCCTCCTACCTTTAAGTCAACAGGCTAAGAAGGGAGTTGGCTGGAGTGATTGACCCAGACTATCAAGATGATGTATTATTCCACAACGAAGGTAAAGAAGAGTATACATGGAATACAGGAGATCCATTAGGGCATCTCTTAGTATTACCATGCCCTGTGATTAACGTCAATGGGAAACCACAAGAGCCCAATCGAGGCAGGACTACAAATGGCCCAGACCCTTCAGGAATGAAGGTTTGGGTTACTCCACCAGGAAAAAAACACGACCTGCTGAGCTATTTGCTGAAGGCAAAGGGAACACAGAATGGGTGGTAGAAGAAGGTAGTCATCAATAGCAGCTACAACCACATGACTACCTGCAGAAACGAAGACTGTAACTCTCATAAGTATATCCTCCTTTCGTTAAAAACATGTTTGTGCGTGCATACACTTGTACTAAGAAAATATCTTCATTTTATTTCCTTTATCATGTGACATAAGATTTATTGACTTCATATCAGCATTTATGTATTGTTAACTTTATGTAATAATATTTGGTTTAGGGATTGGTGCATTTCTGGTTGCACGAAGGATAGTTGTATTATGGTAGGAATAATTATGACCTTATTATTATCTTTATTTGAAGAGTATGTATGATCTCAGGAGATGTGTGTGGGTTCAAGTTGACAAGGGGTACACTTGGTGATGGTTAATACTGAGTGTCAACTTCATTGGAATGAAGAATGCAAAGTATTGATCCTGGTTTTTTCTGTGATGGTGTTACCAAAGGGGATTAACATTTGTGTCAGAGGGCTGTGGAAGGCAGATCCACCCTTAATCTGGGTGGGCACCATCTAATCAGCTTCCAGTGAATATAAAGCAGGCAGAAAAATGTGAAAATGTGAGACTGGCCTAGCCTCCCAGGCTATATCTTTTTCCCATGCTGCATGCTTAGTGCCCTCAAACATCGGACTCCAGGTTTTTCAGTTGTGGGACTTAGACTGGCTCTTCTTACTCCTCAGCTTGCAGATGGCCTATTGTGGGACCTTGTGTTCATGTGAGTTAATACTTAATAAACTCCCCTTTATATCATATATGTGTATGTATCTATATCCTGTTAGTTCTGTCCCTCTAGACAACCCTGACTAACACAAAACCTTTTGCCCAGTTTTTGATCAGATTCTTAGAGCTTTTCTATAGAGTTGTTTGAGCTTTTTATTTTCTGGTTATTAACCCCTAGTCAGACGAGTAGTTTGCAAATATTTTCTTCCATTCTATGTGTTGTCCCTTCATTTTATTGATTGTATCATTTGCTTGTTCAGAGTTTTTTTTAACTTGATGTGATCCAATTGTCTATTTTTATTTTGGTTGCCTCTGCTTGTGGGGTATTATTCAAAAAATTTTTGCCCAGGCCAATGCCCTGGAGAGTTTCCCTGATGTTTTCTTGTAGTGTTTTCATAGTTTGAGGTATCAGATTTAACTCTTTAATTCATTTTGATTTGATTTTTGTGTACAGTGAGAGACAGAAGTCTAGTGTCATTTTTATGCATATAAACATCCAATTATCCCAGCACAATTAATTGAAGAGATAGCCTTCCCCAGTGTATGTTCTTGGCACCTTTGTCAAAAATTGGCTCACTGTATGTGTGTGGGTTTGTTTCTGCGTTCTTTGTTCTGTTTTATTGGTTTATGTGTCTGTTTTTATGCCAGTACCATGCTCTTTTGGTTGCTATACCTCTGTAGTATAATTTGAAGTTAGGTAATGTTTTTCCTCCAGTTTTGTTCTTTTTGCTCAGGATAGCATTGACTTTCTGGATCTTCAGGGTTCCATAGAAATTTTATGATTGTTTTTCCCATTTCTGTGAAGAATGTCACTGCTATTTTGACAGTGATTGCTTTAAATCTGTAGATTGTGTTGGGTAATATGGACATTTTATTAACAATATTGATTCTTCTAATCCATGAACATGGAATATCTTTCCTTTTTCAGTGTCCTCTTCAATTTTTTAAAATCAGTTTTATAGTATTCATTGTAGAGTTTTTTTTACTTCTTTGGTTGAGTTAATTCCTAGGTATTTGATTGTATTTGTGTGTATCATAAATGGGATTTCTTTTCTTATTTCATTTTCAGAAGGTTCACCACTGCCATATAGAAATGGCACTGATTTTCGTATGTTGCTGCTGTATCCTACAACTCTACTAAATTTGTTTATCAGTTTGAATAGTTTTTTGGTGGAGTAATTAGGTTTTTCCAAATATAAGGCCATATCATCTGCAAACAAGTATAATTTGATTTCTTCCTTTCCAGTTTAGATGCCCTTTATTTCTTTTTCTTGTCTGATTGCTCTAGCTAGGACTTCCAGTACTATGTTGAATAGCAGTGGTGAAAATGGGCATCCTTGTCATATTCCAGATCTTAGAGGAAAGACTTTCAATTTTTCCCCATTTGGTACGTTTCTAGCTGTGGGTCTGTAATGTATAGCTTTTATTATGTTGAGGCATGTTTCTTCTATACCAGTTGTTTGAGAGTTTTTATCATGAAAGGATGTTATATTTTATCAAACGCTTTTACAGCATCAGTTGAAGTGATCATATGGTTTTTGTCCTTCATTTTGTTGATATGATGTATCCCATTCATTGATTTGTATATGTCGAACCATCCTTGCATCCCTGGGATAAATCCTACTTGGTTATGATGAATAATCTTTTAAACGTATTGTTGAATTCAGTCAGCCAGTATTTTGTAGAAGATTTTTGCATCAATATTTACCAGGGATATCGACCTGTAGTTTTCTTTTTTGTTGATGTGTCTTTGTCTGGTTTTGGTATCAGGGTAATACTGGGCTCATAAAATGAGTTGGATAGTATTCCAACCTCCTCTATTTTTCAGAATAATTTTAGTAAAATTGCTATTAGTTCTTCTTTAAATGTTTGGTAGAATTCAGCAGAGAAACCATCGTGTCCTAGGCTTTTCTTTACTAGACTTTTTATTACAGCTTCAACCTCATTACTTGTTATTGGTCTGTCTAGGTTTTGAGTTTCTTCCTGGTTCAATCTTGGTAGGTGGCATGTGCCTAGGAATTTGTTCATTTCTTCTAGACTCTCCTGTATGAGCTTATAGTTGCTCATCAGGCCACTAATGATCCTTTGAATTAGTGTTTTTTTTTCTTTTGAGACAAGGTCTCAGTTTGTTGCCCAGGCTGGAGTGCAGTGGTGTGATCCTGACTCACTGCCACCTTTGCCTTCCAGCCTCAAGTGATCCGCCCACTTAGGCCTCCCAAGTTGCTGAGAAACAGGTGAACACCACTATGCCTGGCTAATTTTTCTAATTTTTATGGAGGTGGATTTTGCCTTGCTGCCCAGGTTGGTCTTGAATGCCAGAACTCAAGTGATCCACCCACCTTGGCCTCCCAAATTACTGAGATTATAGGCATGAGTCATTGTGCCTAGCTAATCCTTTGAATTTCTGCAGTATCAGTCCTAATGTCTCTTTTTTTAACTATAATTTTATTTATTTGGATCTTCCATTTTTTATTAGAATGGCTAATGGTTATGTCAATTTTGTTTGTTTTCAAAAAAGAACTTTTTGTGTTTTATTGATATTTTGTTTTGTTTTCTTCATTTCAATTTCATTTTTTCTCTGTTTTTATTTTTCATTGTCGTTATTGAACTAATTTTGAGTTCAGTTAGCTCTTGCTTTTCTATTTCTTTAAGATTCATCATTTGGTTGTTTATTTGAAGTTTTTCTTCTTTCTTAATGTAGGCACTTATAGCTATAAATTTTCCTCTTAGTAGTACTTTTGCTGTATTCCATAGGTTTTGGTATGTTGTGTTGCCATTATTATTTGTTTCAAGACCTTTTTCGATTTCTTCTTAATTTATTCATTGACCCATTGGCCATTCAGCATATTGTTTAATTTCCATTTTTTGTATAGTTTCAACAATTCTTTATATGGATTTCTACTTTTATTCCATTGTGGTCAGAGAAGATGTTTGTTTTATACTACTTCAATTTTTTTAATGTTTTAAGACTTGTTTTGTGACCTAACATATGGACTATCCTTGAGAATAATCCATGTGCTGAGGAAAATAATGTGTATTCTGCAGCTGTTAGATGAAATGTTCTGTAAATATTTATTAGGTCCATTTGGTCTATAGTGGAGATTATGCCTGAAGTTTCTTTGTTGATTTCCTATCTGGAAGATCTGTCCAATAATGAAAATTGGTTGTTGCAGTCTCCGTCTATTACTGCATTGGAGTAGTAGCTCTACTCTTTAGCTCTAGCAATATTTATTTATATATCATGGTTTTCCAGTATTGGGTACATATATTTTTATAATTGCCATATCATCTTGCTGAATTTACCCCTTTATCATTACATAGTGACCTTCTTTGTGTCCTCTTCTAGTTTTTGTCTTGAAGTCTGTTTTTTTCCAATGTAAGTACAGCTATTCCTGCTTTTCTGGTTTCCATTTGCATGGAATATTTTTTCTGTTCCTTTATTTTTAGTCTATATGTGTCTTCATTGAGGAAGTGTGTTTCTTATCAGCAACAGATCATTCAGTCTTATTTTTTAATTCATTCAGGTGCTCTGTCTCTTTTGTTTGGAGAGTTTAGTCCATTTACATTTAATGTTATTATTGATAAGTAAGTACTTTCTCCTGCCATTTCGTTACATGTTTTCTGGTTGTTTTGTAATCTTCTTTTTTTTTTCTTTCTTTCTTCCTTTCACTTGAGGTGATTTTCCCTGATGATACAATTTAGTTTCTTGCTTTGTATTTTTTTGTTTATTTGTTGTATGTTCTTTGGTTTGAGGTCAACATGAGGCTTGCAAATACTATCTTGTAGCACATGATTTTAAGCTGATAACAACTTAATGTTATTTGCAAACACACACACACAAACAAGTGAAAGAAAACTAATAAGGACTCATAAGGTCTCTATACCTTAACTTTGTCCCTAAACTTTGTAAATTTTTGTTGTTTCTATTTAAAATGTCCATGTATTGAAATGTTGTTACAGGTGTTATTTTTGATTGGTTCACCATTTAGTCTAAGATAAGAGTGTAACCGACCAATGGGTCCTTCTTGCCCACTACCTAGGCAGAGCTGACTTATCAAGACAGGGAAATTGCAATAGAGAAATGGTTTAATTCATGCAGAGCCAGCTGTATGGGAGACTAGAGTTTTATTATTACTCATATCAGTAACTGCAAAAACTTGGGAATTGGGATATTTAAGGATAATTTAGTACATAGGAGGCCAGTGAGTCAAGAGTGCGGACTGGTTGAGTTAGAGATAAAGTCATAGGGAGTCAACACTGTCATCTTCTGCTAAGTCACTTCCTGGGTAGGGGCCCCAATACAAGATGAACCATTTTATCCATTTTGGTGATGCCAGCTTATCTATCAAGTACAGGGTCTGCAACATATCTCAAGCACTGATCTTAGGTTTTATAATAGTGATGTTATCCCCAGAAGCAATTTGGGGAGGTTCAGAATCTTGCAGCCTCCAGCTGTGTGACTCCTAAAGCATAATTTCTAATCTTGTGGCTAATTTGTTAGTTCTGCAAAGACAGGCTAGTCCTCAAGCAGGAAGGTGGTTTGTTTTGGGCCAGGGCTCTTATTGTCTTTGTTTCAAAGTTGAACTATAAACTAAGTTCTTCCCAAAGTTAGTTTGGCTGATGCCTAGGAATGAGCAAGGACAGCTTGGAGATTAGAAGCCAGATGGAGTTACTTAGCTCAGATCTCCTTCACTGTTATAATTTTCTCAGTTATAATTTTTGCAAAGGTGATTTCAAGAGTAGTTTACACACCACAATTATAGTGTTATGAATTTCTAGTTTTCTGTTTATTCAGTATTACCAGTGAGATTTTTTTTTTTTACCTTCAGATGATTTCTTATTTCTCATTAACATTCTTTTCTTTCTGATTGAAGTACTCTCTTTAGCATTTCTTACAGGGCAGGTATGGTGTTGATAAAAGTCCCTCAGCTTTTGTGTATCTGGGAAAGTATTTCTCCTTCATCTTTGGAGGTTGTTTTCACAAGATATGCTATTCTAGGGTAAAACTTTTTTTCTTTCAACACTGTAAACACGCTATGCCACTCTCTTCTGGACTGTAAAGTTTCCATTGAAAATTCTGCTGCCAAACATATTGGAGCTCCATTGTACGTTATTTGTTTCTTTTCTCTCTAGTATCCTTTCTTTATCCTTTACCTCTGGGAGTTTGATTATTAGATGCCTTGATTTATTCTTTGAGTTATATCTGCCTGGTGTTCTATAACCTTCTTGCACTTGAATGTTGATATCGTTCTCTAGCTTTGGGGAGTTTTCTAATGTTGTCCTTTTCAATAAACTTTCTACCCCTATCTCTTTCTGTACTTCCTCATGAAGACCAATAACTCTTAGATTTGCCGTTTTGAGGATATTTTCTACATGTCATAGGCATGCTTCATTGTTTTTTATTCTGTTTTCTTTTGCCAATTCTGACTGTATTT
This sequence comes from Homo sapiens, assembly GCF_000001405.40. Taxonomy (NCBI): domain Eukaryota; kingdom Metazoa; phylum Chordata; class Mammalia; order Primates; family Hominidae; genus Homo; species Homo sapiens. The sequence goes on along the minus strand of NC_000002.12, from coordinate 49,537,265 downwards.
TTAAATAGCCTGTTTTCTAACTCACCAATTCTTTGTTCTCCTTTATCAGTTCTGCTATTAAAGACTCCTCTGCATCTGTCAGTATGCCAATAAAATTTTTCATCCGCAGAACTTCTGCTTGATTCTTTTAAATTATTTCAATTTTTGTTAAATTTGTGAGTAGAATTCTGAATTCCTTCTCTGTTTTATCTTGAATTTCTTTGAGTTTCCTTAACACAGCTATTTTTAATTCTCTTTCAGAAAGGTCACATATCTCTGTTTTTCCAGGATTGATCCCTGTTGCCTGATTTAGTTCATTAGTTGAGGTCATGTTCTCCTGGGTGGTCTTGATACTTGTAGATGTCCATCTGTGTCTGGACATTAAAGAGTTAGATATTTATTGCAGTCTTCTCAGCCTGGGCCTATTTGTATTCATCCACCTTGGGAAGGCTTTTCAGATATTTGAAAGTATTTGACTGTTGTTTATCTAAGCTATATCTACTTTAGGAGGCACTCTTAAGTCAGTAATGCTGTGGTTCTTGCGGACTTATAGAGGTATCCCCTTGATGGTCTTGAACAATATCCACAAGAATTCTGTAGATTGCCAGGCAGAGACTGTTTTTCTCTTTCTTTGCTTTCTCCCAAACAAACAAAATTTCTATGTGTGTGTGTTCTGAGCCACCTGGAGCTGGGGGTAGAGTGACACAAGCAATCCTGTGGCCACCCCTACTAAAAGTGTACTGGGACTACCACTGCCAGGGCATAGGGGAGGGATGGTGTCAATTATTAAAGACTGTTTTTCCTACCACTTCAGTGTCTCTTTTTTTTTTTTTTTTTTTTTTTTGACATGGCATCTCGCTCTGTTGCCCAGGCTGGAGTGCAGTGGTGCTACCTCCGCTCACTGCAAGCTCTGCTTCCCTGGTTCTCGCCATTCTCCTGCCTCAGCCTCCTGAGTAGCTGGGATTACAGGCACCCACCACCACGCCCAGCTAATTTTGTTTTTGTATTTTTAGTAGAGACGGGGTTTCACTGTGTTAGCCTGGATGGTCTCAATCCCCTGACCTCATGATCCACCTGCCTCGGCCTCCCAAAGTGCTGGCATTACAGGCGTGAGCCACCATGCCCGGCCTTCAGTGTCTCTTTCAGTGATGTGAACTTAAAAGCAGTACTGTGAGTACTCACCTGATTTTTGGTTCTTAAGAAGGTGCTTATTTTGTGTGTAGATAGTTTAAATTGGTGTCTTTTGGGGAACTGTTCAGTGGAGCCTTCTATTTTGATATCTTCCCCCACCCCAGATCCTGATTTCAATTCTTTTTGATAAATAGTTAGAAGTTAAATGACTGGATTATTTAGTAATTCTATTTTTAATTTTCTGAGGAATTTCTATCTTGTTTTTTAAAGTGGCTGCACTATTTTACTTTTCCACCAAGAGTGTACAAGAGTTCCAATTTTTCACTTCCTTGCCAAGGTTTGTTATTTTCCTTTCTTTCTTTAATATAATAACCATTCTAACAGGTGTGAGGTAACATTTCATTATAGTTTTAATTTTCATTTCTCTGATGATTGGTGATGTTGAGAATATTTTTATATATCTGTCAGTCATTTGTATATGTTTTAGGAGAAATGTCCATTAAAGTCTGTTGCCCATTTTTTAAGTAAACTGTTTATTTTCTTGCTATTGATTTGAATTCTTCACATATTTTGGATATTAACCCTTTATCAAATATAAGGTTTGCAATATTTTCTACCATTCTGTATGTTGCCTTATTACTCTGTTGATGTTTTCTTTGCTATGTAGAAACATTTTAGTTTGATGTAGTCCCACTTATTTATTTTTGCTTTTGTTGTCTGTGCTTTGGTGTCACATACAAGAAATCATTGCCAAGAACAGTGTTATAAAGGTTTTCTCTTATGTTTTCTTCTAGAAGTTTTATAGTTTCAAGTATACCAGAGATACAGTTTCAGTATGTTTAGTTATTTTGTCCTTTTTGAGTTGATTATTGACTGTTTCCTTTCTTTCTTTTCCATTGTCCTAGCTAGGAATTCCAGTACCATGTTGGATAGATAGAGAGAAGTTGCAAGAGTGGGCATCCTTGACTTGTCCCTTATCTTAGATGAAAAGCTTTCAGGCATTTCCCTTTGATACTGATGTTACCTGTGGTATTTTCATATATGGCCTTTATTATGTTGAAGTAATTTCCTTCTATTTCTAATTTGTTGAGTTTTTTTGAAATGGGGTTGAATTTTTTCAAATGCTTTTTCTGCATCTATTTAGGTGATCATAAATTTTATACTCTGTTATGTTAAAGTGGTATATCACATTGATTGCTTCAGGTATGTTGAACCATCTTTGCATCCCAGAGACAGATTCCACTTGGTTATGGTGTAGCACTTTTTATGTGCTGTTGAATTCGGTTTGCTAGTATACTCAGCTCTCTGTTTCTGTGAGTTCAGCATCTGTGGACTCAAGCAATCATGGATCAAAAATAATTTTTTAAATATGGATAATTTCATCTGAACTAAACATGTACAGATTTTCTGGTTGTTATTTCCTAAACAATAGAATATAACAACTATATACATTGCATTTACATTGTATTAGATAGTTTAAGTAATCTGGAGATAATTTAAAGTATATGGGAGAATGTGTGTAGGTCATATGCAAATACTACACCATTTTATACAAAGGACGTGAGCATCTGTGGATTTTGGTATCCACAGTGAGTCCTGAAACCAATCGCCCACAGAAGGACCACTACATTTGGTGGAGGATTTTTGCATTTGTATTCATCAGAGATATTGGCCAGTAGTTTTCTTGTAGAGTTATTTTCTGACTTTGGTAACATAGTGATGCTGGCCTTACAGAATAATTTTGGAAGTGTTCTCACCCTTGTTTCTTTTTTTTTTTCATTTTTGGTAGAGTTTCAGAAGAATTAGTGTTAATTCATATCTAAATGTTTAGCAGAATTGTCTAGTGAAGTCATTAGGTCCTGGGCTTTTCTTTGTTGAGAGATTTTTTTTATTATTAATGGAATCTCCCTGCTAATTATTGGTCTGTTAAGATTTTATACTTTTTCATGATTCTGTTTTGATGAGTTATATGTATCTAGAATATACCCATCTCTTTTAGGTTATCCAATTTTTGGTGTACTATTGTTCACAATAATCATTTATAACCTTTTTTTATTTCCACATCAGTTTTGATATCTCCTGTTTTATTTCTAATTTTATTTATTTGAATTCTTCCTTCTTTTATTCTTAATCTAGCTAAGAATTTGTCAACTTGGTTTTGAAAAATCAAATTCTTAGTTTCAATATTTTTCTGTTTTAATATTCTTAATTTTTCTTGTTTCTGCTCCAATCTTTATTATTTCCTTTGTTCTATGAGATTGGACTTAATTTTTTTCTAGTTCTTTGAGGTTTAAAGTTAGGTCATTTTTTTATCTGTCTTATTTTTTAATGTAGGCATTTGCTGCTTTAAACCTCCCTTTTGGTATTGCTTTTGCTGTATCCCAAAAATTTTAGTATGTTATGTTATCATTTTTGTTTGTGTCAGGATGTTTTCTAATTTCCTTTTTGATTTCTTCTTTGACTCATTAATTTTTTTCAGGAGTGTTTTATTAATTTCCATGTACTTCTAAATTTTTTTCTTTTCTTTCTACCTTTATTCCATTTTTATTCCAAAAAGATATTTGGTATAATTTAATCTTTTAAAATTGTTAAGACTTGCTTTGTGATCTAATGTGATCTTTCCTGGAGAGTGTTCCATGTAAACTTGAGAAGAATATGTATTCTGATAATGTTGGGTAGTGTGTTTTGCATGTATCTGTTATGTCTATTTGATCTACAATATTGTTCAATTTTGAAACATTGTTCTGTTTTTGAATTAATATTCTGCCTAAATGTTTCATTGTTTATTAAAAGTTGGATATTGAAATCCCCATTATTCTATTGCTATTTCTTCCTTTTGTTCTGTCAGTTATTGCTTTATATATTTGGGTACTATGATGTTGGGTGCAAATATATTTATAATTATTATATATTCCTGGTGAATTGGTTCTTTTATTATTATATAATGTTCTTATTTGTTTTTAATTCAAATTTTGACTTAAAGTCTATTTCATCTGATACAACTATGGCCAATTCTGCTCTCTTTTGGCTACCATTTTCATATAATATATTTTTTAAATCCCTTACTTCAGCCTATGTGTGTCCTTAAATCTAAAGTAAGTCTCATGTAGACAGCATATAGTTGGGTCTTGTTTTTTAGAAAAGTATTCAGTTGCTCTGTCTTTTGATTGGGAAATTTAATCCATTTACATTTAAAGTAATTACTTATAGAGCTGAACTTACTCTTGACATTTTGTTAATTATTTTGTCTACCTTGCAACTTTTTGCCCCTTTTTTTCTTTCTTCTTCTCTTCCTTTGTGTTTCATTAATTTTTTTGTGGTGACATGGTTTGATTTCTTTCTCATTTTCTTTTGTATATCTTCTATAGGCCTTTTTTGTTGTTACCATGGTATTTCTGTAAAACATCTTATAATTATCTCTTTTAATTTATAACAACATAATTTAACTTCATACAAAACTAAACTCTATTGCTTCTCCCATGCACACATCATTTTATCTCAATAATTACACTGTTTAATTGTGTATCTATTAGAGCACATTGTTATAGTTATTTTTATATTATTTACTTTTAATTTATATAGCAGAATTCGAAGTTATTTAAGCACCATTTAAAAAATATTACAGTATCCACTATTTGTGTATATATTTACTTTAATCATAAACTTTATATTTTTATATGCTTTTGTGTTACTCTCTAGCATCCTGTCACTTCACCTTAAAGGACTCCGTTTAAATATTTTTATTACCTGAGTCTAGTGGTGATGAATCCTCTCAGGGCTTATTTATCTAAGAAAGTCTTTTTTTATCCTTCATTTTTGAAGGGCAGTTTTGTCAGATGTGGTATTCTTGGTTTTCAGGGTTTTCTTTTTTCCAGCACTTTGAATACATAATTGCATTTCTTTCTAGAATGCAGGATTTCTGCTGAGAAATCTGTTGAAAGTCTTATTGGACTTCCTATACTGTATGAATTTCCTTTCTTTTGCTGCTTTCAACATTTTCTTTGTCTTTGACTTTTGACAATATAATACAGTCTTTCTCAGTGTGAACTTATTTGAATTTATTTTAGTTGTAGTTCTAGTTGTAGTCTGTCTGTGTGCTTCCTAAGTCTGGGTGTTTTCTTCCTTCTTCAGACTTGGAAAGTTTCATAACATTATTTTTTTCAAATAAGCTTTCTGTCACATTCATTCTCTTTTCTCATTCTAGGTCTTCTGTAATGAGTATATTGATCTGCTTTATGGTATTCCATAAGTCTCATATGCTTTCTTCATTCTTTTGCCTTCTTTTTGTTACTCTCACTGGATAATTCCAAATGACCTTTCCTCAGGTTCAATGGTTCTTTCTTCTGCTTAATTAAATATGCAGGTGAACCCCTTTAGAGAGTTTTTCAATTCAGTTATTGTATTCTTTAGCTCCAAAATTCTTATTTGGTTCTTTTTTATATGTCATATATCTTTGTTGATATTCTCATTTTGTTCATGCCAGCCTTCATAGTTTACTGAGCACTTTATTTCAGTTACATGGAATTCTTTGTCAGGGGATGCCAAAGTCTCCTTTTCTTTAAGGTTGATTTCTGGAGATTTATTTTGTTCCCTTGATTGGATTATGTTTCCTTGTTTCCTTCTCAGACTTTTTAATATGTATTGGAATCTACACATTTTAAAAACAGCCACCTCTTTTTCTACATGAACTGGCTTCATACAGACAAAGATCACCAATCAATCTAGCTAGAGATTCTTGGTGCTATTTCTACCTGATATGGTCTGGCTCTGTGTCTCCACCCACATCTCATCTTGAATGGTAATATGAAGTATAATACCCATGCGTTCGGGGAGGGATCTTATAGAAGTGATTAAATTGTGCCCCCCTCTGCTGTTCTTGTGATAGTGTGTGAGTTCTCATGAGATCTGATGGTTTTATAGTGGGCTTTTCTCACCATCACTCTGCACTTCTCTCTCCTGCTGCCTTGTAAAGAACATATTTGCTTCCCCTTCTGCCTCAATTATAAGTTTCCTGTGGCCTCCCTAGCAATGTGGAACTCTGAATCAATTAAACTTCTTTTCTTTATAAATTACTGAGTCTCAGGCAGGTCTTTATAGCAGTGTGAAAATGAACTAATACAGTAAATTGGCAGATAGTGGGGTGCTCCTATAAGGATACCTGATAAAGTGGAAGTGACTTTGGAACTGGGTAACAGGCAGTTACCCAGAAGGCTCAGAAGAAGGAGGGCTCAGAAGAAGAAAGGAAAATGCGGGAAAGTTTGGAACTTCCTAGAGACTTGTTGAATGGCTTTGACCAAAATGTTGACGGAGATATGGACAAAGAAGTCCAGGCTGAGGTGGTCTCAGGTGGAGATGAGAAACTTGTTGGAAACCGGAATAAAGGTAATTCTTGCTATGCTTTAGCAAAGACACTGGCAGCATTTTGCCCCTGCCCTAGAGATCTGTGAAACTTTGAACCTGAGAGAGATGATTTAGGGTATATGGCAGATGACATTTCTAAGTGGCAAAGCATTCAAGAGGAAGCAGAACATAAATATTTGGAAAACTTGCAGCCTGATGATGCAATAGAAAAGAAAAATCAATTTTCTAGGAAGAAAATACTGCTGTGGAAATTTGCTTAAGTAACAAGGAGCCTAATGTTAATCACCAAGACAAGGGGAAAATGTCCCCAGGACATGTAAGAGACCTTCATGGCAGCCCCTCCCATCACAGGCCAAGAGGCTTAGAAGGAAAAAATGGTTTCATAGGTCAGGCCTAGGGTCCTCCTGCAGTGTGCAGCCTAGGGACTTGGTTTCCTGTGTCCCAGTCACTCTAGCCTTGGCTAAAAAGGGCCAAGATAGAGCTAGGGCCATGGCTTCATAGGATGAAAGCCCCAAGCCTTGGCAGCTTCCATGTGTCATTGAGCCTGCAGGTGCACAGAAGTCAAGAATTAAGGTTTGGGAACCTCCGCCTAGATTTCAAAGGGTGTATGGAAACTCCTGGATGTCCAGGCAGAAGTTTGCTCCAGGGGTGGGGCCCAGAGTGAGAAGCTCTGCTAGGGCTGTGTGGAAGGAAAATGTGGGGTTGGAGGCCCCACACAGAGTCCCCACTTGGGCACTGCCTAGTGGAGCTGCGAGAAGAGGGCCACCATCCTCCAGACCCCAGAATGGTAAACCCACCAGGAGGTTGCATTGCATACCTGGAAAAATAGCAGACACTCAACACCAGCTCATGAATGTAGCCAGGAGTGGGGGGCTGTACCCTGCAAGGCCACAGGGGTAGACCTGCCTAAGGCCATAGGAGCCCATCTCTTGTATCAACATGACTTGGATGTGAGACATTGAGTCAACGGAGATTCTTTTGAAGATTTAAGATTTAATTGCTGCCTCATTTGTTTTCAGAATTGCATGGGTCCTATATCCTCTTTGTTTTGGCTAATTTCTCCCATTTGTAAAATGTGTGTTTACCCAATGCCTGTATCTCCGTTGTGTTGATAAAGTAACTAACGTGCTTTTGACTTTACAGGCTCATAGGCAGAAGGGACTTGCCTTGTTTCAGATGAGACTATTGACTTGGACTTTGGGGTTAATGCTGAAATGAGTTAAGACGTTGAAGAACTGTTGGGAAGGCATAATTTTGTTTAGAACTGTGAGAAAAACAAGATTTGGGAGGGGCCAGGGAAGAATGATATGGTCTGGCTCTGTGTCCCCACCTGAATCTCATCATGAATTGTATTCCAAAGTGTAATCCCCACGTCTTTGGGGAGGGACCTCATGGGTGGTAATTAGATCATAGGGATGGTTCCCCCATGCTGTTTTGTGATAGTGAGTGAGTGCTCATGAGATCTCATCGTTTTATAAGGGCGTTTCCCCCCTTTGCTCTGCACTTCTCTCTCCTGTCGCCTTATGAAGAAGGATGTGTTTACTTCCCCTTCTGCCATGATTGTAAGTTTCTTCAGGCCTCTCCAGCCATGTGAAACTGAGTATATTAAACCTTTTTTCTTTATAAATTACCCAGTCTCATGCAGTTCTTCACAGCAGCATGAGAACACACTAATACAGTACCTTTTCTGTAGATATATCTTCTCTGGACTTGTGTGGGTAATTTCCTAATTACAGGAATTTGCTGGTTTCTTTATTTAATGTAGCTTATAATATTTTGCATCGTCTGGTGTCTATAGTATTGCAGATTCTCTAGTTGCTGCAAGCCACCTAGTTCACTTTTGTGCTCAGTGGTCCTCAGGCTTTTAGAGTACGTTGGGTTCTATCAGTACTCTGAATGGGAAAAGACAGAAATCAGTTCCTCTGGCAGTCCCTCCAAAAGGCAGAATGTTGGATGTCGATTCTACTCTTCTCTTTTCCAGCTGAGAGGCTACCAAACAGCACTGGCCTCTGTTTGCAATACTGTGGGTCTTCTAGAGCAAGAGTAAACTGGCCAGCTCTCTTTTGTTCTTAGTAGCCCCTAGGCATCTAGAATATGCTGGTTTCCATTAATTCTTTGAAACAGGTGAGACAGAAGCTAATTTCTTGGGCAGTCTCTCAAAAAGCCAAAACATTGAACATTTTCTCCAAATATTTTTCTCCCCAGGTTAAAGATAGAAGTTGGGCATTTTCTCCCTCTCATTCTATGCTGAGACAGAAGAAGGGAATACGGTGAGTGAGTGAGTGTGTGTGTGTGTGTGTGTGTGTGTGTGTGTGTGTGTGTATGTGTGAGAGTTTTAAGTATTGCCTTTGTTTTCAGTGGGATTCTACCTGGCACCTTTTCCTGTCAGTGCTTAGATTCTGGCAAGACTAGCTAGTCTGTCAGCCAGCAATCCCCCCAACCTCACACAAAGTCAAAATGTTGGACATATGGTTCAGTCTTCTCTATCTTCCCCCAGCAACAAAACCAGGAGCCAGAAGTTTCCTGATTGCCTCATGCTGTCAAAAGGTGAGACTCTGGTGAGTAAGTGCCATTGATTTTCCTACTGGCTCATGTTTGCCTGGAGTACAGGAGCCTCTGAAATGGTTTCTGATTTCTCACAAATGGAATTGGTCTATAGATTGTTGTTGAGTCCATGTCTTCACGGTAAGGGGAGGGCCTGGGGATTCCTGTTCCACCATTTTGCTGCTGTTGTCCCCTGAGGTAACCCATCTTATCACGACAGTCTCTCAAAACTATTTACATCCCTGGAACCATGGAAGTATTTTCATAAAAAACTTAACAGATGGAGGTGCTTACTCAAACATCTTCATGAAATATGCCCATTTTGTCCTGTGCAGAAAACAAATGGATCTTAAGGAATGGCAATAGCATATCAAAAGCTTTATTTAAAAAGTACCTCTGATTGAAGCTGCTCTCTTCATCTTCCAATGTATTTTTTCTCTATATCAATTAGAAAAATACTTAGATAAAGCCATTTGCTTTTAACTGGCAGAAATAGCTATTGACCTTTATTGTTTTATCTCAGAGCAATATTAACTCTCCCACTCCATGTGGCAATCAATTTAAAATGTATCTTCATCTGGAGACATGTTATGTTTATCCAGTACATTGATGATATCATAATAATTAGGTCTGGTGAGAAAGAAGTAACAAATTCTTTAGAGGCCTTTATAACACATGTATATGATATTAAATGCCATATACAATCCATGAACACTCAGGGATCTGCTGATTTAATAATGTGTTTATATGTCCAGTGGTCTAGGGTAGCATTCAGCAAACATTTTCTGTATAGACTAGGATATGATTTGGCTCTGTGTCCCCACTCAAATCTCATTTTGAACTGTACTCCTATAATTCCTACATGTTGTAGGAGGGACCTGGTGGGAGATAATTTGAATCATGTGAGTGGTTTCCCCCATACTGTTCTTGTGGTAGTGAATAAGTCTCATGAGATCTGATGGTTTTATCAAGGGTTTCTGCTTTTACATCTTCCTCATTTTCTCTTGCTGCTGCCATGTGAGAAGTGCCTTTTGCTTCCTGCCACGATTCTGAGGCCTCCCCAGCCACGTGGAACTGTAAGTCTACTCAAACCTCTTTTTCTTCCCAGTCTTAGGTATGTCTTTGTCCGCAGCATGAAAATGGACTAATACAGACTAGATAGTAAATATGTAGCCTTGTAATTCATATGGCCTATGAATTCATATCTGGCTTTGTAATTCATATGGTCTGTGCCACAACTACTCAACTCTACACATAATATGCACATAGTCATAGACATTAGATAAATAGATAAATGAACAGGTGATGCTGTGTTCTAATAAAACTTTATGTACAAAAACAGGTGGCAAGACAGATTTAGACTGAAGCTGCTGACTTAGGACATGTCAAAAATAACTCTGCAAAGTAAAATACCTCACATTATACCTTCCATTAATCTTTTTCTTTATGTATGTTTGATGTAATTGATATCTCAAAGACTAAGGGGAGTGTGTTTATATCCCACAAATGCATTTCTGAAGATTTTTTCCTTATTTCCTTAGATATCACTAGATTTTTCTTTATTGATTTAGTTTACTCTGATAAAGATATTTTCTCTTAATATAGCCAATACAGAGTTTTAATTCTTTCTGCTTTTGGCTTTCCTGCATTATTATTGTTTCCTGCATATTTTATATCTGAGAGCTCCATTTTAATCTAAGTGTTGTGTCTTATTTTAGGCTATATTCTTTTTTTTTTTTTTTTTTTTTTTTTATCTTTTGAGATGGTGTCTCACTCTGTTGCCCAGGCTGGAATGCAGTGGCACGATCTCGGCTCACTGCAAGCTCTATCTCCTGGGTTCACGCCATTCTCCTGCCCCAGTCTCCCGAGTAGCTGGGACTACAGGTGCCCGCCACCACGCCCAGCTAATTTTTTTGTATTTTTAGTAGAGATGAGGTTTCTCTATGTTAGCCAGGATGGTCTCGAACTCCTGACCTTGTAATCCATCTGCCTTGGCCTCCCAAAGTGCTGGGATTACAGGCATGAGCCACTGTGCCCAGTCTGTTATTCTTTTCTATATTTTGTTGAGAGCACAAAGCATATACAGTCTAAAAGTGTCTTTTGTTTATTTATAGTAGAACCTTTTCTATAGCATGCTTATCCTGTAAAACTTTTCTTATTTTTATATTATAAAACTTTTCACATGCTCTATGTTGTTGCTGTTTTTCTTTTTCTCTTGACTCTTTTACAAAGAATAAAGTATCTGTTTATGTATGCAAGTTCTATTTGAAACTTCAGGGTGAATGTATTATCTTTGATCCTTTAGTCAACTGAGTGCATCAAATAACCTTGTTTTTAGATCTTATTTGAGGACACGTTGATGTGCACAGGCTCTCATTAAGCTTCCATTGTCTGGGAAACCCTTTACCTAGTGTGACTTTGCTGAAATGTAATGAGAGGATGAGATTTTCACCTGTTCCCATTTCCTGCTTCTCAAAATATAGTGAGGAAAATTTATTCCTACATAGTTTGAAATGCTTTGAAATTCTTAATTTTAAAAAGTAGCTTGTAAACACTGTAAGTTTTCCAACACATTGCTCCACATACTTTTTATGAATAAACCAGAAAATCTTAGGAAGTAACAGTCATATGCCACTTCTATGAGATAATGGCCTCAGAATGAATGTAAAAGTAAGATACTGAGAGAGAGAGAGATGGGGCCTGGCGGGTGAGTTCTGGCTGTCGCAGAAGGCAGTTTGTGTGCAATGTTAAATTATGGCTATACTTTCTTTTCATCTGCACAGGCTCCAAGGCTCTGATATAGTAATTATGTGTGTAGAAATTCTCTACTATGTTTCTTTAGTCTGGTAGAACCTCTATTTCATAAACATAAGTTATTCTGTGGTTCCCTTTTCAATTTGTTTTATCTGTAATGTAGGTGGGCTGTAATTTCTACATGAAAGATGTTGTAAATATAGCAGATACTCAAAAGAGTGACCTGCCTGTTATTGGCATAAAACTAATGAGATCTTTAGTTATCATACTATGTGAATTTTTCAATTACTTTATGTGTGTTTTTCATTATTCCTTGGGACATCCCCAACTTAAATAAGCAATTCTTAAACTTACGCATATGAAGAAAATAAATGTCAGTTTCCTAGTCTCTAGCTTTAGAGTACCTGAGTTAGTAGAAATGAGGTGGAACCTAGAAATCAGTATTTTTAGCAAGTCCTCCAAATGATTCTGAGATGGGCAGTCAAGGATTCACACTTAGAAAACTATCTTAATTCGAAGACCTTTTGAAGTTTCTGGGTATTTTATGTTACAATGAAAAATACCTGGTTTATTAAATATATTTTACAGATTACTTCAAGATCTTGGGTTGTCATGTAGCACTACCTGAGTGCCGACAGGTATAAGAACCTCCTACCGGCCAGGCGCAGTGGCTCACGCCTGTAATCCCAGCACTTTGGGAGGCCAAGGCAGGCGGATTACAAGGTCAGGAGATCGAGACCATCCTGGCTAACACGGTGAAACCCCATCTCTACTAAAAATACAAAACATTAGCCGGGCGTGGTGGTGGGCGCCTGTGGCCCCAGATACTCGGGAGGCTGAGGCAGGAGAATGGCCTGAACCCGGGAGGTGGAGCTTGCAGTGAGCTGAGATCGCGCCACTGCACTCCAGCCTGGGCAACAGAGCGAGACTCCATCTCAAAAAACAAAAAACAAAAAACAAAAAACAAAAAACAAAAACCTCCTACCTTGCAGTTAGAAAGTCTAGAAAGTGAGTATTCCCAGTCATTTTAGTCACAGTCAGAGCTGTCAAGAGATTAGAAATGGTAATTATTATTCCCTTGGTCTGAAATAGTATTTTTTTGCAGCTGAGTAGCTCTTAGGAAGAGGTAGAATTGTCACCATTCTTTGAAAATAACAAAAAACAAATGTTCTCTGTTTAACTTGTAGTGCCAAACTTCCATGGAAACTTAGAATCAAAGGGCAAGTGTATTGGTTTAAGATACATAGAAATAGGAGATAAAGATAAGCAATGATTCCTGAACTCAATCTCACTCTATTGCCATGTGTCTAAGTATGCTGCTCTAGTAAATTGGATTAAGTCCCTTTTAATATTCTTCATTAATATCCAGTCATAAATTACTAAGTTTCACATATTTGCTACTTCCAGTGTTAAATGGTATTTTCTTCATATATTTTTTCCTATGAACTACTCGTATATGGGACAAGGTTCAGAGTTAATATGCTGGAAATTAGAGTAATGCTCAGGCTAAGTAATACTCAATAAATTTTGATTTCTAAGTAGGGCACCTGTCTACAGTATTTTGAGATTCTAGAGCATCAAGACTATTTAACAGAAATTCTATTTATTAGATTGGACCTTATAACATAAATTCATCTCAGATAGATGAAAGTAAGCCTCATATTTTGTCTGTATGATGAAAATAAGCCTCATATTTTGTTTGTGTTTTATCACAGAACCTTGGCATTGGTTTGGAAAAGGTTGCAAAACCAATAATATTACCTAAGTTCTAATTGCACTGTTTCCAATAATCACTGCAACTTGACTGCATTTTCTTAATTAATACAACATTGTACCCCATATCACATATATTTTATCATATCTTATATCATAGTTATTGATCTCGCCAACATTCTCTTCCCTAATTGTTGAGGCTATGTGTTCTGATAGTCTTATATTTTGCCTATGTTAGATGCTTAAGCTGTGTTAAATGATTTGATTGGTGATTCAGGTTTTAAAGATTTGTATAGAAACTTTCCTTTATCATGATTACAAATTCCTTCTAAAAGGAAGATTAACTAATATTTTGATTAACCAGAAATCCTCCAATAAGTGGGAACTAAGATTATGATATGTAGTTACAAGTATCCAAAGAACTAGCTACCTATAAATGGATTTTCAATTAAAGCTGAAGTATGCCTGAGATATATGAGAATTAGCTATGAGAAGAGATGAGGTTAGATTATTTCATTTTATCAGCAAATAAAATTATATTTGATGAAAGAATCAATATTAGAAGTTAATAAATTATTTTTCATCTATTTTGTATTTTATATCCTGTATCGCATATCTATTCAGTATGCCATCGTTTATTTGAAAATAACGCTGTAGATAAAGTTTATTATCTTTATATGATTGGTTGTAAAAAAGATCAATAAACTGTCATCTTTAAACATTTATTAAGCAGCTTGATACAAGCACAATAGTACATAATGCTATGTTACAAAGAGGTGCATCTCCACCAGATTTTTAGAACAGTAGTATCTTCAAACACTGTCAAAATATGCGTGATGATCTCATCTTCTCCATGTCCAAACTATTTTTCAAATGGCATCTTGCACAGATAAACAACATATATCCTAACTTACTCTTTGAAAGGTCTAACAAATGGTATTCCCTGAAAAAGCTTATAGCGAAGTTGGCTGAAAACAAAAGAAAACAACAGTACATGAAAATGTAAGCTAACGTCCCATAGACTTGACCAGGATATGAGTGATCTCAAAATATCACATGCATGGCAAGGCTGACTTTGCTTAGCCTGACAGATCTCATTTTGAGAACTGGGTTTTGTCCAGTGCCTTTCCAAGTCTCCTTTGGTAAGTCAGCTTTCTAGAATTCCTTTCTGTGTGCACAGTGGTTCTGCCCTATTTGTAATTGGGCTGTAGCAGGCACTTAATAAACATCCCTCCTGCTGTGTTTGAGCCTATCAGCCTGCAGTTGTTTAGGTATTCCATAATCATCCATATCCCAGTATATCCTACCCAGAAGAGTTATGCTGCAATATGTGTTGCTTCAAAGTGAGTAGACTGGCTGCCCTCCAGTATCTCATTGTCAGTGATGCCACCATACCACTTAATTAAATAGGACTTCCAAAGAAGCTTCCTTGGGAACCATTTATAAAGTCCTGAGCCACATGAGCTCTCACCACTCTCTATACAATGACAGATCCATAGACTTTCAGTTTCATTCAGTGTTTGGGGCAAATTGAGCTACGCATCTCCCTCCCAGCTTATCAAAAGACACCATGATACATCTGACTCCTTTGCCTGAATAATTCCTATACATTCACTAAACACCAGTAAGTTTGTTTTCAGTTTGTATCAGACATGTGCTATATGTTTGGGATACACATTTACATATAATTAAAGTCAGTGCCTCAATGACCACATCATCTTGTAATTAGGGTAAATATCGTATATGCTGTAATAGAGGTTTGTAAAGTATATTTTGGAATTAAAGAGGAAGAAGGAGTTACACCTAACACATAGAGCGAGAAGAAAAGTGAAGCAAAGATGAAACAAGCACTTACAGGATGGTCAGTGTGAAAGGGATCAGCGGAAGGGCCCATTTCCATCGAGAGTAACTCTAAGAAAGGATATGTGTACTTGGTGAAAGTTTAGTATAGCAGTTCAATTAGAAGCATGGCTTTGTTCTTCCAGACCATGATTTATCTCAATCCATTTATTTTCAATAACTCAATTCAATGAATATATATACATGAACAAAAATGTCCTAAGAAAATAAATAATTTCTCTAGTATACACAGCTAGTTAGTTACATCTTTGTCTAGGATACAGATTTCCTAACTGCACGTCTAACTGAAGTGTGGTTATTAAAAAGGGGGAGGGGAGGAAATCCTAGTGTTAGAATATTTTGAATAATGTAAGGCCTCTCTCCTCAGCATCTCCAGAGACCTTTTTAATACATAATACATAGGAAACAGGAATTGGGATTATCATGTGATTTCTCACATACCAACACTGGAGTACTAAGCATTTGTGATGACTGCATCTTCCAGATTATGTTGAGTTGAGAAAAGTAATAAAACCAATTTCCTCTTTTGTCCTAAAAACCATTATACATGCCAAATTAAATCCAATCTCAACACTTGAATATGAAATATATAAGATTTTTATATGAACTAAGCAAACAGTTAAAAATATCATGTCAGCGAGGAATAGTTTTAATCCTAACTTGCTTCACCTCTCTCTGGACTCTGACACTGTTGATTAGACACATCTTTCATCTTCAGAATTGCTCTTCTATTTATTTTTCTGATAATATTCTGTTACACTCTCCTGGTCTGCTCTTACTTTCTGTTTATGTCTTCTCATTTATCATTTAGGGTTCCTCTTTCTCTTCTCTTTGTTTAAATGTTGATGTTCATTGAGATTCCACCTTTAGGTATTTCTTTCTTTTCACTTTCGGTGATACTATCTAAATGTATACCATCTCAATGAGTTATTTTTAATTGTACCCCTTGGCCAATGCTAGAAAGTATCCAAATACATTTTCTGTTTGAATGCCAGTAGGAGCTTGATCCAAACGAATTTAAAACCTAACTCATCTTCCTCAAACCTGCTCCTCTTCTTTTATCACCTGTCTTTTGAAATAGCACCATCCGTCCAAGTCAGAAACCTAGGATCTTCTTAGATACCTGCTATGTTCTCACCTCCTAGTCACCAAGTGCTCCAAGTTTTACCTTTGCTTGGTTCCCTTACTTTCTGTACCCGTTGCCATTCTTTTATTTACAACCTAATCTCTTCTTGCACGTATAATAGCAACTGCCAGTTAAGTTGTCTTCCTTCTCTCCACCTTACTCCCCTCTTTTTCATCCTCCTCTCAGCATATTCAGAAACTTTTTTTATTTCTTTTTTTATTAATTATACTTTAAATTCCGGGATACATATGCAGAACATGCAGGTTTGTTACATCGGTATACAAGTGCCATGATGGTTCTGCACCCATCAACCTGTCATCTACATTAGGTATTTCCCCAACAGGCCCTGGTGTGTGCTGTGTGTCCATGTATTCTCCCTATGTCCATATATTCTCATTGTTCAACTCCCACATATGAGTGAGAACATGCAGTGTTTGATTTCCTGTTCCTGTGTTAGTATGCTGAGAATGATAGTTTCCGGCTTCATCCATGTTCTTGCAAAGGACATGAACTCATCCTTTTTTATGGCTGCATAGTATTCCATGGTGTATATGTGCCACATTTTTTTTATCCAGTCTGTCATCGATGGACATTTGGGTTGGTTCCAAGTCTTTGCTATTGTGAACGGTGCTCCAATAAACATACATGTGCATGTGTCTTTATAGCAGAATGATCTATAATTCATTGGGTATATACCCAGTAATGGGACTGCTGGGTCAAATGGTATTTCTGATTCTAGATCCTTGAGGAATTGCCACATTGTCTTCCACAATTGGTGAACTAATTTAGACTCCCACCACAATGTCAAAGTGTTCCTCTTTCTCCACATCCTCTCCAGCATCTGTTGTTTCCTAATTTTTTAATGATTGCCATTCTAACTGGCATGAGATGGTATCTCATTGTGGTTTTGATTTGCATGTATCTGATGACCAGTGATGATGGGCTTTTATTCATATGTTTGTTGGCTGCATAAATGTCTTCTTTTGAGAAGTGTATGTTCATATACTTCACCCACTTTTGGATGGGTTGTTTGTTTTTTTCTTGTAAATTTGCTGAAGTTTCTTGTAGATTCTGGATATTAGCCCTTTGTCCGATGGATAGATTGCAAAAATTTTCTCCCATTCTGTTGGTTGCCTGTTCACTCTTATGATAGTTTCTTTTGCTGTGCTGAAGCTCTTTAGTTTAATTAGATCCTATTTGTCAATTTTGGCTTTGGTGCCATTGCTTTTGGTGTTTTAGTCATGAAGTCTTTGCCCATGCCTACGTGCCGAATGGTATTGCCTAGGTTTTCTTCTAGGGTTTTTATGGTTTTAGGTCTTACATTTAAGCCTTTAATCCATTTTGAGTTAATTTTTGTATACAGCATAAGGAAGGGGTCCAGTTTCAATTTTCTACATACGGCTAGCCAGTTTTCCCAGCACCATTTATTAAATAGGGAATCCTTTCCCCATTGCTTGTTTTTGTGAGGTTTGTCAAAGACCAGTTGGTTGTAGATGTGTGGCATTATATCTGAGGCCTCTATTCTGTTCCATTAGTCTATATCTCTGTTTTGGTACCAGTACCATGCTGTTTTGGTTACTGTAGCCTCATAGTATAGTTTGAAGTCAGGTACTATGATGCCTCCAGCTTTGTTCTTTTTGCTCAGGGTTGTCTTGGCTATGTGGCTCTTTTTTTGGTTCCATATTAACTTAAAAGTAGTTTTTTTCTAATTCTATGAAGAAAGTCAATGGTAGCTTGATGGGGATAGCATTGAATGTATAAATTACTTTGGGCAGTATGGCCATTTTCACGATATTGATTCTTCCCATCCATACTCATTCCATGCTCTTTCTTTCCCTGCTCTTTCTTTGGGAGGAGTTACCAAATGCAGCCCACAACCAATGTGATGGAAGTGATGCTGCACCTCTTAGAGGAAGAGATGTCTACATAATTTATTTGGAATTCTTCTCTAAGGGAGATTTGTCCCTTTGCCCACATCTTTAGTTGCTCAAACATTTATATTATTATGGACCCATGAATATTGTCTTCTGTGTTTGGTCTGATAAAACAAAACACCATAAACTAGACGGCTTATAAACAACAAACATTTGTGTCTCACAGTTTTGGAGCCTGGGAAGTCCAAGGTCACGGCACTTGCAGATTTGCCGCCTGGTGAAGGCCCATGTCCTGGTTCATAGAAGGCAGCTGCCTTTTTATTGTGTCCTCACATGCTGAAAGGGGTGAGAGCATTCTCTGGAGTCTTTTTTAAGAAGGGCACTAACCTCATTTATGAGGGCTGCACTCTCATCACCTAATCACCTTCCAAAGGCCCCACCTCTAATAATACTGTGACACTGCGTAGCAGGTTTTAATATAGGAATTTGAACAAGGACGCAAACATTCAATCTATAGAAAATATTTATTTTATACTTGGAGTTATCATCCAATACTATGCTGTTCATTATGTTGCTCAGACTGATCCACATTTGGACACTGGAAATTCTTTCAGACTGGCTCCTGTTCCCTTTGGCATGCCCACTTAAGTTATATTTTTGAACATTTTCTGGCCATACAAGGTACTCCAAGTTTATCCTATATAATACCCTTCTCAATCATAGAATTAGCATTTCCCCAGAGAGTCTTGGTTCCTCAAAGAAAAATCTTGTTGGAGAATGGTTATTTAGCAATCAAGATCTGGACTATACTGCTTTTTAGAAATACTTTGTTTTCCCATTTTTTATGTTGTGTTCTTAGATTACACCACAAAAGTAATCATTTCTTGTCATTTTTGTCCAAAGAGCAATTTTGTGGCTTGGGGAGTTTTTCAGAAATATGAATTCCTGGTTCCCACTGCTGGGAACTGTGACTTATTAAGCCAGTAGCTAGGCACTGAACTGGTGTTTCTGGTGTTGGTGTTGCAATATACTCATGTAATTTTGTTCTGAAAAATAATTATGAATTACAGCATATGTAATGAACTCCCTTAAATTCATAGTGGGACCAAATGAAGCCCAGAGAATTAGCACATGGCCAAAGACACAGAGCAAAGGAAGCTATTTATTTACTCCTAGTGAATCAGTTATTTTCCATGCTTACACTCCCAGTCTATGTTTACTCATACCCTTTAAGTCAGTGATTCTCAACCCTGGTTCTCTCAAGGAAGTTTTAAAAATCCCTATGTCCAGGCCTCAGTTTCAGAAATTCTGACTTAAATGGTGTAAGGTGGCACCTTGCAACTAGGTTTTCTTAAAGCCTTACAGATGATATAATGAACAGCCAGGATTGAGAACTATTGCTTTCAGCAAACAAATTCAAGCTCATCTGGGTACAGATATTGTATATTATGTTTTTTTCTAACATTTCTGAGTAACATTTAACTTATGTTGTATAACTTGACAGCTCAGGGTTGTCAATTTAATTTGACGAACATGTGTAACATTTACTTTGTGCTTAATATGGTGCTGGATTCTCTGGGGAGAGAGAGATTAGGGGCATGAATCAGTTATAGTCCCTTCCATCCAAGAGCTTAAACTATAATAGAATAGCATTGGTACGGATCCAAAGTAGTAGAATATCAAGTGGAGATAGGTGAGTGGATAGAAAGATTAAGTGCCAGGATGGGAAATGGGGGCTTCAAGGAAGTAGATCATGTCGAGTTTAAATATATAATTTTGTTCCCTGGCTGAAAGAAGTGGTTCCTTCCTTATGAGTCTCTATTATCTTCTGTGGGTGGCCTTTAACAAAGCTGTAGTTTTTCAGGGACTCCAGAAGTCATATTATTTTTGTCTTAAAAGTCCATTAGAATCACATGTTAGCTAATACGGTTGTCACCTAGGTCTTGATTAAGCTCTCTCAAGCAAGAGACTAAGCAAACCATGTTAACAATGAATCCAGCTGTAAGAAAACTGATGTTATTTTTAGACATCTTGACTGAAAATTGCTTTGTCCCATCACTGGGCAATGCTTATATTACTGTTTTTACTGCTGGTAAATTAGGTGTTGTAGAAATTATGCATAACTGCACCATTTTTAATATTTGCTACTGTAATCATTTCTGTAATTATGATACAGAAGCAACTGCTGCAAGCTGTTCCATGGATGGCTATTTTACTGAGTTCTAATGATGGTATCTATTGAAAAAATTCTATCTACAAAGCCCCTGCTAGCAAGTGCCTCCCTGGTGATGTGAGGCAGATAAGCTTTATCAGACGCTGTTAATGAACTTGATTTATGATGTTGGTGGTTCAATCTGACATATTACTTTGAGCTTTAGACATTTAGATTCCAGCTTTTGCTATTTCTTCCCCAATCCCTTGGAGAAAGAACAAAACCTGTTAGAATTTGAAATGAGTGTGCATTTGTAAAGTAATATTGTTGCCATGCCACATTTTCTTGTAAAAACTGTGTCCTAAGTGCAATGTCAAGTCGTGTAATACATACCAAGAACAAGATGCATGAAGCTCTTAATTGAATAAAGGCTAATTATTAATCAGGGAATGGCTTTCATATTAGCTCTGGGAGTTGCCTAAAACACTACAATTAATGGGTCCATTACCAGTTTTCACAAAGTGAGGTGATGCCCTAGCAGCTGTTGTTTCTCTGGTTGAGCTTGTGGCTATCATCCATTCCTATTCTGCCTGATTCATACTGTTTCCAGAAAATAAATGTGTGCACAGTGTGTAAGCACACCCTCCCCAATTAAGCCAAACAAGCTATAGACATAAATAAAGAGAGCAGTGACCCCCAGCAGTGTGATTTGTGTGGTTTCTAGGAGAGATGCCTCTTCCCCTGTCATCCCATGACCAGCCTAAGTATCCTGGTGCCTGGAGTTCTGCCATTTGAGCTTTTGGGAAAAACTATATTCTTTCCATGTTTGTGTTATAAAATTTAAATATCATGAGAGACCAACACATTAAGTCCTCATAGGTTTATATAATTGCATTGTCCTCGATGGATTGTGTCAACTTGGCCAAAATGGAATGTGCTGCTTCCCGCTGTAATGAATTCCTGTGCCCTGCAGTGTCAGACAGAGAGGCTAGCAGGTGTTAGCAGGGATTCAAGCCTTTAATAGGTATTAGACGACTAAATGGTGTACGCTTGTCTTACAACTCTGAGTTTTTTTCCACTTTTACTCAGGTATAATTGACAAAATTGTATATATTTAAGGTGTACACATAATGATTTGATATGCATCTACCTTGTGAAATAATTATCACAGTCAAGTGAATTAACATCCCTTCACATATTTCCCTTTTTTGTGCTAAAAACACTTAAGGTCTACTTTCTTAGCAAATTTCAAGTACACAATACAGTTTTATTAACTATAGTCATCATTCCACAAGGCAAGGAACCTCTCTGGACCTTTTTCCTTACCTATAGAATATACAGCTAGGATTTCTCCATTCTCTTCAAGCTTCATAATTCAACACTTATTGTATGAGAGAACAGGGTAAGCCAATATGTAGAAAAAAACACCAAGACACAAGAAAAGAGAAAGAGGATCTCTGTACAGATGCTTTACTCTCTTCATAAAGGAAATGGTATGTCTTTCCTTTGGTGGGCAGTAATTCATCTGCAGCCATTAGAGCATGGTTGGCTATAGAATCCTCTGAGCTCAAAGGACATTTCCAAAAGCATCTGATCAGTTGTTCTGTCTCTTGGGAACAATTTGTACAACCTTACCTGTTTGGTAAGCTTGGAGAGTGTCATGCTATATGTTTGACAACATCTAAAAGTCCTTTGGATTAGACAGAATCAGTTCTGGTCACAGGGCAGTCACCTCCTAACAAGTCATTGAAGTTTGACAAACTTTTGAAACTGTCATCCACCCTTCTTGCTGCCTCCTTTTTGCTTTCTGATTCCTCTTTTATCATATTCTGAACAGTGACCTATAACCCTGTTCTGATCTTTTCTGCTATTTTCTCTACCTAATTTCCTATTTCCCCCTCCTCCTCTATGTTCTTCTCTATATCTCTTTGTATACAGCTCTCTGTTTAAGAATTAGATCATGGTACAAAAATAAAAGTGCATTTTTTTTATAACTGCACACATGAGATTCAACTGAAGAGGTAGGGGAAAAAAAAATTTAAATAGGACATCTTTTCTACCATTCTTCCAGTAGAACACGTTGCTATCTTTTTATTTTTCCTTGCACATGCAATCTTTCTTCCTCTTCTTTCAGTTTTGTGAAATGCTGATGAAGATATTGACCCAACTGTAAGCAGAGATAATTGGGGAAATGCATTTCAGCATTTACCTTCTAATTCTCATTTGTGAGTACCCAATGTATTGAGAAAAGTGGCATTCTTCTAGCCTTCTTGAATTTGTATCACTAATCAGTTTTCTCTCTGCCTATCCATAACAAAAACTAAAAATGTTTCATGAGTTAGATCACTTTAGTAAGGACATCATTCGAACACTGTCACCTAGGTAATGGAATAATTACCATAGCAACAGAGTCTTTATCTTGCAGTAGCTATAAAATTTTGACAGATGGAAAAGACTGATTGAAGATTTAAAGCAGGACATAAATGTAACATATATTAGTGGCTAAAGTCATAGTAATATCTTACAAATTTCTATCTTTTGTATAGATTAAATTGACTGTGAGGTGTTTATATTGTTATTTATTTCCAAAGTAAATTTCGCTTTTGAGTAAATAGAAATTTTTATTTTTGAAAACCTGCGGTTAGATTATCACATGCAGAGATGTTAATGGTACAATGTTTAAAAAAAAGATAAAATTTTAATAGTAAAAAGAAGTCTATTGTAGAACGATTATTCTTATTAAATTGACCAGCTAAACATTTATAGTTCTTGCAGCTGTAACCTGTATCTGATAAAAAACATTTGTTAAAACATATTCTTCTTCATTTTTGACTTTACAGTGTTTTCAGTTGACTTAAATCTTGTGTTTGTGTCTGTGCATTTTGTGTGTGTGGGCTAGGGATGTCCATATGTTTTTCTTCATCCACATACAAGTTGAACTCAATGTGCATTTCCTTAGATGACCTATTAGATGAACAGTTTGAATTCATCACTTTATTAAAGGAGAGAAGAGTCAAAAGTCATTTATGTATTTCTTATGCTTCTACCAAAAATTAAAACAAAACATAGATAATCACCTTAGTTTCTCATTCTGAAATCTCTCACCTCTGAGGAATTATTGTTTAATAGGAGAAGTAGGCCCAGAAAATTGTATTTTATTGGTCCTGTCTACACTTCCACAAATAGAACAGTTTTCATGCTAAAGAAGTAGAGGGCATGAGGGCAGATATTTGAATTTTAAAAGTGTTTATTTAATAATAATGTCTTCCTTTGCCTTTCCAGGGACTGGGAGTAGGTTTACTAATAAAACCATCCAGGCTATAAAAATAATTATTTATATTAATAAAGAATATGAACATGTTCACATATTTAACAACAAATGGGTTATCACAATATCAAATCAAAGTCTTGAAAAAATAGCATTAATATATATTAATTTGCCAATATTTATAAACAGCACTCATTCCTTTTTTTTTGTCTTCTTCAGCTAACTGAAATTGATGTAGCATCTTGAAGGTTGACTTTATTAAAACTTTTCATGATTTAAATCCAAGCAGAGAACATGAGTCTAATCTACACACCTATTTTTAAAAATAAAATAATGATAATAAGATAAATTCCTTGGGTCATAGTGAAAATCTGCTTTCTGCCTTTATGGCTCTTAGGACTGATAGTATATCCATTCAGATCCATTATAATGTAATTGCTTTGTGGGATCATGTGATGTGATGTGATGTGATGTGATGTGATGTCGGGGTGTGGGTGTGTATATGCACATGCTTGCATATGGGAGACAGAGAGATGCTTTTTGGTTCTCTAACAATCTTTACAAATTGAATTATAACTTTTCTATCTGCTCAGGCAAGAAAATTAAGTTTCATTTATTCATAGAGGACAAAGCTCTCCCCAAAGAAGTCATGGGCAGGTTGCAGAAATTAGTCAGACCTCAAGAGATTACCTGTGAAATTGAAGGGTCTTTTACTCCATGTTGACCTTCGTGCAAAGCTATGTAAAGCATGGAGCATGGGATTTAAAGTGAGAGGAACATATTTTAGTATTTGGACCACAACTACTAACTATAAGACCCTGCTTTTCAAGCCTCCGGTTCCTCATTATTAATGTTAGAAAATTAGAAGAATAGTACCTACTTCTTAGGAATGTTTGAAAATTACTTCATTTACAACGCATATAAAGTGTCTGAAACATGGAAGATGTTCAGTAAATACTGAGTCCCTTCATCTATATTCATGCTAATTTTTCAGTCCAGTGATTCTAGTTATGATTAGTATTAGACTTGGGGTGAGTTAAAGGAGGAAACGATCAATTTAAAGCCAATTTGAAATATTCATCTCCAGGGAAAAGGGAAACAGTGGAGGGCTAATGAGCTAATATATGTGGCAGCCCCTTGGTGAGATGTGCAAATGAAATCCCCTCTAAGCTTATTTCATAGATCAACACTGAGTATAAGAATTAGTATCTTTTTTTGTTGTTTCAAGAAATCTTTCCTTAATTTTTTTGGAAAATAAAATTTTCCCAGTTGAAGTTGCTGAGATGAAGCTTTGACAGAACCACTGCAAGTCCTGTTATTTGGGTCACATAAATCTACTGTGCCAGTAGACAGTTAAAACACATTACATTCAAAATGCAGTGAAATGTTTCCAGACAACTGAGAATGTGTCAGTATGAAGATCTGTGCATTAAGGCATAACTGATCAGCCTTTTTAGGAAGTGAAATCATGATCATTAGGAAAACATTTCTTTTGCCAGAAATAGAAAGCTAGTATACTAATTTTATTGAAAGTTTAGGTGGCTACTGAATTCTACCTCGGAGAAACTTATTTTGATGAATGAAAAGCCATAAAACCTTTGACATGAGATTGCATAACCCAGTTCTTTTGTAAATGAGTTAAGTTGGTGTCTGAGAAGGTTGAATTACTGCAGACGTTGATAAAGTGGTAATCCACTAAACATGTCTGGTGTGGAGACACCAGTTTGATGGTACCAGATACCTTTAAAGGTGGCGTGAAGGGCAAAAAATTGGTTAAGGGTCAGTTTAAGTAGCAATTAATGCTTTACAGTTCTTCCTTAACAGTCACAGCAAAATGGCAATTCTTCTCCTACTGTGGCAGAAGAAAAGAGTTTTCTCTCAAAACCCGAGATTGGAGAGACCTCAAATCATGGAACATTGGGGGATAATAAACCAAATAATACTGACATACTGACATGATTTCATGAAGATCACGTAAAAGTCCTGACAAAACATGATATTAAAGTGGGATTTTCTTTGCTCTAAACTTGACCACAGAGGGAAGAACCAAAACGGTGAAATCTGTAAGTATCAAGAGTCAAAAACAAATTGAAATATCACATAACAAAAACAAGATAAACTTCTGGATATTATGAAAATATGCAGAACTCTGGCCAGAACGTAACTGTAAGCAATGTTTTCTTCTTATTTATTTATTTAGAGACGGAGTTTCACTCTTGTTGCCCAGGCTGGAGTGTAATGGCTCTATCTCGGCTCACTGCAACCTCTGCCTCCGGGGTTCAAGCGATTCTCCTGCCTCAGCCTCCCGAGTAGCTGGGATTATAGGCACGTGCCACCATGCCCGGCTAATTTTGTATTTTTCGTAGAAACGGGGTTTCTCCATATTGGTCAGGCTGGTCTCTCGAACTCCTGACCTCGGGTGATCCGCCCACCTCAGCCTCCGAAAATGCTGGGATTACAGGCATGAGCCACTGTGCCCAGCCTCTTTATTTTTTTTATAAACAATTTATTTGAGAGATAAAGGAGATGGTAACGTGATCTCAAATTAAGATTCCATTTCAGTTCTGTCTGAAGCTTTGGATGCCTAGACCAAACACTGTATCTAATAGCTAGATGCTGAACCACCTAAGAAAAACTTTGAAAGGCAGTGCGTTGAAGGCCAGTTTGTTTTCTGTAGCCCAACTTTTACCTTGAGAGCGCATAAAAGATTTGAAATGCCAAGAAGGAGTTTTATTTTCAGAGAAAATCTCTTTGCAACCTTTCCCCCATGGGAAAAGGAAAGGGACTGCTTAACAATCAGCCTAAAATGCATGAAAGGAGCTTCAGGAAAACTCCTGAGAGACTCTGGTGTGTATTCACTGGACTTTTCAGGAAGCAGAGACTGGTGCCAGAACCATGGCCTGGTCCTGAGTAGCGAAAAAGAGACTGGCACTGTAAAGTAGATATACATTCTTAGATAATGAGTCACAGGAGCCTGTTATGAGGACCAGATGAGGACCCAAGAGTAGGAAGAGGCTTGGGGGCCTTTTAAAATTCTATTTGAGAGAGCCTGATGATGAGACCCATAGGGAGGATTTGCATTGCCAGAAACTTAGGGTTAGAGGGAGTAAGAAAAAATGACCACTAGAAAAAATGCATTGCAGAATATGGTAAATGTAAACGCAGGTTCCCAGTGAGGGGATTTGCTTAGAAACCCAAAATGTGTCCCCAAAATTTCTTTATGGAATTATACTCTATTGAATTCTGCTATTTCAAAATAACTGTCTCATTTATAATGAGTGATGAGACAATTCTACCTTTTTAAAAACCTATAAACAGGCCTATCATCTGTCCCCTACTCAGTCAGAATATTGCAGGATAACCTAAAAATATGTAATTACTTCAGAGACATTGCTTCAGATATATTGAGATTCTGACACTTTGGGTACCTTGATGAAATGCCAGAGCTTCTGCCTGATAACTCTCCACTGAATTTCTCTGGTCAAAATTCCTAATTAGGCACACAGTTTCCAATCAAACTTTCAATGCCTTGGTCTCATTCTTAGATATGAAAGGCAGGTAAGAATTTAAGATATATTGGGAAACCATTAGCATAAAAGAAAAGGCAAAACAAGAAAAGTTAAAAAATAAATACAATCAATGTGATACAAAGCTTTTAAAAAGAACTGCAATTAATATCACCAGAGATGAGAGAAGATACACATGAAAAAAAAACAGGATGCTAAAATAAATGGACGATTACAGAAAAAGAAATAGTTCTTGAGAATTAAAATTTATTAAAGAAATAATTTAATAGCTGTTTAGGCAATGGAGTTGAGTAAATTAAAAAATAGAACAAATATACAATGAATGAGCAATAGCAAAAGAAAATAAAGAGATCAAAATTCGATGACTTTTCCTGAAGATTCAACTTTGAAATGAAGAATAATACTTTCTGAAAGAGAAAAAGAAGAAAAAACTGGAGTAAATTATAAAATGAATAAATCAGGGCCAGGCGTAGTGGCTGATGCCTGTAACTGATAACGTCAGCACTTTGGGAGGCCAAGGCAGGCAGATCACGAGGTCAGTTCGAGACCAGCCTGGCCAACATGGTGAAACCCCGTCTCTACTAAAAATACAAAAATTAAATTAGCTGGGCAAAGTGGTGGGCACCTGTAATCCCAGCTACATGGGAGGCTGAGGCAGGAGAATCATTTGAACCCGGGAGATGGAGGTTGCAGTGAGCCAAGATCACGCTGTGGCACTCCTGGGCGACAGCGCAAGACTACATCTCAAAAAAAAAACAAAAAAAATTTAAAATATTTCTTAGAATTGAGGGACTTGAGTTTCCAGACTGAAAGGGCCCTCTAAGTATACAGATCATTAATAAAAGAAAACAGATATAAAATTTTTATTAAGATACATCATCTTGAAATTTCAGAATTCTAATAAAAATGACTATTTTAGGGGAGGTGATAAAATTAGGTCACAGAGGAAAAGAATTAAGGTTCACATTGCCTTCAGAATTATGAGTGGCCATAGCTAAATATAGAAGGTAAGAAAGCAATACCTTCAAAAATTTGAGTAAAGTTACATCCAACTCAGAATTCTGTGCTTAACTAATTTGTCAACCTATTGTAAGATACAAGAAGGATATTTTCTGACTTGTGATAGAGATATTTTATCTGCCCTGCATCCTAGAAATGATGCCCCAAAACTTAAAGAAAAAAATACAAAGAATAAACCAAGAGGATACAATGATACAACCCAGAAACAAAAGCATTTGCTTTAATGCAAAAGAGAAGGGAAAAGAATTTCCAGGGTGAAGATGAAGGAAGAGCAAGGAGGTCAGCTGTAGAGCAGACACTGAGAGAACAGTCATACCAGATGGGAGCAGGACAGGGGAAGACTCTGGAATGATTCAAAAGAAAGAAGTAGAATAACTCATATGTTACTTCTTTGGTCAGATTAACAAGAGTTTTAATGCATTTTACCTCCCCCAAATTGATACAACTGTTTGCAGAAGATAGGACAGGTGATGTGCACATATGGTACTGGGGAGTTTGTTTAAGTTAAATAGAAATGTTGAAAACTGATGACTGAATAAGTATCAGTATAAGTTCAATATTTATTTTATTTCAAAGTGATGGCTCCTCGATCTTCGAGAAACGCCTTCCAAGTTTATAGAGGAGTTACATCTCAAAGGGATAAGGAAAGAATTTCTAATTGCAAATTTTCTAAAGCAACTGCTCTAAGAAAAGGGAGGTCAGGGGACCTATTGTCATAAATAAACCTATTTAAACTCTAGTCAAACTGTGGGTATCAGTAGGGTTATATTGGACACTGAAAATAGAAAGAGGTAGAACTTCCTAATTATTTCAAGGCCAATATGACATTGATACTAAAACATACAAGAACAGCACTAAAAAGGAATTTTATAGGCCAATATCACTAATGAATATTAATGCAAAATTACTCAATAAAATATAAGCTACTGAATCTAGAAATTAATTTGAAAATCAACATGTGTCATCTCTATGTTGGATTTATCTTGGGAATACAGAGTTGGCTTTAGTTATAAAACTCTGTTAATGCAATTCATCACATAAACAGATTAAAGGAGAAAATCCACATTATCATCTCAATAGTTGCTTTAAAAGCATTAAATAGAATTCAACACCAATACATATAAATAAACAAAAAGAAAAAAACTTAGGAAATTACGGAAATAGAGGAATTTTTTTCTCATAAAGAGTATCCATAAATCCACAGTAAAGTCATAATAATGTCAAACATTAGACACACTTCTTTTAGTATTGAGAATGGGACAAAGACACTTGCCATTACTACTTTTATTTCGTAATATACCAGATCTTCTTTCTAGCATAGTAAAAAATATATATATATGTATATGTATATAGATATAGATATAATTAAGAGGTATATGACCTGAGATAAAAGAAAAAAAGATGTCATGATTTGGATATGTTGTTATTATTGCCTACATAGAAAGCCTAAGAGAATCTACAGGCAAATGATTAGCATTAATAAGAAGTCAACAAGCTATAGTTTGCTTTCATACTGCTGATACAGACATCCTCGAGACTGGGAAGAAAAAGAGGTTTAATGGACTTACAGTTCCACATGGCTGGGGAGGCCTCACAATCATGGTGGAAGGCAAGGAGGAGCAAGTCACATCTTACATGGATGGCAGCAGGCAAGAGAGAGAGCTTTTGCAGAGAAACTCCCGTTTTTAAAATAATCAGATCTCATGAGACTTATTCACTATCATGAGAACTGCATGGGAAAGACCCATCCCCATGATTCAGTCACCTCCCACCAGGTTCCTCCCACAAAACGTGGGAATTCAAGATGAGATTTAGGTGGGGACAGAGCCAAACCATATCAGCATGTATGATCCACATAAAAAAATAAATTGCACTTCTATATACTAACAACAATAGTAAATGTATTTTAAAATATATATCTATCATTGGTCTCAGCATTAAATATAAAAGAATCCTAAGGTTAAGTATAAACAGAGATGTTCATAATTTTTATAAAGAAAATTTAAAACTTTATTGAAAAATATTAAAGATGACCTACATAAAAATAAATATATTCATTAACAGTTTCAATATCATGGAGATAGCAATTCTCAATAAAATAATCTATATTTTCAGTGAAAACCCAAAAAGATCCTGACAGAGATTTTAATGAAATTTGACAAGCTGATTCTAAAGTTAATATGGGAAAACAAAACATAAAAAAAGTATTTCTGAAGAACAGAAGAATTTGCTTTATAGTAAATCTTATAAACCTGTTTTAATGAAGAAAGTGAGTATCTGTATGGGAGCAGATTAACAAAGAAATAGAATAGAAAGCCAACAAAGATACACACACATATGTGGAAACTGGATCTATGAAATAAGTGGCATGGCAGGTAAGTAGGAAAAGGATTTTGGAAATAATTATGGACCAATATAATGCATAGTGGGAAATAAAACCTGATCTCCATTTCACATAATAGCCAGAATCAATTTAAAGTAACTGGTTAACCTAAATATGAGTCTTACAATATAAAGAAATATCTTTGTTATTTAAGGCTTGGGAAGAACTTTTTAAATTAGACATGAAATACAAAACATAAATAAAAAGTGGTAAGAATAAAAGAATATTAAAATTTTTTTTCCATACAAATACATCATTTAATAAGTGGGAGTGGAGGAGCCAAAGTAGTAAGGAGGTATTTACAAAACCTAATTACAAACTGACTAGAATTCTGAGTATAGAAATTCTTCCTAAATTCATAAGAAAAAGGTTAGAAAACCAATTTAATGGTACAAAAAAAGATGCTGTATCAGCAGCTCACAGAAAAGTAAACCCTACTGGCCAGTAATTTTATGAAAAGATGACAAAATTTACTCATCATTTTTATGAAAATGAAAACCAAAATGAGATTATTATTTTACAAACTTCAATGAAAAATGTTTAATGTCCCACAATAGCAATTACTGGTGAATATAGAGTAACTAGGACACTTACTTGCAGTAGGAGTGTAAATTGGTAGAACCATTTTGAAAAGCTCCTAATCAATATCTGCATGAAGTTTAAGTTGTCTGCACAGTAAGTCCTCACTTAATGGCATTGATAGTTTCTTGGAAACTGCAATTTTAAGTGAAACAACATATAACAAAATCAATTTTACTATAGGCTAATCGATACAAACTAGAGGTAAGTTCCTGCAGCAACTTTCTGGTCACAAAACATCACCACATTTTTATATAAAGACCCAAAGCACTTATAATAAACATTGAAAAAATGTGAGCTATGCATACATTTTTAAAAGATTAATAAAAACAGGTAAGATAATTATTTACACAGTTGCTCTAGTTCAGGGTTGCAGGTGCCCAGAGCCTATCCCAGCAGCTCAGGGCACAAGATGGGAGCCAAATTTGGACAGGGAACACTCATACACACTTCCACACCCATTCAGACTGGGACAATTTAGACCTGCCAACTAACCTGATGTGCACATCTTTGGGATGTGGGAGGAAACCAGAGTACTCAGAGAAAACCCACACAGACATGGGGAGAACATGCACACTTCACACAGAAAGTAGCCCTAGCCAGGAATCGTGTTTTTCATTGACGTTATAATGAACAACAATATTCAAGTACCTCCTGTACTCTATAACCTAGCAAATCTACCTGCAAGGACCTAAGGAATCTATTGCTCATGAGTGCAGTGAGACAGCACAAGATGGTTTATTGCAGCACTGTTTGAAATTACAGAAAAAAAGTTAAACAAACGTAAATGAGAAACAAATTGAATACCATTAATCCCATTGACAGAAAAAAGTTCAAAAACATGTAAAACATGTTTAGGGATACCTATTTACACCCGCTACCCCTCAAAAGAAAAGCACATGAGGGGTAAACATCAAGGATAGTAGATACCCATAAGAGTGAGCCACAGTCTGCACTATTGGAAGGGCCCACACAGACTTTAATCATAATGGATATGTGATATCATTTTCTTATAACTATTTTAGTTGAAATCTTTTTTTAGTAAACCTGAATTTTTTTGTTTATACATAACACTAGGCTCAAATTCAAAAGCAGAATATTGCACCAGATAAATAGATGGATGAATAGATAGGTATAGAGATATTATCAAGAATGGACAACAGCTATGAAGTGGGACGGAAACCTGAACAAATGAAACTAACTGTATTATTAATGACTTTATTACAATCAAATAAGAAAAAAAAAGAAATAACCCAAGTAATTTTAACACTGTATTTTACCTACTTGCCATATACAGATATTGAACTAAATTGGTAGGTATTTCTTATGTGATATGGGTGAAAATTGTTGAAACTATTCTCTGTGTCTCTATGACTAAGTAAATACATATAACAAAAATACTAGGAGCCAGGTTTTTCACTATTAGAGGAATTAAAAATATACAAATGGAGGAGACTAGAATGGACTTGGTGATGCTGGACTAGAATTGAAGGAAGTACTATAAATTAAAGATTAGATAAATAATTCTAAATTAATTGATTTAGAGATAAATGTAGATGTGTGTATGTGCATGTGCACATGCCGCACTGATCATAAGCTTACCTGGAGCACGATCTTGATTTCTAAATGTCGTTCTTTACTAAAAGGAACTAGAGCTGCTTGGGAATTGGTTGATTCCAGAGCAGAGAAAGCAAAAGGTAACCCTGGAGTATCATATTGTTCCAGAAAGTTACAAAGCACTCAAAGAATGAAAGGCTATATCAAAATGACAAAGAAGCACTAATATAAAGTGGTACAGCCACTCTGAAAAACAGATTGGTAATTTTTTATAACTTAAATATACAATTGTCATACGACCCAACCATGACTGTGTTATTATCATAGGACTCCTTAGTGTTTAAGAAAAATTAAAATGGATGTTCACACACACAACACTTGGACATGAATGTTTATAGCGGAACATTTGTGCAAGCCCCAAACTAGAAACACACCACGAATGCCCTCAAATGGATGAATGGAAAAACAAAACGTGATATATCCATGCAGTGAAATATTACTCAACAAGGAAAAGTATAAAAGGAGATCAGAGGGGTGTATTTCCATGATTACAATATAGAATATAACCCATCAAATTAAAAGAAGAGTCCACGGATCTATGATATAATTAATACATATAGACAAATGAAGAAAAAAAGTCTTTTGCAGTAAAATGCCAGTTAATAAGTGTAGAAATAAATTTACTACTTGGCTGCAGTCATAGAAAAACTTGAGTCAGGAAAGAATCATCAGTGGGTACTTAAACGAGTAAGTAATATTTTGATGAGGAAGCAGCATCCATTGAAACAGCATGCAACCACTTGGTGGATCTCTTGGGAATTATGTGAGTGAAATAAAATTTCAACAAGTTATATACTATGTGATTCCATTTATAAAACATTCTCAAGATGGTAACATCATGATGACGGAGAAAATATTAGTGGTTCCAGGGATTAGATTTGGAGGGAAACTGCAACTTCAAAAAGGTATCGCCAGTAAATTTCCTTGGGTTGGTTGACTGAACAGTTCTGTGTCCTTATTGTGGTAGTGATCACACAAAGATGTATTTCACAGAACCATACACACATACACATACAAATGAGTGCACGGACAAACAGGTGAAATCTGAAAAATGTTTGCAGTTTAATATGTTTCTAATGTCCATGTTCTGGTTTTGATAACTTTGTGATGGTTATGTAAATGTTATCATTGAGAGAAGCAGGGTGAAGGCTACACAGCAGTAACTCTCTATATTATTTTTCAACTTCTGATTGAATCTACAATTATTTCAAAATTAAAAGATAAAAAAAGGACACAGAAGCCAACTTGAAGCAACTCGTATTGGTTAATCTGGGATAATTTTACCATCAGAATAAATAATGATAGTAGCAGAATGTGTCAGTTTCTGTCCTCCAAAAAAACACACCCCAAGGCGGAATTAGAAGTACAATAGATTTACTGGGGCAAATGTCTATGAAGGATAAAGAAGACAGGGAGTAGAAGTACACAGGGAGAGCCACCAATGCGCTTGGAGATTGACTTCTGTTAAGAGAGAGGAGGAAAAAAAAAGGATTGCCCGAGAAGAGCTGCAGTCTGCAATGGAGCTCTGAGAAAGAAAGTTTTGCGCAAATTGATAGTAACCCTAGCGAAGATTGTCCCTTTACAACAGTGTTGTAGTGGGTGCAAATGGCCCAACTCCAATACCTCTGCCACACCCAGGCATTGGCCAGGAGCAACTCTGGGAGACCATAATCTTCATGTGAATATTGCAGTGTATCTGAAGGGACAGCAACTGGAGTCTGTCACAAAACCACATCTGCAGACCAACTTAGCTTGAAAGGAGATTTGAGGAGTGTGTCTCCATGTTCACACAGACTGTAAACCAACAAATTGAGACAAGAGTTTGTCAAACTCTTATATAATTATATAAACAGACAAATAGAGAAGAAAAAGCTAATTTTTGGTAGTAAAATGCCAATTAAGAAGTGCAGAGAAAAAAATCACCACTTGGCCAGCATCATAGTAAACTTGAGTCAGGCAAGAAACATCAATGGATGCTAAATCTAGTAAGTAAAATTTTGATGAGGAAATAGCATATTTGCATAGATTCAAAATATCTTCCCACAAAACATTTATTAATTACAAATAAAATAAGTAGTAATTTTTCAGCGAGACACCTGGCAGATACAACCTTAACCAAGTGATTTAGGTTAATATCAGTCACGGGACAAACTCACATCCTGCAGCTTCTCAAAAGAGAAAGACATCAAATCACTTCTGTGTTATCTCTATCCCTAAAATTCATAACATGAAATTAATCTTGTAGAAACCTCAGATGAACCCAAATATACTGCAAAATAATTAGTTTGTACTCTTCAAAAATGTAAAGGTGATAAAAGAAGAAACAAATAACTGAAGAAATGTACCAGATTCGAGGGACAGCTGAGATCAAACAACTAAATGGAATGAGTGATCCTGGATTGGATCTTAGACTGAAACTTGGGAGAAGGGGATGACTATACAATACATTATTGGGGAAAAAGTGTCAAAATTTAAGTCCTGCTGATTATGTAATAGCCTTGTATTAATGTCAATTCATGTTGAAAGTTCTGTAGTTGTAAAAGAGACTGTCCTTGTTCTCAGGAATTATACACTAAATTATTTAGGGGTCACAAATAGTTAAGAAAAAATATGTAATATACATGTTTATTTATGTACGCATGCATGTTCAACATAGGTTACTTCTTGTTATCTTGTTAGTAATGTTGCTGTTTTACCAGTCATAATTAAATGAAATGATTTAGTTGAAATGAACAATATTAACAATGATAAGAAATGAGGAAATACGATACAAGGAAAAAGATAAAGGGAAAATCTTAGATTAAGTTTTTACCAAGTACTACCCCAAGTACTTTGATGGAACTAAAAGTTTAAAAACAATTTGCTAGAAGTTCTGGACTAAATTCCTTGCCACACAAACATGCACACACAATTTCAACAGGGGCTGAGTTCCAGGTCAAAAATCCTGGCACAGTGTGCTTAGGCTTGAAGAAACAGTTCCTTGGGCATTTATTCCTAACAGAAGAGAAGCACACTTCAAAGGCAAGCTGAGGACAGAATTCTGCTGATTCCCACTGCCTGTTCAGTGACACATAAGTACAAGCCAGGCTAAGAATAATCTCTATGGCCTAGGCTAACTTTATGCAAAATCAAAATTGTTACCCCTACCAGGTACTCCCAGTAATAAACCAGCCAAGAACACTCAGGTATGTGTGTTGAGCTAGGTGGGAAGGGGGCCATGATCTTTACCAAATACCATCTGTAAATCGATATGAAAAATAACATTAGCCCTCCAACATTTGGTGGCTTCTAGCCCACAGAATCATTTCAACAACCGACTAACAAAATTCTCTACATTTATGGGATATCTTGGCAGTATGTAGACACACCTCTTATTTCATGCTTTTATTTTTTCCCGATGCCTATTAAAGTAACAATAGACATTTGGAATGTTTTCACCTACAACCACAGTGGCTTTTGTTCTTGAGAGCTACCATTCAAAGATTTGAAAAACCACAGCTTAGCAACTGACAAATTTAACAAAATTTAAGAGGCCTATATAAAAATGTACAGATGGTTTCTTAGTGTTGCAGTTCATAAAATGTGCTTAGCTGTTATTTAAAATATAAACTTAAGAAACAAAACCTCAGGATTGAAAATCACCATGATTTTGAAGCTTGGTAAGCATTGCTTAGCCAAATAACACATATAGTTTAAGATCCTTGTTACTTCTGAATTTTATTTAAAGTATCAAAAACAGTTTCTCTCCTTGAAATCATGTTAATATGTGAGAGTATTTTATGTTAACATTTGAAAAATTAATTTTCAATATACCTTTCAGATTCCTCTGGATCATTTTTTCATAGGAAATAGTTTTTCTATGTAATATATACTAAACATTGATCAATTTATCTCCATTGAAATAAATTGTTTCTCATATTTCTGCCTCACTATCATAATAATTTGATGTGAATAAAATATCTGAAATGTTACTCCCACTTTCACAACATGTGCAGAGTGATTTAGAAACATTGACATATGAACAATACTCTTTGTAACAGCACATTATGGTTAGATAACAATCAATTAAATTTGGTGTATTGGATGGTATTTTTGATAACGTATGGAATAATAGGAGTATATTTCTGTTTAAATTGGTCATGATGAGTGAACTACAGGTAACCTATCACTCAGAAGTACACATGCGTCAAGAAATTATGACATTTTAATTACAGATTGAGATGATTTTCTCTTCTAAGCAGAGTATAGTCAATTTAAATTAAAGGTTGGACTGCTTATTGTCAGTGACCCAATATATGTCAGACAAATTGAAATCACTAATAAGGAAAAGGGCAGTTTGGTCATCTAGAATCACAGCTATTATAAGGTTAATCATTTCTTATGTATTAGAAAATTTGAAATGGAAAAATGCAGGCTACTTCATAATATAGACATATAATTTAATTCGGCACAGAATAAATAAAGGAAAAGAAATAGACGTCTCAGCAGCTAGATGATGAGTTTTAAATCCTCACAGAATCTTTGCATCTCTGATTTGAGAATCCTCCCATCCCTAAGTATTTCTATTTTAGAATAACATAGCTAGTAAACTTATGTTTTTATTTCTGGTTACTTTCACAATCATAATCCCATTTCATGCTCACTAAAGTGCTATTAGAGTCTTAAAGCACACTTAAGATTTATGGTGAAAGAGAGAACTAGAATGTTGTGGTAGAAAGCGACTTTAGGCACCATTAATTATTTAACTGTTTCTTAGGTTATTTTTCTATAGTTATCAAAATGAGTGGAATGGTCACAAGCAATGCAACAACAGTAAAAACTTGAAATCAGCTTAATCAACTAGGTTATTTTATATTGTTGATTTTCATGTGCTTGAAATCCTTGCGATCAGGAATAGTGAAGTTAAATGAAATGATTCCTAGTGAGGAGAAAAGAAGGATTTGACATGGCCAATGATATTTACTAATTCTCTATGGGTCAACACATCTGGGTGTGCAGTTTTATTGCTGCATGCTTTCTGTCCAAATGTTACGGCAGAAGTCAAATATTGTATTTTTCAGAAAGTATGATTGACCCTTGACGAGGAAAAAATAATCCTCTGCTTCTTTCAAGTTCCATAGCCCTTTATTTCTACTTTTCTGACAATTCTCATCACTCTTTATGATGTAATTATGCTCTGATCTTATATGTTATACTACAAGTTTTTCATGGTAATAACAGTAGTCTTGCCATCCATGTACCTTCACAGTACCTAGCAATGAACCTTGTGAAGAAAGACAGTAACAACTGCTGAGTGAAACGCTTTATAAACCATGATACACTGGCCCCAATTATCTCTTAGGCTTTGTTCTGGCACAGCTGTTTGAAAAGAAAAGCCCACTCTAGTTGTTTTCTTGTGTCTGCATTGTCTCTGTTCCTTGAGGGAAGCACCTTAGGAGTCAACTGCCAAATCTGTGAAAATACCTCATAGATTTTCATATTCTTGGGATGTATATGTACGTGTTCTGGACTGGAAACAAATCCAGATAACAAAATGGGAGATAATAATAGGGAGATGTTTGATGTGAAAATTGTCTTAACCCAAGTAGAAAGAAAGCGGGGAAAAGACTAATTAAGGATGATCCCAGTGTTAGAAAATGGCAGAGAGGTGAAAAATCTTCTTACTTTTATAATACTATGGACTACAAGCTCACCCATGAGTCTTCAGAAAAGAGAACTGGTAGTTCAGTGGTTTACAAGAGAGAGTTCAGTGTTTCCATGGCCTTGTTTGGG
This sequence comes from Homo sapiens, assembly GCF_000001405.40. Taxonomy (NCBI): domain Eukaryota; kingdom Metazoa; phylum Chordata; class Mammalia; order Primates; family Hominidae; genus Homo; species Homo sapiens. The sequence continues at coordinate 49,498,605 of NC_000002.12, read as the reverse complement.
AAAAGAAAAAAAAAATGCAAGCATAATTTTTTGGAATAGTGAATAATTTATTGAGGGGGTAAAGCAATGAGGCATCAACAAAGAAATGGGGTGGACAGGCCGGGCACGGTGGCTCACGCCTGTAATCCCAGCACTTTGGGAGGCAGAGGCGGGCGGATCACAAGGTCAGGAGATCGAGACCATCCTGGCTAACACAGTGAAACCCCGTCTCTACTAAAAATACAAAAAATTAGCCGGGCATGGTGGTGGGCACCTGTAGTCCCAGCTACTCGGGAGGCTGAGGCAGGAGCATGGCTTGAACCCGGGAGGTGGAGCTTGCAGTGAGCCGAGATTGCGCCACTGCACTCCAGCCTAGGCGACAGAGCAAGACTCCGTCTCAAAAAAAAAAAAAAAAAAAAATGAAATGGGGTGGACAGCAGGCATATTTTCTTCTGAAAAGTACAGAAGTACAGAATGGTATAATGTGTTATTTATAAAATGTCGTGTTGTCACACGAACAGACATCACATATGAAGAAAAACGGCATTTAGTCATGATAATTCAACCCCTAAAAATGTAAATTGTAGAACTGCCATTTTGAAGTTTTGGTTCCAAAATAAGCACATGTGTTATTTCCCATTCTTCTCTGATCATCCACTAACGGCCAGACATTCTTCATGTACACTGAAGGCATAACAGAAATGAGGGTCAAGATTTCATTGCATAAAACTTTTTTTCTTACATCTATTCATGTGCAGTCCTACATGTCTTACCTTTCCCACTGCTTTTCCTTAGGGCATGGTATTTTCCATGACTGGAATGTTCTCTTCTCCCCTGCCTTTAATTAAACCTGTAGCCATTTTTCATAACTAAAAATTATACCTTCTCTTGGTGACCTTTTTTTGATGCATAATAATTGTATATTTATGTGCACTTATCCTATACATGTGATATTTTGACACATGTATGCAATGTGATCAAATCAGGTTATTTAGGATATCCATCACCTCAAACACTTAACATTTTTTGTGTTGGGAACATTTCAAATCTTCTCTTCTAGGTATTTTGAAATATACAGTAGATTATTGTTAACTACAGTCACTATACTGTGCTATTTAACAATAAAACGTATTCATTCTGTCTACCTGTAAGTTTTCTGCTATTAATCAAATGCTCTTCATGCCTCACACCCTTCTCCACCTCTGGTACTACTCTCTACCTCAGTGAAATCAATTTTTTCGCTCCTACATGTAAGAACATGCAATATTTGTCCTTCTGTATCTGGTTTATTTCTCTTAACTTACTGACCTCCAGCTCCATCTATGTTGCAACAAATGACAGAATTTCATTCTTTTTTTGTGGATGACTAGTATTCTGTTGTATATATATATATCACATTTTCTTTATCCATTCATACGTTGATAGACACTTAGGCTGATTCCATATCTTGGCTATTGTGAATAATGTTGCAATAAACATGCAAGTGCAGGTATCCTTTTAATGTACTAATTTCCTTTCCTTTAAATAAACACCCAGTAGTGGGATTGCTAAATCACATGATAGTTCTATTTTTAGTTTTTTGAGAAAACTCCATACTGTTTTCCATAATGGATATACCCATTTACATTCCCACCAACAGCATGTAAGAGTTCCCTTTTCTCATTATCCTTGCCAGCATTTGTTATTTTTTTGTCTTTTTGATAAAAGCCATTGTAACTGAGGTGAGAAAACATTGTACTTTTGAGCTGCATTTGCCTGATGATTACTGATGTTGAACATTTCTTCATATACCTGTTGGCCATTTGTATATCTTCTTTTGAGAAATGCCTATCCAAATCTGTTGCCCACTTTTTAATGGAATAATTTGTATTTTTGTGGTTGATTTAAGTTCCTTGAATATTCTATATATTAGTTCTTTGTTGAATTAATAGTTTGCAAATATTTTCTTTCATTCTAGTGGTTATCTCTTCACGTTGTTGATTGTTTCCTTCACTGTGCAGAAGCTTTTTAGTTTCATAAATGCACCCATGTGTCCATTTTTGGTTTTGTTGCCTGTTCTTTTAAAGTCTTAGCCATAAAATCCTTCCCTAGACCAATATCCTGGAGTATTCCCACTATGTTTTCTTCTAGTAATTTTATAGATTTGGATCTTATGTTCAAGTCTTTAATCCATTGTGAATTGACTTTTGTATATGGTAAATGATAGAGGCTTAATTTCATTCTTCTGCAAATGCATATTCAGTTTTCTCAGTACCATTTATTGAAGAGGGTGTCATTTTCCCAATGTATGTTCTTGGTTCCTATGCCAAAAATCAGTTGGCTGTAAATATATGAATTTATTTATGGATTTTCTATTCGGTTGTTTTTTTGGTCTATGTGTCTGCTTTTATGCCAGTACCATGTTGTTTTGGTTACTACAGCTTTATAGTATATTTTGAAGTCAAGTGGTGAAATGCCTCCAGCTTTATTCTTTTTGCTCAGTATTGCTTTGGCTATTTGAGATCATTGTGGGTTCCACACAAGTTTTAGGAATTGTTTTCTCTATTTCTGTGAAAAAACGTGATAGATATTTAACAGGGATTGCATGGCTTCTGTAGATTATTTTGATTACTATGGCCATTTTAACAATACTAATTCTTCTGATTCATGAGCATGGGATATGTTTCCATTTGTTTGTGTCCTGTTCAATTTCTTTTATTAGTATTTTGTAATTTTTCTTATAAAGGTCTTTTACCTCCTTGGTTAAATTTCTTAGGACTTTTTAAGCTATTGTATATGGAATTGCTTTCTTGATTTCTTTTTCTGCTAGTTCATTGTTGGTGTGTAGAAACACTACTGATATTTTTATGCTGAAACTTTATCAAATTTGTTTATCAGCTCTAAGCATTTTATTGGTGGATTATTCACGATTTCTCTCTCTCTCTCTCTATATATATATGTATATATGTATGTAGAAAAAGTATATATGAGCAGGGCATTTTTAACAAGGTAAAATTTCACTTCCTTTTTTCTATTTTGGATGTCTCTATTTTTTTTCTCTTGCTTGATTGCTCTAACTAGAACTCCCAGTACTACGTTGAGCAGGAGTGACGAAAGTGGACCCTCTTGTCCTCTTCTTCTAATTCTTAGAGAAAAGACTTTCAGCTTTTCCTTCATTCAGTATGGTGTTGGCTGTGTTTTTGCCATATATGGTATTTATTATGCTGAGATATGTTCCTTCTGTGCCTAATATGTTGAGAGTTTTTATTATGAAAGGATGTTGAATTTTATCAAATGATTTTTCTTCACCTATTTAGGTAACTATATGGTTTTTGTCCTTCATTCTGTTGATGTGATGCATTACATTTATTGATTTGCAACTTTTTAACCATCCTTGAATCCCTGGGATAAACCCCACTTGATTATGGTGTATTATCTTTTTGATGTGCTATTGGATTGGGTATGCGAGTGTTTTTGGAGGATTTTTTTGTATTTATATTCATCAGAAATACTGGCCTGTACTTTTTTTCTTGTGCCCTCATCTGGTTTTAGTGTCGGGTAATGCTGGTCTTAAATAATGAGTTAAGAAGAATTTTCTACTTTTCAAACTCTTGGAATAGTTTGTGTAAAATTGGTGTTAGTTCTTTATAAGTTTGGTAGAATTTAGTAGTAAAGCCATCCAGTCCTGTGTTTCTTTTTGTTGGGAGAATTTATATTACTAATTTAGTTTTATTACTTGTTACTGTGTGTTCAGGTTTTCTATTTCTTCCTGGTTCAGTCTTGTTAGGTTATATGTTTTTAGGAATTTATCTGTTTCCTCTAGGTTTTCTAATTTTTTAGCACGTAGTTGTTCATAATAGTCTATTATGATCCTTTTTATTTCTTCGTTATCAGCTTAATGTCCCTATTTTTCTTTCTGATTTGACTGATTTGGGTATTCTGTTTTTTCCTTTATTGGCTTAGCTAGCAATTTATTTATTTTGTTTATCTTTTCCAAAAAAAGACTTTTCATTTTGTTAATCCTTTGTACTTTTTTTAGTCTATTTTTGCTCTGATCTTTATTATTTCTTTCCATCTTCTAATTCTGGGTTTGCATTATTCTTGTTTTCTAGTTCCATGAGGTGCATTGCTGTTTATTTGAAATTTTTCTACTTTTTTGATGTAGATGTTTATTGCTATAAAGTTTCTTCTTAGACTGCATTTGCTTTATCTCATAAGTTTTGGCATGCTTCCATTTTTATTTGTTTTCAGAAATTATTTTCTTCTTAATTTTTTCATTGTTGCAGTGGTCATTTAGAAGCATGTTTTAAAATTTCCATGTATTTGTATACTTTCCAGTGTTTCTCTTGTTATTGATTTTTAGTTTTATTCCATTGTGGTTTAAAAAGATACTTGATATGATTTTGATTTCTAAAAATTTGAATTTTTGTGTGTGATCTAAATTTAGCCTATTCTGGAGAATGTTCCATTTGCTGATGACAAGAATGTATACTACACTGTTACTGGATGAAAATGTTCTGTAAATGCCTGTAAAGCCTATTTGTTCTAAGGTTTAGTTTAAATTCAATGTTCTTTTGTTGATTTTTCTGTCTAGATGATCTGTTCCATGTTGAGAGCGGAATGTTGAGGTTCTCAACTGTTACTGTATTTGAGTCTATTTCTCCCTTTAGATCTAATAATATTTACTTTATATATCTGGGTACTCCAGTTTAGAGTGCATATATATTTGGAATTGTTATATCCTCTTGATGAATTGATCCCTTTATCATTATATAATAACCTTCTTTATCTTTTTATAGTTTTTTACTTAAAATCTGTTTTATCTGATAAGTATAGCCATTATTTCTTGCTCTTATTTTTTTTAAAACGTGGAATATATCTTTTCATCCTTTCACTTTCAATTTATATATTCCTTTACAGGTGAAGTGAGATTATTGTAGGCAGCACATAGATGGGCCACATTTTTAAAACCATTTAGCCAGTTTATGTCCGTTAAGTAGGAAATTAAATCTTTGTACATTCAAAGTTATTATTGATAGGTGACTTATTCCTGTCATTTTGTTAGTTGTTTTCTAATGGTTTTGCACATTCTTTGCTCTTCTTTGTCCTTTTTCTTTATTATTTGTCCTTTCCTCTTCTCTTATTGTTTATAATTGTGGTTAGATGGTTTTCTGTAGTTGTAGCATTTGACTCCTTTCTCTTTCTCAGTTGTGTCTCTGTTGTACCATCAGGTTTTATATTTTTGTATGTTTTCATGATGGCAGGTATCATTCTTTCAGTGCCTGATGTAGGATTTCTTGAAGTATTTCTTTTTTTTTTTTTTTTTTTTTTTGAGACGGAGTCTCGCTCTGTCGCCCAGGCTGGAGTGCAGTGGCGGGATCTCGGCTCACTGCAAGCTCCGCCTCCCGGGTTCACGCCATTCTCCTGCCTCAGCCTCCCAAGTAGCTGGGACTACAGGCGCCCGCCACTACGCCCGGCTAATTTTTTGTATTTTTAGTAGAGACGGGGTTTCACCGTTTTAGCCGGGATGGTCTCGATCTCCTGACCTTGTGATCCGCCCGCCTCGGCCTCCCAAAGTGCTGGGATTACAGGCGTGAGCCACCGCGCCCGGCCTTGAAGTATTTCTTATAGAACCAGTCTAGTGGTAATAAATTCCTTCCATTTTTGCTTGTCTGGGAAAGACTTTATTTTTTCTTCATTTTTGAAGGATAGTTTTGCTTAAGTTTCTTCTTTCAGAAATTTGAATATATCATCTTATTTTCTCTTGGCTAGTAAGATTTCTGCTGAGAAATTCACTATTAGTCTGATGAAGATGCCCTTATCTGTGACTTGACACTTTTCTGTTGCTGCTTTTAGAATTCTTTTGTCCTTGACTTTTTACAGTTTGAGTATAATGTGCCTTGGAGAAAACCTTTGGGGTTGAATCTAATTGGGTATCTTTGAGCTCTCTGTTTGGATGTCTCTATCTTTTGTAAGACTTGGATAGTTTTCATATATTATTTTGTTAAACAGATTTCCTATGCCTTTGCCCATCTCTTCTCCTTCTGGACCTCCCAAAATTAGAAAATTTTGTTGCTTTATGGTGTTCTATATGTCACTTAGCATTTCCTCATTCTTTTTTTATTCTTTCTTTCTTTCTTTTTTTTTTTTTTTTTTGAGATGAAGTCTCACTGTTGCCCAAGCTGGAGTGCAGTGGTGTGATCTCAGCTCACTGCAACCTCCACCTCCCATTTTCAAGTGCTTCTCCTGCCTCAGCCTCCCGTAGCTGGGACTACAGGCACGTGCCACCATGCCCAGCTAATTTTTGTATTTTTAGTAGACACAGGGTTTCACTATGTTGGCCAGGCTTGTCTTGAACTCCTAACCTCATGAGCCACCCGCCTTGACCTCCTAAAGTGCTGGGATTACAGGCATGAGCCACTGTGCCTGGCCTCTTTTTTATTTCTTTTTAATTTTCTGTCTAACTGGGTTATTTCAAAAGACCTGTCTTCAAGTTCAGAAATGATTTCTTCTTTATGATGTAGTCTATTGCTGAAGCTCTCAATTATATTTTTATTTTATTCATTGGATTCCTCAATTCCAGGATTTCTGTTTGGCTCTTTTTTATTATATCTATCTCTTTGTTGAATTTCTGATTCAAACCATGGATTTTTTTCTTGATATTTTTTGGTATTATTTATCTGTATTCTCTTATTTCTCACTGACTTTTTAAATATCATTATTTTAAATTCTTTTTCAGGCATTTCAAAGATTTTGTTAGGATTTGTTACTGATTGATATTTGTGCTTTTGGTGTAACAGTCACTTGTTCCAATTTTATGGGTTGGATCTTGTGGGGAAAAACTTTCCTGTATAAGTACCTACAGTGTTGGTTGCGTAGGGTGCTTTGTCTTTTATTCTGGTGGGGCATAACAATGTAGTCTTTCTGTAAACTTTTTGGTTGTAATCAGAATCAATGGTGTCCGTGAGACCCTCAGTGGCCTGGGCTGTAGTTGGTAGTGGAGACTGTGTGAGGCTTTGCTTGAGACTAGGTATGCCAGACAAGCTGGTCATCAAGGACCAGTGGTAGTAGGAGTGGAGTGGACAGGCCCTTGGGCTTCTAAATGGCACATTTGTGAGGGTAATAGTGGTGGTAAGGGCACTCATGGTAGCAGTTTCTAGTGGGCCAGTCCTTGGGCCTTTAAGTAGCTTACTGAGGTGCTAGCAGTTGCAGCAGTAGGCTGGATGGGAAGGTGGGTTCTCTGGCTCCTAGATATATGTGTGGCATTGGCAGTTTAGTTGCAGCTGCTGGCCAACTCTCAAGCCCCCATGTGGTATGTTCAGGCATCAGCATTGGTAGCAACAGGCTTGGTGGGCAAGGCCCTAGCGAGTGGGTTGGTGGCAGCAGGCTTGGGAAGCCTACCCTCATATGCTTTACATGAGTGCTGGAGGTGATGTGTGGGGTGGGTAAATCCCTAGGCACTTAAATGGTGCACTTAGGCACCAGTGACAGTGGCAGTGGGTGGAGCAGGCCTGTCCTTGGGCCCCTAGATGGTGAGAGGGGGTGCTAACAGGGGTGGCAGAGGGCTGAGCAAGGCTGGGCTGGCCTGTCCTTCGGCCCCCAGGACAGTGACCAGAGAGACCTATTCCCTAGACCCACTGAAGGTGCATGCAGGTGCACAGTAGCCCCACCACTAGAGGGAGCATGGCTACTATCAGAGTAGTGGCCTTGGGGAAACAGCTCTCAGGCTCTGGGGAGATATCCCTTTAACTCCCATTGTCTCAGGAGGGAGCATCCCTGGTGTGCTGCACCACTCGTTCCCTGGGGTATAGGACACTGTATGGGCTAGAGGCTGGGGACCTGGCCACACCAGTGGCTCCATCTAGCGTCGCAATATTGCCGCCCTCTGGGTGGATGTGGCAGGGGTGGAAGAAATGTTAGCAGAGGTTCAAAAATGTGGAGATGCAGAGACTGTTGAATCTCATAGCAGGATGTTGTCTTTTGGGGCCTGGGCTCTCAAAATGGTACTGTGCTGCAGCTGCTTGGGTCTCACAGAGTATATTGGACTCAGTGTGAGCTCCCTATGTGGAGCGATGCTGTTGCTTGGACTCCAGGCAGCTTTCTATACTAATCTAAGCATCCACAAGGACTGAAACGCTCTCCTTTGGCTAGGATTGCAGGAGGCTGAGGTGGGAATGTGGACTGCTGGAAATCTCTCACTTATCTTTTTTTCCTATAATGGGTAGTTTCTCCTGGCTCTGAACTGATCCCAGCCAGTTTGGCTGGTTTGCTTTTCTCTCCTATGCCTCAGAGATCCCCTGTCACTTCCCTGCTGAATTCCTGTTTTCTCTTAGATGCCCTATTTGATGTGTGATGACATACTTGCTGTTTTGGTCCTTGTTTGTGGAGGAGATGAGTGCTGGGAACCTTTAGTCTGTTATCCTGACATCCTTGGAGATCTTGTCCTCAGCATTTACTGAGTGTTCACAACATGCACACAGTTAAACTAAACACTGGAGGAAAAGCAAAAAAAAAAAAATTGCCTGCTCTTAAGATATTCTTATCTAAATGGGAAAACTGGTTATACACATAGCAAAAATGTAGATTAACACAAATAATATGCATGTAAAAAAAGAAGATCCAAGGAAGCAGTGGATCTTAAGTAAGTTTCCAGGGGTTTGATAGATTTTCATGGTCAGTGTAGGTTTTACTGAGTGTTGGGAGTTGATCAACTAATAATCCTTTCTTTTTGTAAGTAAAGTATTTAGTAAGTTGAATTTCTACTGTGCACCAGGCATTGATACACTTCACTTGAACTTTGGAGTTAAACTACCAGAATTAAAGCTTATTTGGATAATATCCTAGCAGTATGTGCATCAACAAGTTGCTTACCCTTTTTAAGCCTTAATTTTCCACCTGTGAAATGAGGATACTCCCAGTAATAAGTGTGCAATAAACTAAGCAATGGTTTTAATAATGTGTGTGGTACTTATAACTGCTTAATAAAATAACTGTTGTTGTTTTATATTAGTTTTGTTAATATTGTTTTGATCATTATTGACTTGGACTTCCTGTAGGTATATACATATACTACTGTAAATATTAAGTATCAGTAGGACCATATTATCAAAATGAAATGTTTAAAGAGCCAGTGATGACCCATTTGCAGTGATAACTGTAGTCTTAGTCTCTGTTAGATATGCTGTGCACAAATTCTATTAAATTAAATATGATGAATATAGTTATGATTATCTAAAAATAAAGACCAACCAAAATGAGAAAAGCAAAAGCTATTTATTCAGAACTTGCTATAGCAATTGAGTTAGCCACCATCACTTGTGTTTTGGCAGAGAGACTCAAGGACAAGAATGGAGTGGGAAAGCATTATGGTGGAAAAAAGAGAAGGTTTCAGGTATGACCTAATAGGAGGCTGTTGGCCTAGGGAAGCTGTAGGCAGGCTGATTAGAAACAGGGCATTCTATGTGATTTGTTAGGGCTGCATATTTGGCTTTCTCTGAGTGGTCCTGAATTAGAAGCAGAGACAAAAATTAGGGAAGCTGTCAGTTATTAATCAAGTCATGGCTATTTTGAGGTGATTGTTACAGTGGTTATTTTCTGGCTTCTTGGATTGTTACTTGTGATAACAGCCTGACTTCCTGCAGTTCTGATTTATAGCAGGTTGGCCTCCTGGGCTGGTTATTATAGATAAGGGATTAGCTTTCTAGGTACATTACTGCAGGTTGTAGATCAGAGTTCTACATTCATATATGGTCTGGTCATTGTCCATTTGCATATTCAGTCTATTAGGAGTTCAGGATCTGGGGCTAGAGTATGTATATATGTGTTTGTGTGTGTGTGTGTGTGTGTGTGTGTGTGCATATATATATATATGTCGTATAACTTATGATGTGGGGCTTTGGAAAAATTGGTAAATCTCTCTGTGCCTCATTTTATTAAACTGTCAAAAGAGATCAAAATGGTAATTAACTGATGTAATTATTGTGATAATTAAATGAGTTATATACATAAAGCACTTAAAACAGTGTCTGGCACAGAGTATTAGATTTTATACTTACTATATGATTGATGACATACAACATCCACAGGATGTAATTCATGGGATTCACCAGATTCATTGTGAGAATTAGTTGGAGAAATACATCAAATTACAATGACCCAACATTTTTTACCAATATAAATTATACTTTCACTTAAACCACAATGCTCTTAGTAGTACATTCCCTCAGAAGAAGAAATATATTCCTTTCAAGGATATGCAGAGTCTCAATTCTTTACTCCTTTTCTGCCTTCTAACTTGCAGTGCTTTGTGGGGGGTGAAGTATATATTCCTATCCCTTTCATATTGAGCTGGATCATTCAAGTTGCTTTCACTAAAGAAAGACTTGCACACAGGATATAAGCAGAGGCCTTAAGTGTATTTGCACAATTTGACTCAGTCTCCTATGTTTCTCTGATCATCATGAGAAGTGCATGTCCCAGAACGCCATTGTCCCTTTAGTCTAAGCCCCTCAAAAATTATGTGACCAGAGCCCAGAACCAAGCTCGACCAACCCTGAAGCAGAACACCTCAGCTAATTTTTAAATCTGTGTGTAAGAAATATAAATGCTTATTATTATAAACCAATGGAGTCAGGGAGTAGTTTGTTATGCAACATGATAGCAACAATAATAGGCTAATGGAGAAGAATAATCAGTTAAATATTTCACCTACAGTTTTGTCATTATTTGATAAAATGAGTTGTTTGTCCTTTAATATGAGGGGAGCCTTGAGAAGCTGAGACAAAGACTAGCAATCTTTTGGGAAGGCAGAAGTGATTGGGAAAGTTGGGGTTCATGAGGTACTGCCAGAGTGATATATTACTAGTTGGGAATAGGGGAGGATTGAGCAAAGGAGTACATTAGGTACATAGAAAAGGGTGTCATATTGAAAGAGATTGGGGGGAGGCATGTAAAGGGAGAAAAGGAGCATATATTTCACTTCATTGTTTTCAACGGGATAAGTGAAAGAGTTAATTTGTCTCCCCAAAACAATTATTTTCTGCCAGCACGGAAAAATATGTACGTAGAAATAAAAATTATTCATTACAGATAATAGCCAGAAAAACACAGACCTTTGAAAAAAAATCTCAATTTCCTAGAAAAAAATTCAACCAATTAAATCACGCTGGTTGTTAGCATTTCATATTTATGACTACATAAGCATTATCTTTAGAAATAGTGTACATATTTAAATTGCTTTTGCAGTTCTGGCATCAGATTGAAATTTAATTTCATGCAACTCCTGATGATTTTGTTTAGAATATCAGCCTCTGCAGTGAATTCTGTCAGCATGGTGCAGCAAAACCCTACTTACATTTCTGTGAGTCACATGTAGGTAAAGCTTCTGAGTGAAACAGAAGAATACATGCAGACAGAAACATTCTTTTCTTGGCAATGCAGAGCTCCTGCCATATTCTCTGAAACAGGCAAGGTATGCAGTATTATTCATAATTATCTTTATTCATCAGAAATCTCTAGATTTCAGGTGGTGGTCACATTTACCCAGTAGGTGGGCCTGGCTTTACTCCCACAAATACTAATTCAGTATGTTTCTCTTAACCATCGTTTTTATTTGCCAAAGCAATGGACTTAGACGATTCACTGTCAGCACAATGTAAAGCTTAAAATAAAATAAAATTTGCCTTGTGCTAATTACTTTTCTATCTGCTTAGACAAAGAAACATTAATGAAAGTGAGAGCATGATAAAAGTAAACACCAGAAGGATTAGTCATAATTACGATAAAGCACACTCATTTGCCAGAAAGAAATCAAATACATTGTGTAATAATGCAAAAAGTAGGGATACTATGACCAAAAACATACCAAGAATCTTTTCTATTGATATTAATACCACCTCCCTTTAGCTTTACCATATCTTTTCATCTAATGTTCTCTGCTTTTTGAAAAGGAATTTATAAACAAGTCTACACTATGATTTTGATGGCTGATAACAACTTAATATATTGTTCTATTCACGGCTATTTGAGCTTTAACACAAATTACTGTTTTATATTGTAGGGAAAGTTGTTAAATTGGTTGTGCTCCAGCTAACTGTGCAGAATTGCTGGGTTGGATGTTTTTAGGTGAAACGTTGGGGCAGAACAGACTTTCGTAGCATATTTTCCTTTTTTTTATTATTATACTTTAAGTTTTAGGGTACATGTGCACGACGTGCAGGTTTGTTACATATGTATACATGTGCCATGTTGGTGTGCTGCACCCATTAACTCATCATTTAACCTTAGGTATATCTCCTAATGCTATCCCTTCCCCCTCCCCCCCACCCCACAACAGGCCCCGGTGTGTGGTGTTCCCCTTCCTGTGTCCATGTGTTCTCATTGTTCAATTTCCACCTATGAGTGAGAACATGCGGTGTTTGGTTTTTTGTCCTTGCGATAGTTTGCTGAGAATGATGGTTTCCAGCTCCATCCATGTCCCTACAAAGGACATGAACTCATCATTTTTTATGGCTGCATAGTATTCCATGGTGTATATTTGCCACATTTTCTTAATCCAGTCTATCTCTGTTGGACATTTGGGTTGGTTCCAAGTCTTTGCTATTGTGAATAGTGCCGCAATAAACATACATGTGCATGTGTCTTTATAGCAGCATGATTTATTATCCACTGGGTATATATCCAGTAATGGGATGGCTGGGTCAACTGGTATTTCTAGTTCTAGATCCCTGAGGAATTGCCTCACTGACTTCCACAAAGGTTGAACTAGTTTACAGTCCCACCAACAGTGTAAAAGTGTTCCTCTTTCTCCACATCCTCTCCAGCACCTGTTGTTTCCTGACTTTTTAATGATCGCCATTCTAACTGGTGTGAGATGGTATCTCATTGTAGTTTTGATTTGCATTTCTCTGATGGCCACTGATGATGAGCATTTTTTCATGTGTGTTTTGTCTGCATAAATGTCTTCTTTTGAGAAGTGTCTGTTCATATCCTTTGCCCAGTTTTTGATGGGGTTGTTCTTTTTTCTTCTAAATTTGTTTGAGTTCTTTGTAGATTCTGGATATTAGCCCTTTGTCAGATGAGTAGGTTGCAAAAATTTTCTCCCATTCTGTAGTTTGCCTGTTCACTCTGATGGTGGTTTCTTTTGCTGTGCAGAAGCTCTTTAGTTTAATTAGATCCCATTTGTCAATTTTGGCTTTTGTTGTCATTGCTTTTGGTGTTTTAGACATGAAGTCCTTGCCCATGCCTATGTCCTGAATGGTATTGCGTAGGTTTTCTTCTAGGGTTTTTTATGGTTTTAGGTCTAACATGTAAGTCTTTAATCCATCTTGAATTAATTTTTGTATAAGGTGTAAGGAAGGGATCCAGATTCAGCTTTCTACATATGGCTAGTCAGTTTTCCCAGAGCCATTTATTAAATAGGGAATCCTTTCCCCATTTCTTGTTTTTGTCAGGTTTGTGAAAGATCAGATAGTTGTAGATATGTGGCATTATTTCTGAGGGCTCTGTTCTGTTCCATTGGTGAGTATCTCTGTTTTGGTACCAGTACCATGCTGTTTTGGTTACTGTAGCCTTGTAGTATAGTTTGAAGTCAGGTAGCATGATGCCTCCAACTTTGTTCTTTTGGCTTAGGATTGACTTGGCAATGTGGGCTCTTTTTTGGTTCCATATGAACTTTAAAGTAGTTTTTTCCAAATCTGTGAAGAAAGTCATTGGTAGCTTGATGGGGATGGCATTGAATCTATAAATTACCTTGGGCAGTATGGCCATTTTCACGATATTGATTCTTCCTACCCATGAGTATGGAATGTTCTTCCATTTGTTTGTATCCTCCTTTATTTCATTGAACAGTGGTTTGTAGTTCTCCTTGAAGAGGTCCTTCACATCCCTTGTAAGTTGGATTCCTAGGTATTTTCTTCTCTTTGAAGCAATTGTGAATGGGAGTTCACTCATGATTTGGCTGTCTGTTTGTCTGTTATTGGTGTATAAGAATGCTTGTGATTTTTGCACATTGATTTTGTACCCTGAGACTTTGCTGAAGTTGCTTATCAGCTTAAGGAGATTTTGGGCTGAGATGATGGGGTTCTCTAGATATACAATCATGTCATCTGCAAACAGGGACAATTTGACTTCCTCTTTTCCTAATTGAATACCCTTTATTTCCTTCTCCTGCCTGATTGCCCTGGCCAGAACTTCCAATACTATGTTGAATAGGAGTGGTGAGAGAGGGCATCCCTGTCTTGTGCCAGTTTTCAAAGGGAATGCTTCCAGTTTTTGTCCATTCAGTATGATATTGGCTGTGGATTTGTCATAGATAACTCATTATTTTGAGATACGTCCCATCAATACCTAATTTATTGAGAGTTTTTAGCATGAAGGTTGTTGAATTTTGTCAAAGGCCTTTTCTGCATCTATTGAGATAATCAAGTGATTTTTGTCTTTGGTTCTGTTTATATGCTGGATTACATTTATTGATTTGCATATGTTGAACCAGCCTTGCATCCCAGGGATGAAGCCCACTTGATCATGGTGGATAAGCTTTTTGATGTGTTGCTAGATTCAGTTTGCCAGTATTTTATTGAGGATTTTTGCATCAATGTTCATCAAGGATATTGGTCTAAAATTCTCTTTTTTTGTTGTGTCTCTGCCAGGCTTTGATGGGATGATGCTGGCCTCATAAAATGAGTCAGGGAGGATTCCCTCTTTTTCTATTGATTGGAACAGTTTCAGAAGGAATGGTACCAGCTCCTCCTTGTACCTGTGGTAGAATTCGGCTGTGAATCCATCTGGTCCTGGATTTTTTTTGGTTGGTAAGCTATTAATTATTGCCTCAATTTCAGATCCTGTTATTGGTCTATTCAGAGATTCAACTTCTTCCTGGTTTAGTCTTGGGAGGGTATATATGTCGAGGAATTTATCCATTTCTTCTAGATTTTCTAGTTTATTTGCTTAGAGGTGTTTATAGTATTCTCTGATGGTAGTTTGTATTTCTGTGGGATCAGTGGTGATATCCCCTTTATCATTTTTATTGCATCTATTTGATTCTTCTCTCTTTTCTTCTTTATTAGTCTTGCTAGTGGTCTATCAATTTTGTTGATCTTTTCAGAAAACCAGCTCCTGGATTCATTGATTTTTTGAAGGGTTTTTTGTGTCTCTATTTCCTTCAGTTCTGCTCTGATGTTAGTTATTTCTTGCCTTCTGCTAGCTTTTGAATGTGTTTGCTCTTGCTTTTCTAGTTCTTTTAATTGTGATGTTAGGTGTCAATTTTAGATCTTTCCTGCTTTCTCTTGTGGGCATTTAGTTCTATAAATTTCCCTCTACACACTGCTTTGAATGTGTCCCAGAGATTCTGGTATGTTGTGTTTTTGTTCTCGTTGGTTTCAAAGAACATCTTTATTTCTGCCTTCATTTCGTTATGCACCTAGTAGTCATTCAGGAGCAGGTTGTTCTGTTTCCATGTAGTTGAGCAGTTTTGGGTGAGTTTCTTAATCCTGAGTTCTAGTTTGATTGCACTGTGGTCTGAGATACAGTTTGTTATAATTTCTGTTCTTTTCCATTTGCTGAGGAGTGCTTTACTTCCAACTGTGTGGTCAATTTTGGAATAGGTGTGGTGTGGCACTGACAAAACTGTATATTCTGTTGATTTGGGGTGGAGAGTTCTGTAGATGTCTATGAGGTCCGCTTGGTGCAGAGCTGAGTTCAATTCCTGGATATTCTTGTTAACTTTCTGTCTCATTGATCTGTCTCATATTGACAGTGGGGTGTTAAAGTCTCCCATTATTATTGTTTGGGAGTCTAAGTCTCTTTGTAGGTCACTAAGGACTTCCTTTATGAATCTGGGTGCTCCTGTATTGGGTGCATTTATATTTAGGATAGTTAGTTCTTCTTGTTGAATTGATCCCTTTACCATTATGTAATGGCCTTCTTTGTCTCTTTTGATCTTTGTTGGTTGAAAGTCTGTTTTATCCGAGACTAGGATTGCAACCCCTGCCTTTTTCGTTTTCCATTTGTTTGGTAGATCTTCCTCCATCCCTTTATTTTGAGCCTATTTGTGTCCCTGCATATGAGATGTGTTTCCTGAATACAGCACACTGATGGGTCTTCACTCTTTATCCCATTTGCCAGTCTGTGCCTTTTAATTGGAGCATTTAGCCCATTTACATTTAAGATTAGTATTGTTATGTGTGAATTCGATCCTGTCATTATGATGTTAACTGGTTATTTTGCTTGTTAGTTGATGCAGTTTTTTACTAGCCTCGATGGTCTTTGCAATTTGGCATGTTTTTGCAGTGGCTGGTACCGGTTGTTCCTTTCCATGTTTAGTGCTTCCTTCAGGAGCTCTTGTAAGGCAGGCCTGGTGGTGACAAAATCTCTCAGCATTTGCTTGTCTGTAAAGTATTTTATTTCTCCTTCACTTATGAAGCTTAGTATGGCTGGATATGAAATTCTGGGTTGAAAATTCTTTTCTTTAAGAATGTTGAATATTGGCCCCCACTGTCTTCTGGCTTGTAGAGTTTCTACTGAGAGATCCGTTGTTAGTCTGATGGGCTTCCCTTTGTGGGTAAACCGACCTTTCTGTCTGGCTGCCCTTAACATTTTTTCCTTCATTTCAACTTTGGTGAATCTGACAATTACATGTCTTGGAGTTGCTCTTCTCGAGGAGTATCTCTGTGGCATTCTCTGTATTTCCTGAATTTGAACATTGGCCTGCCTTGCTAGATTGGGGAAGTTCTCCTGGATAATATCCTGCAGGGTGTTTTCCAACTTGGTTCCATTCTCCCCGTCACTTTCAGGTACACCAGTCAGACGTAAATTTGGTCTTTTCACATAGTCCCATATTTATTGGAGGCTTTGTTCATTTCTTTTTATTCTTTTTTTCTCTAAACTTCTCTTCACACTTCATTTCATCTTCCATCGCTGATACCCTTTCTTCAAGTTGATCGCATCAGTTACTGAGGCTTGTGCATTCGTCACGTAGTTCTTGCGCCGTGGTTTTCAGCTCCGTCAGGTCCTTTAAGGACTTCTCTGCATTGATTATTCTAGTTATCCCTTCGTCTCATTTTTTTTTCAAAGTTTTTAACTTCTTTGCCATTGGTTCGAACTTCCTCCTTTAGCTCGGAGTAGTTTGATCTTCTGAAGCCTTCCTCTCTCAACTCGTCAAAGTCCTTCTCCGTCCAGCTTTGTTCCGTTGCTGGTGAGGAGTTGTGTTCCTTTAGAGGAGTAGAGGTGCTCTGATTTTTAGAGTTTCCAGTTTTTCTGCTCTGTTTTTTCCCCATCTTTGTGGTTTTATCTACCTTTGGTCTCTGATGATGGTGACGTACAGATGGGTTTTTGGTGTGGATGTCCTTTCTGTTAGTTTTCCTTCTAATAGTCAGGACCCTCAGCTGCAGGTCTGTTGGAGTTTGCTGGTGGTCCACTCCAGACCCTGTTTGCCTGGGTATCAGCAGCAGTGGCTACAGAACAGTGGGTATTGGTGAACTGCAAATGCTGCCGCCTGATCGTTCCTCTGGAAGTTTTGTCTCAGAGGAGTACCGGGCCGTGTGATGTGTCAGTCCGCCCCTACTCGGGGGTGCCCCCCAGTGAGGCTACTCGGGGGTCAGGGACCGTCTTGAGGAGGCAGTCTGTCCGTTCTCAGATCTCAAGCTGCGTGCTGGGAGAGTCACTACTCTCTTCAAAGCTCGGGTGAAAATGCAGACATCACCCGTCTTCTGTGTCGCTCACGCTGGGAGCTGTAGACTGGAGCTGTTCCTATTCAGCCATCTTGGCTCCACTCTCCTAGCATGTTTTTTATAAGTTCAAAGGGTTGGTCACCACAGGTTCTATCACACCTAAGTATCACCCATAAGTGCAGTGCTCCTTTTTGCAACTTTCTCATACAACATTGGTAAAGGCAACCCTGTGCCTTAGATTTAGGGATTTTGTGCCAAGTCATCTAATAATATTGAACACACTCTCTCTCTCCACCCCATATTCCATCTTTGCATACGTGTCCTAGGGGTAGCAAATGTGTGTAATATTCAAGGACATAATGGTCATCATTTCTTACCTACAGGATTGAGTTGTGATTGATGCTGATTATTCTTCTGTATGTTATGTATTTTTAAAAGATATGGTCTCAGAAGTGGAATTCTATGCTAATTTTATTTTCTTTTTCATAGTTTTTATTTTCTCTGTTACCTGGTTTATTTTTACAAATGAGAACATGTTTTTAAACAGACAAAACAATAAACCTTTTCCATATGTATAACAATTATTAATTTTTTAAAGATGGAGAAAAGAAGACGCAAAAATGGTCCACATATCCCACATACAAATAATCTCACTGATATTTTTAAAATCAAAGTAACACTTTGAAAATTCAAACAAAAGAATTATACAAATAAGAACTAAAAATCTTGTCTCATTTCCCATCTCCAGAGATAACCATTGTTGCCAATACTTCTTGTATGTATATCCAGAAAATAATTCTACACATATGCCACCGTATATATGTGTGTTTGTATATTCACTGTTTTTTCAATATAAGATATAGTTTAATATATCTTATAAGTCATTACATATATGCACATAGAAATGTACTAGGTATTTCTAAATAAATGTATACTTTACCGTTGTATCCCTAGTGGCGGTCATTTGGGTCGTTTCTAGGTTATATTCTTTATGGACATTTAGGTTGTCCTGGTTTTTTGTTTCTACAGACTGTGCTAGAGTGAATATACTTGTTCATTTATTCTGAGATAATTTGTCAACCACATTGTACACTTGCGTTACTAGCTATGGAACTCGGAATCAAAATATAGATGTATAAAAATATTTTATAGATATTGCCAAAATAGTTTCTAAAATGGCTATGGCAATTTATATTCCCATTAACAGTACATACTTCTATGTATTCTTTTTTTATTAAACACAAAAAATAGCATTTTATTGTAACTATATCTTTTGATGAGATGATATATGTTTTTTAGCAATTACTTCATAAAGCTGTTAATGAATATTAGTGATTTATAAAATGAGACAGTTTAGTATCAATACTATCCCTATTTTTTTCCTTTTTTATTATACTTTAAGTTCTGGGATACATGTGCAGAACATGCAGGTTTGTTACATAGGTACACATGTGCCGTGGTGGTTTGCTGCACCCATCAACCTGTCATCCACATTAGGTATTTCTCATAATGCTATACTTCCCCTAGCCCCCATCCCCCAACAGGCCCCCATGTGTTATGTTCCCCTCCCTGTGTCCATGTTTTCTCACTGTTCAGCTTCCACTTTTAAGTGAGAACATACGGTGTTTGGTTTTCCATTCCTGTGTTAGTTTGCTGAGAATGGTGGTTTCCAGCTTCATTCATGTCCCTGCAAAGGACATGAACTCATCCTTTTCATGGCTGCATAGTATTCCATGGTGTATATGTGCCACATTTTCTTTATCCAGTCTGTCGTTGATGGGGATTTGGGTTGGTTCCAAGTCTTTGCTATTGTGAACAGTGCTGCAGTAAATATACATGTGCATGTGTCTTTATAGTAAAATGATTTATAATCCTTTGAGTATATGCCCAGTAATGGGATTGCTGTGTCAAATGGTATTTCTGATTCTAGATCCTTGAGGAATTGCCAGACTGTCTTCCACAATGGTTAAACTAATTTACATTCCCACCAACAGTGTAAAAGCATTCCTATTTCTCCACATCATCTCCAGCATCTGTTGTTTCATGACTTTTTAATGATCCCATTCTAACTGGCATGTGATGGTATCTCATTGTGGTTTTGATTTACATTTCGTTAATGACCAGTGTTGATTAGCTTTTTTTCACATGTGTGTTGGCTGCATAAATGTCTTCTTTTGAGAAGTGTCTGTTCATATCCTTCGCCTACTTTTTGATGGGGTTGCTTAGTTTTTTTCTTGTAAATTTGATTAAGTTCTTTGTAGATTCTGGATAGTAGCCCTTTGTCAGATGGATAGATTGCAAAAATTTTCTCCCATTCTGTAGGTTGCCTTTTCACTCTGATAATAGTTTCTTTTGCTGTGCAGAAGCTCTTTAGTTAAATTAGATCCATTTGTCAATTTTGGCTTTCGTTGCCATTGCTTTTGGTGTTTTAGTCATGAAGTCTTTGCCCATGCCTCTGTGCCGAATGGTATTGCCTAGGTTTCCTTCTAGGGTATTTATGATTTTAGGTCTTCGATTTCAGTCTTTACTCCATCTTGAGTTAAATTTTGTAAAATTTTTGTAAATTTTGTAAGGAAGGGGTCCAATTTCAGTTTTCTGCATATGGCTAGCCAGTTTTCCCAATTTATTAAATAGGGAATCTTTATCCCATTGCTTGTTTTTGTGAGGTTTGTCACAGATCAGGTGGTTGTAGATGTGTGGCATTATTTCTGAGGCCTCTGTCCTGTTCCTTTGGTTGATATATCTGATTTGGTACCAGTACCACACTGTTTTGGTTACTGTAGCCTCATAGTATAGTTTGAAGGCAGGTAATGTTATACCTTGGCAGTAACTAATAGCCTACCAACCAACAAAAGCCCAGGACCAGACAGATTCACAGCCGAATTCTAGCAGAGGTATAAAGAGTTGCTGGTACCATTCCTTCTGAAACTATTCCAAATGATAGAAAAAGAGGGAATCCTCCCTAACTCATTTTTGAGGCCAGTATCATCCTGATACCAAAACCTGGTTGAGATACAACAACAACAAAAAAGAAAATTTCAGGCCAGTGTCACTGATGAACATTGATGTGAAAAGCCTCAGTAAAATACTGGCAAACCAAATCCAGCAGCACATCAAAAAGCTTATCTACCACAATCAAGTTGGCTTCATCCCTGGGATTGCAAGCCTGGTTCAATATACGCAAATCAATAAACATAATCCATCACATAAACAGAACTAATTACAAAAACCACATGATTATCTCAATAGATGCAGAAAAGGCCTTTGATAAAATTCAACACCCTTCATACTAAAAACGCTCAATAAAATAAGTATTGATGGAACATATCTCAAAATAATAAGAGCTACTTATGGCAAACCCGCAGCCAGTATACTGAATGGGCAAAAGCTGGAAGCATTCCCTTTGAAAACTGGCACAAGACAAGGATGCCCTCTCTCACCACTCTTATTCAACATAGTATTGGAAGTTCTGGCCAGGGCAATCAGGCAAGAGAAAGAAATAAATGGTATTCAAATAGGAAGAGAGGAAGTCAAATTGTCTCTGTTTGCAAATGACATGATTGTCTATTATGAATACCCCATCATCTCAGCCCAAAATATCCTTAAGCTGATAAGCAACTTCAGCAAAGTCTCAGGTTACAAAATTAATGTCCAAAAATCACAAGCATTTCTATACACCAATAATAGACAGAGAGCCAAATCATGAGTGCACTCCCATTCACAATTGCTACCAAGAGAATAAAATACGTAGGAATACAACTTACAACGGATGTGGAGGACTTCTTCAAGGAGAACTACAAACCACTGCTCAAGCAAATAAGAGAGGACACAAACAAATGGAAAAACATTTCATGCTCATGGATAGGAAGAATGAATATCATGAAAATGGCCATTCTGTCCAAAGTAATTTATAGATTCAATGTTATTCCCATCAAGCTGCCACTGACTTTCTTCACAGAATTAGAAAAAACTACTTTAAGTTTCATATGGAACCAAAAAAGAACCCATGTAGCCAAGACAATTCTAAGCAAATAGAACATGGATTCTTACTAGAACTGGACTTACAAGATTTTTCAATTTTTCAACAACTTTAAATAGAGAAAACTATCTTAATTTGTTTTGTTTTGGATTTTGGATTTCTTTAATGGCAATTTTAGTTAAGCATACTTTTATAATTTTATTGACCTTCTGAATTTATTTTAGGTAAACTCTATGGCCTTATTTATTTTCATGTATAAGTAAATTGTCTCTTTTTCTTACTGACTTCTAGAAGGTATTTTCATTTTGGAGAAAATTAAAAAGGAAGAAAAGAAGAAAGAAAGGAAGGAGATAAAGACAGAGAGAGAAAGGAAAAAAGTATTCCACCCAGAATGTATTTTTAAACACAATATCTTACCATAAGCTGATATGTGAAATTAGTCCAATTTAAGACACATGTTTTGAATGAATACGTGCTATGTGGAAAAAACTGTGCAAAGCACTGCAGGGTATGTAGAAGCAGGAGGAAAGTCACAGAGCTAGAGATCTCTCATCAAGAAATGTAAGAATTTTTTCTTTGCTTTAAAAGATCTAAATTTTAAGATCTACTCTGAGAATAGTATATTTTCTTTAACAAAGAATGACTTTCCATTTGTTTCAGACTGTTTTATTGTTCAAATTATTTTTTACCTCTCCCTGGGGATAATTAATACTTCTCCTTCCCATTGATGGCAGGCTTGACCCTGTGACTTGCGCAGCCACACTCTGAAATGTTTAAGACAGTTATGGCAACCTGAGTTCCTGTGAGACTTCATGGTATAGTACAGCCACTGCTGACTCCTGATGGATACGTGACATGGATCCAAATTAAAACTTTGGCGGGCTAAGGCACTGACATTTAGGGGGCATTTGTTACATCAGTTTCTTAGTCTGTTTACTGCTTCGGTAACAGAATACCACTGACTGGGTAATTTATAGGGAAATCCAAGAGCACAGTGCCAGCATCTGTTCGGGGTGATCCCACGGTAGAAGGGCAGAAGGCAGAAGCAAGCACATTAGACAGATAGAGGAATCAGGCCAAACCTAAAAAATTTTTCATTCAACATATGTTTATTAATGACTTATTATCTTCTAGGCACTATTCCAGTCACCAAGAATATATCTGTGAAGAATGCAGGTGAAGTTACCACCCTCTCAGAGATAAAATTCTTTCATCTTTCATTATTAATAGAATTTCATTATAGTCACTAAAAATACTTTGCATGAATTCCACTTATTTAAATTTGTTTAGGTTTTGTGTGTGTGTGTGTGTGTGTGTGTGTGTGTGTGTGTGTGCTTCATGCATGTTAAAACCTTGTTGTTAGGTAAGTGCGTACCTGTTTAGGATTGTTATGTGTTCTCCAAACTCCTTTTGCTTATTGTTTGCATGGTATCTTTTTTCATCCGGTTGCTTTTAATCTTTGTAAGTCTTTATGACTAAACTGGCTTTCTTGAGCCCAGCACCTAGATCTTTTTAAAAAGTTAATGTAACTACTTCGATCCCTTAAGTGGAATGATAGACAATTTCCATTGAATGTAATTGTTGGTGTGGCTAGACTTAAATCTACCATTTTATTTTACTTTTTATTTTTATAGATTTGTGGGTACATGTGCAGATTTCTTACCTGCATATATTGTGTAGTGGTGAAGTCTGGGCTTTTAGTGTACCCACACCCAAATAGTGAACATTGTACCCAACAGGTAATTTTTAACCTTCACTCCGCTGACTTGCCCACATTTGTAGTCTCCTATGTTGACTATTCCACTCTATATATCCGTTTGTCCACATTGTTCAGCACCCACTTCTATGTGAGAACACATGGTATACTAGTCCTTTCTCACATTGCTATAAATAACTACCTGAAACTGGTTAATTTATAAAGAAAACAGGTTTAATCGACTCACAGTTCCATAGGCTGTACAGGAAGCATCACTGGGGAGGACTCAGGAAGCTTCCATTCATGGCAGAAGGCAAAGAGGAAGCAAGCATGTCTTACATGGCTGCAGAAGGAGGAAGAGAGTGAAGGGGGTGGTGCTACACACTTTTCAACAACCAGGTCTTGTGAGAATTCACTATCACAAGAACAGCAAGGGGAAATCCACCCCCGTGATCCAATCACCTCCCACCATGCCCCTTCTCCATCACTGGGGATTACAATTCAACATGAGGTTTGGGCTGAACACGAATCCAAACCATATCATCTGGTATTTGACTTTCTGTTCCTGAGTTATTTAACTTAGTATGATAACTTCCACAAAGTTGTCCTTTTATCAGGAGGCTACTCTTGTGATAACTAACCCCTTCCCTCAATAACAGCATTAATCTACTCATAAGGGTGAAGCCCTCGTGACATAATCACTTCTTAAAGGCCCCATTTCCCAACACCCTTACACTGGCAATTAAATTTCAACATTAGTTTTGGCAGAGACATTCAACCCACAGCAAACAGTGTATTTTAAGCTATGCTAATAGACGCAATGGTAATATTGTAAAAATACAGGCTTATTATGCACACCCCAACCCATGGAGGGAAAAAATACTACAAGAAAGCAAGAAATCATAAAAATTTCCACTATCCAGAAATAGCTACTCTTAATTTTAAGTGATATTTCTGGGATGATGTATTGACCAATGAATAAATATAAATAATTCAGAATAAAGTAATTATTCTTTACATAATATTTTAGCTTATAAAATATTACATTTGACTTGTTTGACTTAAAAAAACCACAAAACACAAATTTAAGGAACGTCTCAAATTCAGATATGAGTTTATTCATTACAAGAAGTATATATTTTTAAAATATTCTGAAACTAAAAGATTATTTAAAATTTTTTAAAACATATTTATTATTCTTCTAAAGCATGTGTATTAATTTTAGTTAGTGTCTTGATCCTGAGCTATGAAAGATGAATAAATTAGTATAATTACACTTTGTCTCTGACTCCTTTCTCACACTCCTCTCCCTCTTATTTTGTTACTATTATGCTGATGGTGGTTATAACATTGAAATTCTGCTCTGACACTATAAATCTACTCTTAATAGTTCTCCATCTTAGTTTTATATTTAAATAGAATCAGTGCTCGCTATAATTTCTCCATTGCTAAGTTATTAAGGTGATTTTTTCTTAAAAGACTGGATTTTGCTGCTCAATAGTAGAAAGGGTGGTGGCTTAATAGTTATAGTAGTTTTGTTTTAGAAAGGTCTTATGGGGATGATTCCAGTATGCATGCTTGTCTTTCTTACTTAAAGAACAACCTGACTCAGAGTAAATATCCTAAGATTAATTTATCTCATTGATAAATGTGTTCACATTGTTTCACCATCTTTTGGTATAAATATGTGGCTTTGGTTAGAGCCTAAGGCCAAAATGATTTTTTTCCTTGTCTGTGACATGCTTTTTCTACCTGAATATCCATTTGATTCTTTTTGTATTTGAAGTTCAGTAGCTTTGTTTGATTATACCTTAGTGTTGTAATTATTCAATATG
The DNA here is from genome assembly GCF_000001405.40 of Homo sapiens. Lineage (NCBI taxonomy): Eukaryota > Metazoa > Chordata > Mammalia > Primates > Hominidae > Homo > Homo sapiens. The sequence continues at coordinate 49,473,471 of NC_000002.12, read as the reverse complement.
ATTTCTCAGAAACACATTTTATTTCAATTTGCATACCCAAGCCTTTATTTCAAAAATGCTTTCCTCTTTTTTTCTTTTGGGAGCACTTATTATGTTGAAGTTTTTCTGTTTTGTTTTGTTTTCTATATCCATTATCTCAATTAACAGTATTTACAATTTTCTTTCCACTTTACACTGTACATTTTCCTCAAGCTATCCACCATGTATCTTATTTAGCTTTAATCACAGTTAGTCTGTACTGCATGTGTGTTTTAGCTGTGGTATATTTTCATTTTTCTCTTCTATGTTTTCATGTTGCTCTGCTAGCCTTCATTCATCGCTTTCAGTTTATTGCATCTGAACCCTGAATCTCTGTAACCATATTGTCTTAATGATTCTGGAAAATTATTTGTCTAAAATCTTAATGTTAATTTGCATAAATATTGCCTTTTCCTCATGACTCTTTACCCAGGCACCCCATTTTCCCCATTTTTGGTTTTGTCTCACTATTGCTACTGTTGTTGTTTCTGGTTTCCATGGGGAAGTCTTTTGTGACTTTTTGTCTGATTATTATTCATTTTTGTATGGATTCAGTGCTTGCTGAATAATGGTGTGGGTGTAACCCAACACAGGTCTGCCACGTGCTGCTTGCAGAGTCCAGTGACAAGTGCAAGGTATGGTAAAAAGAAAGTTACTTTATTAACCAAAACTAGTGATGGGGAAATGCCCAGACTGTAGTCCAAAGCAGCCACTTTGAATTTCTGGGGAGGAGGCGGGGATTTCAAAAGGGAAACTTGATATGGGGAGGCATGCAGGAATTGTGCTGAGTACAAGGTCTGCATGTCTTGTTTCAGTGGCTATCTTGAGTGTCATTCCACCTGGAGCATGGGCTGGAGTCATCTCAACAATGGCCAGGTTGTTGACTAGCCTCCTTGAGGTAATCTCTGAAATTGTGCAGCTGGGTCTCCAGGCTTGGTTTGTCTGTCTCAAGATTAGCCCTTGGAACTTATAAGTAAGCACATAATTAAGTACTAGCATACAGCTAGATAAATGTGAAGGGAGTATACAGTGGGAAAGGGAGGAATTTAGAGTCTATTTTAAGGTTATGGGAAAAGCTTCTGCAGTTTGCTTTCAGGTTACATCTCAAGACAAAGGAGAAAAGAAAAAAGTTTTAAAATGCATTTTGAAGTCGAGCTGCTTGGTTACATGGGGAGTTGAAGAAAGTGTGCTGGGGGCATGATTTGGGGGTCTAATACTCTCCTGGAGAAATATATTTTTTCTACCTTCAAGATTGACATGGCCCACAGCAGTATCCTGGGCACAGGCTCTTTGTGTTGCAGTCTGAAATCCACGATTTTTCTCCCTCCTTTTCCCTACTTTACTTCAAGAAATGGTCTTTGACTACAAGGTTTAGGAAAGCAATATCCCAGTGAACTTTGAAGAGGAAAGTGTTAGCTTTCAATACATTCCCTTACAATTTCACAGTACTGTTTTACTTGATATGCTTTATATTTTGTGCTTTAAATATAGATAGATAAGATTAGATAGATAGATAGATAGGTAGATAGACAGATAGATAGATAGATAGATAGATAGATAGATAGATAGATAGATACACATATATATATTTAGGAGTGTGACATTTTCTTTGTTTTATTGATACTAGAGAAGTTTTATCCTTTGATTTTTGATATTTCAGCTGTTGTCAGTTGATTCCTCTGAAAAGTAGGGCAAAAAATACTTTATTCTTTGGTTTGTGAATAATGTTTTTAAATTTTTGGTAAGCATCGCCATGTAACTTATTCCACCTCTTGATAATTTAAAAACACATGAAGTTTCTTACTAAAGAAACATGCAAGTATTGATTCAGCACGTATATATACATCCTTTTCTTCTAGGGTTATGGGAGATAGGCAAAAAAACACTGTAAAGTTGCCCCTTGGTATCCAAAGGGGATTGGTCCCAGGACCCCCACAGACACCAAAATCAGTGCATACTCAGGTCCTACAGTGGGCCCTTCAGAGCCTGCGTATATGAAAAGTCAGCCCTTTGTATCCATGGGTTTTTGCATCCCCCAAATACTGTTGTTTGTTTGAGATGGGGTCTCACTCTGTCACCCAAGCTTGAAAGCAGTGGTGGTCATAGCTTATTGTAATATTGAACTCCGGAGCTCAGGTGATACTCCTGCCTCAGCTTCTGAAGTAGCTGACTGACTGTATTTTTGATACACATTCAGTTGTGGATGTGGAACCTGCAGTTATAGAAGGGTGATTGTATTTATTTAAAAAAAAATCTACTTATGTGGGCCCACACAGTTCAAATACATGTTGTGCAAGGGTCAAATGTATCTGCATTCAAGAAGCTAAGAATCTAGTTATTGTTTTCTAGTTGTACAATAATAATAACTTTTAAAAAGATACCTGCTTGCCCTTTGAGAATGTAAAGTTTGCTTTACTCGATGTTAAGCACTTATTTTTTCCTAATCAAATTATTAATGTTTGTGAAAGGTGGGTGCTTACATTGCAGGACTTCAGTTTACATGCATGTAGATACAGTAAACTTAAGGAATAGGTACCATTAAATAGTTTATTTGAGTTGATTTCTGTAAGTGGTGACAGATAGGGGTTCAGTTTCATTCTTCTGCATATAGATATTTTGTTTTCCCAGCAACATTTATTAGAGACTCTCCTTTCCCTAATGTGTGGTCTTGGTGTGGTGTTGGTTGAAAATTAGTTGGCTGTAAATGTGTGAATTGATTTCTGGGCCTCTATTTTGTTCTGTTGGTCCATGTGTCTGTTTTTATGTCACTACCATGCTTTTTTCGTTACTATTATGCATCTAGCTTTCTCTCAGTATTGCTTTGGCTATTTGAGGTATTGTGTGGTTCCATAAGAACTTTTCAATTTTTTTTTCTATTTCTGTGCAAAATGTTGTGGATATTTTGATAGGGATTGCACTGAATCTATAGATCACTTTGGATACTGTGAACATTTTAACAATATCAATTCTTCCAATCTATAAACATGGGCTATATACCCTTTTATTAGTGTCCTCTTCAATTTATTTTATCAATGTTTTATTGTTTTCATTGTAGAGATCTTTCACTTCCTTGGTTAAATTGTATTTTTAAGTATTTTTTTGTAGCTATTGTAAATGGGGTTGCTTTCTTTGTTTCTTTTTCAGATAGTTTGCTATTGGTGTATAGAAACACTACAGATTTTTGTGTGTTAATTTTAAATACTGCAACTTTACTGAATTTGTTCATTAGTTCTAACAGTTTTTGGGGAGTCTGTAGTGTTTCTATATATAAGATTATGTCAATTAGAAATAAGGACAATTTAAACCTCTTCCTTTCCAATTTCAGTGCCTTGTATTTTTTTCCCCCTTCTTAACTGCTCTAGCTAGGACTTCCAGTACTGTGCTGGACAGAAGTAGTGAAAGTGAGCATCCTTGTCTTATTCCAGTTCTTAGAGGAAAAACTTTTAATTTTTCCCCATTTGGCATGTTAAATGTGGGTTTGTCATATAGGGTGTTTATTATATTGGGTATATTTCTTCTATACCTAATTTGTTTAGGATTTCTATTATGAAGGGATGTTGAATTTATCAAATGCTTTTTCTGCGTCTATGGAGATGATCATTAGGTTTTTGTCTTTCATTTGGTTAATGGGATGTATCACATTTATTGATTTGCCTATGCTGAACCATCCTTGCATCCCTGGGATGAATTCTACTTCATCATGGCGAATGATCTTTTTGATGCAGTGTTAGAGTTAGTTTCCTACTATTTTATTGAGGACTTTTGCATTTATGTTCTTTGGGGATATTAGACTGTAGTTTTCTTTTTGGTCGTGTTCTTGTCTGGTTTTGGTATCAGACTAATGCTGGCCTCATAGACTGCGTTTAGAATTCCCTCCGCTACATCTTTTAGGAATTGTATGAGAAGAATTGGTATTAGTTCTTTTTTAAATATTTGATAGAATTCAGCATTTAATCCATCAGCTCCTAAGCTTTCGTTAAACAGAAGACTTTTCATTACTGAGTCTCATTACTTGTTACTGATCTGTTTAAGTTTTTTGTTTCTTTTGATTCAATCTTGGTATGTTTTATGTATCCAAAATTTATCCATTTCTTTTAAGTTTTCCAATTTTTTGCCACATACTTGTTAGACTTAAATTTATGACCTAAAACTATGAAAGTACTAGAAGAAAACATAAATGCTTCATGATACTCATCTGGGCAAGAATTTTTTTAATAAGCCCTCAAATGCACAGGCAACAAAAGGAAAAAGTAGACAAAATGGAATTACATCAACTGCAGAACTTGTGCACAGCAAAGGAAACAATGAATAGAATGAAGAGACAACCTACAAAATGAGAGAAAATATGTACAAACTATGCATCTGACAAGGAATTAATATCCAGAATATAAGAAACTCAGGAGGAGACAGAGCAATATGGACAAATAGAATCCTCCACCACTTATCCTTCGGCAGGCACGCCAAATTGAACAACTATCTACACAAAAAAGCACTTTGATAATAACAAAAAATCAGGTGAGTGATGAAAGTACCTGATTTAACTTCATATCACTAAAAGAAGCACTGATGAGGCTAGGAATGACAGTCTTAAATGCCGAGGTCACCCCTCTCCATTCCCTAGCAGTGGCCATGTGACTGACAGAGAATCTGTGCACTTGTAGGAGGGAGAGCACAGTGATTGTGGGACTTTGCATTGGAACTCAGTACTGCCAACACCAGGCAGAATTTAGCTGACACCCACAGTGGGAGTATTTAGACAAGCCGTAGCCAGAGGATAATTGATCAGTCCAGCAATCTGAACTTGAGTCTGACAGCTTTTTCACTGTGGGCTGAGATGCTATGGGGGTCTTAAATAAACTTGAAATACAGTCTAGGCCACAAGGACTGCAACTCCCAGGCAATTCCTAGTGCTATACTGGTCTCAGAGCCAGTGGACGTGGTAGTTACATTACATAGTGAGACACCAGCTGGAGTGACTGAGGGAGTGCTTGTACCACGCCTCTGCCAGTCTCAGGCAGAACAGCTTACAGCTCTGAAAGAGACTTATTCCTTCCGCTTGAGGAGAGGAGAGGAGAGGAGAGGGGAGCACTGGAGTAAAGAGGACTTTGTCCTGCAACTTGGATATCAGCTCAGCCACCATAAGATAGAGCACTGGGTAGAATCATGAGGTCCCATTCCAGGCCCTAGTTCCTGGACAACACTTCTAGACACACCCTGGGCCAGAAGGGAACTTGCTGCCTTGAGGGAAAGGACCCAGTACTGGCAGGATTCATCATCTGCTGACTAAAGAGTCATTGAGCCCCGAGTAATCAACAGCAGTAGCCAGGTGGTACACCCTATGGGCCTTGGGTGAGATACTGAGATGTTTTGGCTTTAGGTGTGTCACAGCAAACTCACAGCTGTGAGAGACTCCATCTGCTTGAGAAAAGCAGAGGAAGAGTAAAGCAGACTTTGTCTTTCAGCTTAGGTACTAGCTCAGTCACAATAAGATAAAGCAGAAAGGAGCCTCTTGGGGTCCTCAATTCCAGGTCTTGGGTCTTGGATGGCCTTTCTGGACCTACCCTGGGCCAGAGCAGGGCCCACTTCCCTGAGGGGTGAGTCTCAATCTAGCAATATTCACCACAAGCTGACTAAAGAGCCTTTGGGCCTTAAGTGAACATCACCTGTAGACTGGCAGTAATCCCCATGGACCTTTTGTAGTGGTGGACATGGGGAGAGACACTTCTGGCTGTGGAAAGGGGAGGGAGGAGTGGGAAGAACTTTGTCTTGTGGTTTGGGTTTCAGTTTAGCCACAGTAGAATAAAGCACCAAGTAGACTTCTAATATTTCTAACTCCAAGCTCTGGATCTACCTAGGGCCTGAGGAAACTTGCCACCCTGAAGCGAAGGACACAAGCCTGACTGCTTTGTCACCTGTTGATTGTAGAGCCCCAGGGCCTTGAGTGAACATAGGCCATAGCCAGGTAGTGGTTACAGCAGGCCTTGATTAAGACGAAGTGCTGTGCTGACATCAGGTCTGACCCAGTGCAATTCCAGTAGTGGTGGGTCCAGGTGTATTTGTGTCAACCCTCACCCAGATCCAGGCAGTTCAGCACAGAGAGAGAGAGAGACTACATTTGTTTAGGAGAAAGTAAGGGAAGAGAACAAGAGTCTCTACCAGGTAAGCCAGAGAATTCTTCAAGATCTTATCCAAGACCACTAAGGTGGTATCTCTATGAGTCTGCAGGAACCACAGTGTTACTGGGCTTGGGGTGCCCCTTAATGCAGATCTGGCTGCAGTGACCTAAAATTTATATCACAACTCCCTAGTCCTGGCCAGGTGCAGTGTCTCACACCTGTAATTCCAGGACTTTGGAAGGCCAAGGCTAGCAGATTACTTGAGCCCAGGAGTTTGAGACAAGCCTGGACAACATGGTGAAACTATGTCTCTACAAAAAATATAAAAATTAGTCAGGCATTCTGGCATGCACCTGTACTTCTAGCTACTCAGGAGGCTGAGGTAAGAGAATTGATTGAGCCCGGGAAGTCAAGGCAGCAGTCAGCCATGATCATGCCACTGCACACCACCCTAGGTGACAGACACTGCCTGAAACAAACAAACACATAAACAAAAAGCACCCAAATCCCTTGAAATATCTGGAAAGCCTTCCCAAAATGTATGAATACAAACAAGCCCAGACAACAAAGATTACAATAATAACCTATCTGTTCAATGCCCAGACACCAACGAATATCCACAGGCATCAAGACCATCCAGGGAAATGTGACCTCACCAAACAAACTAAATAAGGCACCAGGGACCAATCCCAGAGAAACAGAGATACGTGACCTTTCACATAGAATTCAAAATAGCTATGTTGAGGAATCTCAAGCAGGAAAGAGTTAGTGAGCTTGAAGTCAGGCTGTCTGAAAATACACAGAGAAGACAAAACAGAAAGGAATACACAAACAAACAAAAAACATACCTACAACACTTAGAGAATGGCCTCAACAGGGCAAATCTAAGAGTTATTGTCCTTAAAGATGAGGTTGAGAGAGGGGAAAGTTTATTCAAAGAGATAATATCAGAGAACTTCCCAAACATAGAGAAAGATATCAATATCCAAGTACAAGAAGGTTATGAAACGCCAAGCAGATTTAACCCAAAGAAGATGACTTCAAGGTATCTAATAATCAAACTTCCAAAAGTCAAGGATAAAGAAAGCATCCTAACAGCAGCAAGATAAAATAAACAAATAACATACAATGGAGGGCCAATATATCTACCAGCAGACTTTTCAGTGGAAATCATAGAGAGTGGCATGACATATTTATAGTGCTGAAGGAAAAAATTTCATCCTAGTATAGTATATCTGCTGAAAATATCCTTTAAATATAGAGAAATAGAGAATTTCCAGACAAACAAAAGGTGAGGGGTTTCATCAACACCAGACTTGTCTGACAAGAAATGCTAAGGGACGTTTTTTTAATATGAAAGAAAAGGACATCAATGAGCAATAAGAAATCTGAAGGTATAAAACTCACTGGCCATAGTAAACACACATAAAAACAATGAATATTACAATACTGTAATTGTGGTATGTAAGCTACTCATATCTTAAGTAGAAATACAAAAAGATGAACAGATCAAAAATAGTACCTACAACTTTTCAAGACATAGTACAATACAATATAAGTAGGAACAAACTTTTAAATGTGAGAGAACAAAGTGTGGAATTTTTATTAGCTTTCTTTTTCCTTGTTTGTTAGTCTGTTTATGCAATCGGTGTTAAGTTGTCATCAGTTTAAAATAGTGGATTATAAGATATTACCTGCCACCCTCATAGTAACCTCAAATCAAAAAAATATAATGTATACACAAAAAATAAAAAAGCAAGAAATTGAAACATACCACCAGGGAAATTTACCTACTCTAAAAGGAAGACATAAGAAAAAGGGAAGGGAAGGGAAGGGGAAGGGGAAGAGGAAGGGGAAAGGGGAAAGGGAAGGGGAAAGGGGAAAGGGAAAGGGGAAGGGAAAGGGGAGAGGGAAAGGGGAAGGGGAGAGGGAAAGGGGAAGGGGAGAAGGAAAGTGGAAGGGCAGAGGGAAAGGGGAAGGGGAGAGGGAAAGGGAAAGGGAAAGGGGGGAGGAAACAGGAAAGGAAAGGAAAAGGAAAGGAATAAGAAAGGAAATAAAAGGAAAGGAGGAAGGAAAGGAAAAGGAAGAGACAGGCAAGAAGGAAGAAAGGAAGGAAGGAAGGAAGGAAGGAAGGAAGGAAGGAAGGAAGGAAGGAAGGAAAAACAACCAGAAACAAAATAACAAAATAACAGAGGTATATTCTTATCTATCAATAATAACATTGAATGTAAATGAACTCTCCAATCAAAAGACATAGAGTGACTGAATGGATTACAAAACAAGACCCAATGTTCTGTTGCCTACAAGAAACACATTCCATGTATAAAGTCAAACATAGACTAAAAATAAAGGGATGAAAAAAGGTATTTCATGCCGGTAGAAATCAAAAAAGAGCAGGAGTAGCTATATGTATTCCTACACAAATACAACCTAACAAGATAGAGGTCAAAATATATTTTAAGACAAAAACAATAAAAAGAGACAAATAAGGTCATAATATAATTATAAATGGGTCAATTCAATAAGAAGACATAACAGTGGTAAATATGTGTGCACCTAACACTGGAGCACCCAGATAGGTAAAGCAAATATTATTAGTGCTAAAGGCAGAGATAGACCCCAAAACAATAATAGCTGGAGGCTTCAGTACCCCACTTTCCACATTGGATGGATCTTCCAGATAGAAAATCAACAAAGAAACATCAGACTTAATCTTCACTGTAGACCAAATGGGCTTAATAGATATTTACAATGCATTTCATCCAGTGACTGCAGAATACACATTCCTCTCCATAGCACACGGGGTATTCTCAAGAATAGACTATATGTTAGCCACAAGGCAAGTCTTAAAACATTCAAAATGAAATAAAATCAAATATTTTATCTGACCACAATGGAATACAACTAGAAATCGACAACAAAGAGGAATTTTGGAAACTATAGGAACACATGGAAATTAAACAACATACTCCTGATTGACCAGTGGGTAAAAGAAGAAATTAAGAAGAAAATTGAAAAATTTTTTGAAACAAATGATAATGGAAGCACAACATACCAAAACCTATGGCATATAGTGACAGCATTACTAAGAGGGTAATATATAGCTATAAGTGCCTACATGAAAAAAGAAGAAAAACTTCAAATAAACAACCTAATATTGAAGTTTAAGGAACTAGAAAAGTAAGAGCAAGCCAAACCAAAAATTAGTAGAATAAAATAAGTAATAAATATCAGAGCAGAAATAAATGAAATTGAAATTAAGAAAACAAAAAGTCAATGAAACATAAAGTTGGTTCTTTGAAAAGATAAACAAAATTGACAGACCTTTAGCAAGACTAAGAAAAAAAGAGAGAAGGCTCAAATAAATAAAAATGGAAATTAAAGAGGAAATATGACAACCAATACCACAGAAACTTAAAAGATCATTAGAGGCTACTATGAGCAACTATATACTAGCAAACTGGGAAATCTAGAAGTAAGGACATTGAAGCCTTAATAAAAACTCTCCCAGTAAAGAAAAGCCTGATGATTTCCCTGCTGAATTCTACCAAACATTTAAAGAACTAATACCAAATTTGCTTAAACTATTCCAAAAAATAGAGAAGGGGATAATTCTTCCAAACTCATTCTATGAAGCCAATATTACGCTCACACCAAAACCATAGAGGCATCAGAAACAAACAAACAAACAAACTACATGCCAATATCCCTGATGAACATTGATGCAAAAATCTTCAACAAAATGCTAGCAAACCAAGTTCAACAACATTTTAAAAAGATCATTCATCACGACCAAGTGGTATTTATCCCAGGGATGCAAGGATGGTTCAACATACACAAATCAATCAATGTGATACCTTGTATCAACTGTATGAAAGACAAAAACAATACAATCATTTCAATTGATGTGAAAAATGCATTTGATAAAACTCAATATTTCTTTACAATTAAAAAACTCAGCAAACTAGGTATAGAAGGAACATACCTCAATGTAATAAAATCCATATATGACAGACCCACAGCTAGTATCATACTCAATGGGGAAAAACTGAAGTCTTTCCTCTAAGATCTGGAGCACAGCAAGGATTCCCACACTCACTACTATTATATAACATAGTAATGGAAGAGTAGTGAGAGCAATCAGACAAGAGAAAGTAATAAAGGGCATCCACATTGAAAAGGAAGAAGTCAAGTTATTCTTGTTTACAGATAATATAATCTTATACTTGCAAAATCCTAAATGCTCCACCAAAAAATTATTAGAATTATAAACAAATTCAGTAAAGTTTCAGAATACAAAATCGACATACAAAAATCAGTAGCATTTCTATATGGGAACAGTGAACAACCTGAAAAAGAAATTAAAAAATAATTTATCTTACAATAGATACAAATAAAGTTAAATACCTAGGAATTAGCCAAAGAAGTAAAAGTTTGCTACAATGAAATCTATATAACTTTGATGAAAGAATTGAAGAGGATACACACACAAAAGGAAAGCTATTCTATGTTCATCTACTGGAAGAATCAGTATTGTAAACATGTCTACTACCCAAAGCAATCTACAGATTCAGTGCAATCCCTATCAAAATACCAATGGCATTCTTCAAAAAAATAGAAAAAACAATCCTAAAATTTATATGGAACCCCAAAATACCCAGAATAGCCAAATATATCCTGAGCAAAAAGAACAAAACAGGAGAAATTACATTACCTGATTTCAAGTTATACTACAGAGCTAAGTAACCAAAACGGCATGGTGTTGCCATAAAGACAGACACATCATTCAGTGGAGTGGAACAGAGAACCCAGAAACAAATTCATACATCTGAAGTGAACTTATTTTCAAACAGGGTACCAAGAACATACATTAGAAGAAGGACAAACCCTTCAATTAATGGTGCTGAGAAAATTGGATCTCCATATGCGGAAGAATGAAACGGAACCCCTATCTCTCATCATATACAAAAATCAAATCAAAATGGATTAAAGACTTAAATCTAAGACCTCAAACTATGAAGGTACTAAAAGAAAATATCAGGGAAACTCTCCAGGACATTGAACTGGACAAAGATTTACTGAGTAATAACCCACAAGCACAGGCAACTAAAGGGAAAGTGAACAAATGGGAGATCATATCAAGTTAAAAGGATTCTGCACAGCAAAGAAAACAATCAACCAAGTGAAAAGACAACCCAGAGAATGGGAGAAAATATTTGCAAACTATCCGTCTAGCAAGGGATTATAATAATAACCTGAATATATAAAGAGCTCAAACAACTCTATACAAAAATATTAATCCCACTACTGAGTATATGTCTAAAGGAAGTTGAATCAATGTGTCAAATATATATCTGCACTCCCAGGTTTATTCCAACACTGTTCACAATAGTCAAGATATGGAATCAACCTAAGTATCCAACAAAAGATGAATAGATAAAGAAAATACGGTATATATATATATATATATACACATACACACACAATATCATGAAATAAAGCATTAAAAAATAATGAAATCCTGTCATTTGCACAACGTGGGTGAACCTAAAAGACATTATATTAATTGGAACAAACCAAGCAGAGAACGACAAATACCTCCATGATTTCACTCACGTGGAATCTTAAAAAGTTGACCTCATAGAATTAGAAAGTAGAATAGTGGTTACCGAGGAGAATGTAGAGGGGAGAGTAGAGGGGATGGGGCCGAGGAGAGCATGGTGAATGGGCACAAAGTTAGAGTTAGATAGGGGAATAATTTCTGGTGTTCTATTGCACAGCAGAGTGCCTATAGTCAACAATCATGTGTACTTCAAAATATCTAGAAGAGAGGATTTTGAATGTTCTCATCACAAATACATGACAAGTGTTTGAGGTGATGAATTTGCTAATTATCCTGACTTGTTCATTACACAATGTACTTATGCATGGAAACCTCACACTGTACCCCATAAATATGTATGATTACCATATTTCCATTAAAAAATTAAATGCAAACATATAAGTTTGAATAGATGAATTCATTTTTGACCTCACTTCAGTTTAAATTGTTTTAGTTCCTTCATTGAAGTTCTTCTGGTCAGAAAACTAGGCTATATCAGAACAAATCTGAAAGGAAAAGTTTATTAAATTGGTGAACTCAAACTAAACAGGAGAATAGAGTAGTGAAGCTTTACATTTATAAAAGAAGAAGAAAATATATGGCAACTTAGGACATTGAGGCTAGGACAGTATACTCCTTAGTTCTTTATGTGGAGACTTGAAGCAAGTCTTCACCAAGTATAGGTTTGGTAGTTGTAGTGTAAATTGGAACAATGAATATTGTTGCTCCTTTTTTTGGTAAATACTGAAAGATAATATTCAATGTGCCTGGTGGTATCAGATTATTGAGAGACTTTAAAGATAGTTTAAATAATTCGGAATTTATCCTTAGAGTAATGGAAAACCTCAGGTTTCCTAAACACAGTGTATCTTCCATTTCATGTCTGTATGTAGAGGTGATTATGAGTGAAAAATGTGAGCAGTTGAAAGAATACTTATTACATTATTAAGAATGAAACTTGAGAAAGCTGTTTTATAGTACTGATAATAGAAATAGAAAAAATAGGAAGCAAAATCAGGTAGGAAAACAAACAAAAAGAGAACATTCTAATTTAGTTTTATGTATTGGATAGAAGTTTTAGCTTAAGAATTCTGAAAATTTCACAAATTGGATCTTTCAGACCTAGCGTCTACCATCTGGGGCATTTCTTTGGAAACATCTGGGTAGTGATTAAATATTGTGGTTCCCATATAAATGTCTAGAATAGTGTATACACAACCTTGGAATAGAATTACAATCAATTTCAAAGGAGAATTAAACTGACAATTACTAGGAATGTTTAGAGTTATGAAATTAAATAACTATAAATCTTGTAATTTTTTTACTTTAATCCAGATGTGGTAGCAATATATGTTTATGTAATGATATCCCATCATCATGTGCTCTCAGAAAATTTTTCCCTGAATTGTTGTTGGTTTATTTTTTTTCTTAAAACTGTCAATTTTCATGTTTGTTGTTGTTGTTGTTATGTGTGTGGGCTTTCTTTTTTGTATGTTGTTAGAAATTTGATTCAATGCTTTGGGTTGGGAATAGTTGAGGGTTTAGAATTTGTATCCTGCTTGAATCCCTAACTTTTCCCATCCTTGCATTATTATCCCAAATACTGTCACTTCAGTTCACTTCCTTTCAAGGATAAGGGATATTCAATATTCTAGGATCTAAGCAGTCATAGGATGCATTATATACTTCTGAGTGAAATGATAATCTTCCTCATGGAGTTTACATGAGAATCTAATGAGACATGCATTAAAGCCTCTAGAATAGCGCCTGAGTGACTTAGCACTCATTGTGTGTCAGTTATTCTTATTGCTACAAAACCACGAGAATAAACTTTGGTTGAGTTTTTCTTCATTAAACATTCTTACACTTGTACAGGAAGAGAAAGAATCCATGAATTCTTGGCTCAGTGGCTTTCACTACTCCTAACAGACAGCAGGGGGAAATTTCAACTTCAAAGTTTTCAACTTCCGTGATATCAGGACTTCATAACTATAAGAATTCATCTAAGTGAATCTGGTTGCTTAAATATAGGGGAAAGGGAGGGGGAAAAACAGAAGTTTCTGGAAAGAAAGCAATGAGAAACCATGAAAAGAAAATCTTAGATAATGCCTATATTTAGGAAGCAAATAAAAAGGAGTCAGCAAAGGAAGAGCAACAATAAAGAAGACAGTAGGAGTTATACAGCACTGTAGAAAGATTGCCTGGCAGAATCAGTTTCTTTCTTTTTGTGTTTCTTCCACCCTTCTTCCCTCTTCTTCCTTTCTTCCTCCATTCTTTTTTTCCTTCCCTCTTTCCTCCTTTTTTTTCCTTCCTGTCTCCCTGCCTCCCTCCTTCCCTCCCTTTCACAAATGTTAGTTGACAATCAACCATGTGTCATCACTACACTAGGCATTAGGAATACAACAATGAACAAAACAAAATCTCTGTCCTTTTGAAGCTTCCAAAGCTTCAAAAGGGGGAAAACATTCACGTGTAGACATTTAACATATTGGCAGGTAGTAAACCCTAAAAATAAAAAATGGTGCTAAAGAGTAGAAACAAAATGGTATTTTTTCGGGGATATTGAGGAAATTTCTTTCTGTGTGTCATTTGAGCTCACACTTGAATGAGATTAGGAAGCAAGGGAAGCCCAGTGGGCTCTGAGCCAAAGTGTAACATCTCACTTATGTTTAAAAATGCTAGATGTGTAGCACTGGAGCCAGAGGCCTGTGTATGAATTTGTAGCCCTGGAACATTTAAGTCACTTGTTTACTCTGGTTCTCAGTTTCTTCCTGAGTAGGAAGGGGTTAATTACAATAAGTCTACAGAGATATTGTGAAGATTTTACAAAAGATCATTCAGATAAAGCGCTTAACACAATCTGTGAAACATAGTCAGTGTTCAATAAATGTTATTTATTGTTTTTGTTATTAGTATTGTTGCATCATCATCATTTTTATTGAGTCTATTAAAAGCCTCAAGAAGAAAGGAGACAACTTTGTCAGGCTGAAGTAATTTAATGTAAGGGGAAGATTAAGAAGCTACTGAATTATAAAATAGGAGTAGTTTCTAAGTGTTGAAATAATTTCAAAAATGGATGAGGGCAATGACTAACTAAAAACGTTCCTTTTTTTTTTTTTTTTTTTTACTACATCGAGATATTTTGCATTTGATTTTACTTTTATTACTTTTGCTTATCTTTTTTGTAAACTATAACAGTGCAAAAACCAAGTAGGGTAATATGTGATCTTTGACATAACTCCTATAACACATTTAGTAATCTTGTCTTATTTGCTGCCAAAGTGTTAAAAACAGGAATATGTGTGAAACAATTAACCAAAAATATGTGATTACTTGCCCTCACATAGTCCTTAAGCTAGTGAATGTGATTTTGGTTAGATCTGTTTCTCTCACTTTATTTAACTTTTTATCAAAATAAATTTGATGATATACAGTCACTACAAGTGAAGTATGAAAATGGAAGATTTTTTTTAACAGCCATTGTCGGTAAAGACAGTTCTATTTATTGCATTTTTAGTTCAGATTCTGACATTTATTTTATGTCTAAAACTGTATCAGCCAAGAGTAATAAATTTAGAGAAAGCATAGTACCACTGAATAATTTAGTAGGCTGAAAGCCTTTTCCCATTTTCATATGAGGACCAATTAGAAAAAAACTGGAATGCCTTTTTAGCTATGTTGTATATTATTGTGATACTGTCTGGAGCCAAGTTAGGCTGTTAGGTTGTCTATATAAGTTTTATAGAAAATTAAAATATAAGTAGTTTCAAGTAGGGTTATAATGCTTTTAAATATTTGGGTTTGATGACTTAGGCTCAGAGCCAGAGGTGGGCAGTGGAATAGAGTATGGGGCTGCAGCTCTGAGGAACAGAGTGATATGAAAGCCCATTAGGTAAAATTACCTTGTAATAGGCTGAAAGAGGTTTTCATACCCGAAGTCATCTGGCCAGCCCATTAGGCAGCCATTTTAGATGACCGTTTGAGAAAGTCAGAGGAGCATGCTCTCAGACAGAGGAGACTGTTACTGACTGACAGAGACACTAACTCCAAATGGAAACCACATGGGGAAATGAAGACTGCCCCTGTAGCCAGAGCATTTCAGCCTGTTAATTAGTAAAGATGTCTTTCATTACAGTATGACTTTTTAGTCTTTATATTATTAAACATACCAAAAGAGGGGCATGATTATTATTTCCTTTAATTATTTTTTAGATTTACACATCAGGGAAACAAAGTTTAAGGCTAACAATGGATATACATACCTAGGTGCCGCCTATACATGAACACACATGCTTTTGCCAGGTCTATTTTTTCTAACTTAAGGTAGGTGAATGAGCTCATAGTAGTAGTAGTAGTAGTAGTAGTAGGGTTCAAATCTTACTCCTTCCAAAACGTGCAATATATCTTTGGTTGAAATCAGTCTTGAAACTGTTTAAGAGAGCTTACCAACGGCATTGAATGAAAAGCCAGTATTTGCTAAACTAATAGTAGATATGTATGTACGTATGTGCATGTGTGTGTATATTTATATATACAGTATGTGTATTTATAGATATTTATTAATGTACGAGGGAAAAAGAAGGTGGAAAAATTTAAATAAGAAATTTCTATTTACATAACTAGGTTATGTACACCAGCAATGACCTCTTTAAGGAATCTTGTTGCAGAATAATGATGATACTTTCAAGATGCATGGGAAGTAAACAAAAGGAATAAGCACTGAAGCCTGAGGTGGAGAAGAGGTGGGAAGGGAGATATTTCCATGTTCAAACAAATCAATCTGCTTTCCTCCTTTCTGAGTAAGCTCATGGGTTCAATTCCCCCCAATTCAAAGAATTGTACATATTGTCAGTCCAGCTGCTGTGGTCACCCTTGTAATCTTTATTCACCATTTAAAAAGTTGCATTAATTGGAGAAGCCTCTAGATGCAAACTAGAAATGCAATACATTTTCTAATTTTTAAGTGAATATAAGAATTATTCATCTGCCTATCTGGATGCAGTGATGCTGCAGAAACTTACATTGAAGAGAACTGTGAATTGCTACAATCCCATTAGGTGCTGTGTGAGATACAGGAGGCTGTGTAAGGTCAAGAAGGCTTAGTGCAATAAGTATGGATTATCATAGCTAGACATCCTTGAATATTCTTTGAGAATTGTTCTTGAGCTACAGTAAAATAAATTTCTATGTTACTTTTGTTGGGTAAACTTTGCTGATTTTCTACTTGAGGTTTTGCCATTGAATTGCAGGTACCTTTGTAAGATAATTTATAACGATTGATTTAGCAAGATTGATGTCCAACACCAAATGTTTTGAACCTGTAATTGCCTCTGCAGGCAGCAAGCCATATTATCTCATACACAAGATGAGGTTCATTTGGAAATTAACCCACTATTTCATCATTAATATATGGCATATCTTAGGCCACAGACTTTCCATATTAAAGCATGAAAACCTTTACTAAAAATTCCTTTTATAAAACTTTAAAGACAAACCTACATATGCACAGCAAACATAAAATAAAAACTGCAAAATGTATTTGACCTTCAACAACTAACTTTATTATATGTTAGTTTGCTTCTCCATTTTCTCTCCCAACTGAGTTTCTGTAATCCATCAACCTCATCTTTTACTTTTTATTGATATCCTTAGTTGTTGATGCCAACCCAATGCGTTTTTAAAATGTATGGTTATGCTTCTCTCTATAGTGATGTTGCTAAATGGACCTGCTAAATTCTTTAATTCAAAGGAATGGATGCTCAACTGCTACACTTTCTTCATGGGTTGAATGCTGAGCATACTTGAGTAGAGTAGAAAACATTAGTTATAAGTCTGATTTTATAGTTAGCTTATTGAAACTTCAGCCAAAAAAATCCATTTCTTAGAATGCCTTCTCTGAATAGGCATAGAATTTGAGAAATGTATACTCAATGCAAATTTGTTACTTTTACAATTTAGAATAAACAACAGGAAAGGAAAACAGAATTGGAAATATAATGAAAAAATGAACATTTCTTTTTAGATCTTTACTTTAAAATGTTTTTTATAACATAGAAAATACTTAATTTCTTACTTCATGATTTTCTGCCTCTTTCCTCAATATGTCACCTTGTTAAAATCCCAGACACACAGATATCTTGAAGAAATTGATGGAGCTGTCATATCAACTAGTATTTTGTGATATCAGCTTTAACTTGCTAGAAAATTAACTTCTGGAATTTTGCCTTCTAAGATGTAACAGTTATTTTCAGTGCTGTGTCAGCTCTTCATTTACATCTTAACTTTTTGATCTGACTGTGAAATTGTATGGTCTTCTCTTGACCATGGTTACAGAATTGAGCAAATATGCAACTAATTATTAGTAGAGTTGGGACCAACTTTAAGAAAACCTACTATATGCAAAAATAAACTTGCCTAAAATGTGTAAGAAAGGATAGGCATTTATAGTATGATAGGATTTTTAACTTTGTATAATGATTCACCCTAAATTTTCATCAAAATATGATGGTTTCTTAAATGTGCTTGAATGATGATTCGACGTGCAAAAGTGGTCAGCAACTATTAAATTTATGTTGAAGCACTTTTCCCCCGTCATGTGTTTAGACAGAGGCATCCTTTTCTGTTTATCTTCCTTTTCTGTTTTCATATCTTGTTTATACATTTTAAATACACAAACCCATACACATATGCAATGTTTGAAAGTTAATAGAACAACATAAAAGTCATTTGACTTTAACAATAGTTTTATGTTTCTTCATAGTGTAATTGTTGTGTACTTCACGTGTGTATTTTGACTTTTGCTCTTCTTAGTCAGTAAATTTAAGTTCTTTGGTGTCATTATCTATGATAATTTGATTTCATGTTCTTTCTTTCAGAAATGAAGAATTCTCTCCTATTCATCTGGTTTTGGATTCTGTTTCAAAGTAAGATCCATTCAACAATTGGTGCCTTACCTTGGAGCTTAAGCAACACAAATCTACTCATAATACACTATAGATTTCCATATTGATTCTCTGCTTCATGCTTTTGTTCACTGAAAGCATTTTTTTCCTCTAGGGAATGACCTCACAAAAATTGTTTCATCTGTCTTCTGTTTTATCTCCTTCTCATGAGTTCGAATTTAGCTTGAGCATCTTAAATATTCAGATTTCTGTGTTCCTCATTAAACTTCTAGTTTCTCCACATCATATTTGTGTAATTCTAGGGCATATAGCGGTGCCTGACACAGAGTATATACCAGGTTAAGTGTGTGTGTGTGTGTGTGTGTGTGTGTGTGTTTAAGTTGTGATTTCAATTTCATGATCCCTTTCTTGAAGGTAATATTGGGCTAACATTCAGCTTTTCTATATTAGTAAAGTGGATTAATGACAAATCAGAAGTTTTTCAAAAATCAAAGATTTTGAAAAAATAATTCCCCTGTAATGCAATTTTTAGGTAGTCCACCTTTTGTTATATATTTACTTTTCCATACAAATATTTAATATACAATATAAACTACTTTGGTTGAAATTCTTAGAGCCTCTGTCTCTTTAGAAAATCAGAGTACAGCCTCCCATTTATATCGTCACTACTTGAGACCTATGTTTTTGATTCAACATTACCTGGAACCAAGAATGGTGCAGTAACTGAGCCCAGAGTATCAGCTTGACTATTTTCCAGAACTTTTATTAATTTTGTCTATCCAATGAATAAAAAAAAATTTAAGAAATAATTACAATAATTTGTAATTGATTTTGCAACTTAAAAATTACTACAAATTTTTAAAAATATACCAAATAGAGTAGTACAACTAACTTCTATATATTCATCACCCAGATTTAAAAATTATTAAGATTTTGTCATATTGGTTTCATTCGTCCTTTTCCTTCTTTTGTTCTTTACTAAAGTATTGTAAAGTAAATGCCAGACTTCATGACAGTTCACCCATTCATTCTTCAGTAAGCATCTATGTGGGCATTTTCTTGCATAACCACAATGTCATTGTCAAACATTTTAAAAACCAGTTTCTTGATATCAATATGTAATTCATGCTCACATTGTAATAATATTTTTAAGGCAACATTTTGTTCACAGTTTACTTTTGAGTGACATGTCTCTTAAGACTTTAACCAGGAGCTGATGCCCTCCTTTATTTTTATGCCATTGACTTTTCACAGAAGCGAAATCAGCTCTCCTATAGAATGTCTTCCATTTACATTTGTTTGTCAACTTCGTCTTAGTGTGGTTTAATTTGTTGCTCTGTTCCTTATATTTCATATCAAAAGAAGTTAATGATAAAGACTTAATTAGATTCGAGTTTGCCCTCGGTTTTTTGTTGTTGTTGTTGTTGTTGTTTTTGGTCAAGAATGCATCAAAAATGGTACTCTGCACTTCATGTTGTCTCACATAAAGAGAAAAGTGGTATTTTATTGTCTCACATTCAGTGATACTAAAACTGATCAGAGGATTCAGGTGGTAGTTGATTGATGCAATCATTATGAAGTTCACTGTCAATCTGTCAATTTTTCAACAGTTTTATATCCACTGATAATAATTGCCTGAATCAATTATTTTGTCAGAGGTTTAAAACGGCATTCTCTGTTTTTTTTTTTTAAATTCTTTCCACAAAATACAAAAGACAAATAAACAAAAATCCCTCATTACCTTGGACCATTTAGTTACGCAGAAATAGAACTCGTGAAGGAAAAACATGATAAATGTTTAACCTCTTCTTTTGTCAATTTTCTGAGTAAGGAGTTGATGCCCTCGTTGCTTCCTATTGCGTTTTGGCCGGTTTTGTTTCCTGTCTTGTTTTCCCCAACCCTTTATGTTTTTGAGTAACCTTATGAACACATGAATTTGTATATTTCAATATACTACAGTCAATTGTACTCATTATGATTTTTCATGTGCCAGTTTTCTCACTCTTGGCCAGATTTCCTTTATGTTTTTGTTCCTATGTCCCTTTAATATAATTCATTTATATTTGATCACTTTCTGGGTTTCTATTACAACTAGATATTCTAAATTCATCTTGTATATTTTCCACCCAGATATGGAATGATTCATTACCTCAAGTTGCTCAGCTTTCTTGTGGTATTTAAATACTGCAGTCCAGGCATTAGGTGTGCTTATTGCTATTGAGTCATCATTGTTTCATGGAATTACCAAGAAATAAGTATTTTTTTAGAAAGAAAAAAAATTTGCAGTTCACACATATATTTCCAATTCAAATTTATGTAGTCTTATTCAAGATTTGGTTTTTACAATTGTGTCTTTTTTATCTTAAGCTAAATTTTGTTTCTTAACAAAATTACTTATTTTCATTAATCTACGACATACATCAAGTAGTTTCAACATGATATCAATACTACCACTCTCAACTAGACTACTGATTGAAGTTAGATTTCTTTTATTTTTAGTTGTTCTTATTTTCTACTAGGTCAATGCAGCTAAAAGTTGCTTTAAAAATTTTTATCTCTGTGTGGTTTATATCACTAACTGGATATACAGATAATTTTTTTTCTTTGTTTCTGGTTTGGTTTTAACTTTACATGTTGCTTTCTATTTTTATCAGATTTCATTTTAGGTGTTTTAAAAACACTTAAGAATGAAAAGCTTTATAACAAGTTATATTTTTAAAGGCTTTCATCTTTACTTGCCTCCTCTGTTTCTTCTTCCTCTCCATTTTTATTGATTTTTGGTTCATCTTTTTAGTGTCTTTTTGCTTTTTGTAATATTAGATCTATTGTTACATAACTTCTGTCTATTTTTTTTTCTTTGAGATGGAGTCTCGCTCTATTGGAGTACAACTGTGTGATCCTGGTTCACTGGCAACCTCCGCCTCCTGGGTTCAAGCAATTCTCCTGCCTCAGCCTCCCGAGTAGCTGGGACTGCAGGCACTTCCCACCACGACCAGCTAATTTTTGTAATTTTAGTAGAGACAGAGTTTCACCATGTTGGCCAGGCTGGTCTTGAACTCCTGACCTCAAGTGATCCGCCTGTCTCAGCCTCCCAAAGTGCTGGGATTACAGGCGTAAGCCACCACGCCTGGCCCATAACTTCTTTCTTTTAGCAAAGGTAATTATGTTTTATATATTGTTCTTTGCCTTGATTTTTCCAATTATATGTAATGGACAACCCTCCATATCTGTGATAGATGTTCTTCATTTCTGTACACTGTTGCATGGTATTTCAATGTGTTGGTATACCAGACTTTGTTCCATCATTGTGTATTTCATGAATTGGGTTGTTTTCAATCTTCCACTATTATAATGGCAGAATAAAAGAGTCTTTTCATATCTTTTCCGGTGTAAATTGGTATAGATACTTAGACATAATGTCAAAAACCCAATTTGGCATATTCTTCCAAAAATTGCCAAATTCTCCTCAACAGAAGTTGAACTGTTTTGTATTCCCAAGAACAATCTTTTAACTGTCATGCACACTGCATGATAGAGAATGACTTGAATGACATAAAAAATGTATTCAAGCTTCCTTTTATAGAACTTTTATTACTTTTAATGTGGTAGTATCACAATTATACTATGTTCACGTGATCTGCGTCTTCTGGTAACTTGTTTCCCTTTTAGCCGAATAGGCAGATTTTAAATCTGAAGCAGGGACTTGGTTTGAGTAGCAGTTGATTCTTTCAAGAGTTGGTGTCCAAGAATTACTCTTATTTATTTAGTGGCCAATTCAAGTCATTATTTTCCACCTTCCATTCAGATGGCTGGCTGAGCAAGAGCTCTTCCTATTACTTCACAAGATTTAATTGTGGGTTGTATGTGATGAATGGTTTTTCCCTCCCTATTATTTCTAAGGCATAATACAAAGGTTGATATTGAATTCCTATTCTTTGAAATAAAACTCTATTTATTTTTTAACACTCTGCTAAGAAGAAAAATGTTATGAATGACCCTAAAGTGAAAATATTAATTTCCCTCCTAGCTTTCTTTTATCTTTCAATATCCCAGCATCTCTCATTGTAAAAAATACATTTTGAATCTGACATGTTACTATAAAAAAATATTTTGAGGGTGCATTTCTTGATAAGCTTTAGACGGGAAAATACTTTTACAGAAAACAAGAGGAAGACACTCTAGTCAATTGAACCTGATCTCATTTTGTATCAGAGGACTTTATTTTTGGTTTGTTTTCTAAAATCTTCTGTTGTACCTGTTACAAAAAAGGAGAGGTGGGAAGCAATTAATGATTTTCACTCTCTCTATATAAAACACTTATCTTGTGGCAAACATGTTTCTTGAGAAGAAAGAAGAAAATCACTACTTATTTTTCAGAGATAAAGACAAAGCCTTAAGTCTGTTTAGTCCTTACAGCTTCATTAGCGACAGGCAGGAAACCTAAGCAGAGAGCACAGAGGAGGATGCTGATAAACAGAACTGCCATGAGTAGAGCATGAGTTCTGACCTCACCTCTATTCAAAGACAAAATAACTGAGTTTACTGTGTATTTCAAATTATCTTTGTCATAAGTTTGATATCAAGGATTAATCTTAGGAAGAATAGTTGATAATCAAAATATGAAAAATTATAATATAGATCTTTACCAATTGAAGAAACATGATACCTGAGAAGACTAAAGCTCATTTATTTCTTATTTGCAAGTGGTTTTGTTTTGCATAATATTTATTTCAAAATAATTGGCCACATGCCTTTTTGAAGAACAATTGAAAGACTCATTGATGTATACCTGTGTAAAGCAATTGGACAGAGTTTATGTTTCATTAATTGAAGTATAAATATTAAGAATATCTATCAAGAGAAAGCTAACCATCGATGATTTATATCAAACAGGAAATTAACAACAGATATCTCATATTAAAATGCAATTTTATAGCATGAAAACCACTTATGTATTAGGAAGGAGTTACTATTTGAAGAGATTTATTGAGAACTTACAGGAATGTACTCTTTTTGAGCCCATTCTTATTTGTCTTGTTACGTGATGTATTCCTTAGTTGACATACATTTTTATTAATAATGAATGTATTTTATTTCACTGCTTGACTTGTTAAGAACACTGTGTATGCTTAAACAAACACTAAAAACTAGAAGCACTGATGATTGAACAGTTGCACAGATATCATATCTGACTTCCCCAAAAGTAGCTTTCTAAGGATTCTGGTGTTTCTCCTTGCCGACTATGTAAGTCAGTTGACCTTGGCTATAAGGCTGGTCACTTTTACTTTATATAGAAATTTTTAGCATCAGAAATAAATTCATACCTTGAATTGGCACAAGCGCAGTTGACAGGTAACAAAACTAGCAGTTGTTAAGATAAAGCCTCCTGCAACACAAAGAGACCTGACCCTGAATTAAACTACCTGAAGTTTTTTACTACATCTTGAAAATTTAGTACTCCTACTGGTGAAAACTTAATTTCTGGGATAAGGTTTGAGACAAAGGTAAACCTAAGTACACCATGTCCTTTATTCAGTCACAAAAAGACGTCCTTTTGCAGCTCAAATCCTGTATATACTTGTCAGTCTGTCTCCAAGACAGCCATCTCTAACCTGATTTTTACAAGGCAAGATGATCAGGGTATGTCTTCAATATGTGAGGCTTGTCAAATGTCTGGATCACTTTCAAACTATTTAACTTAGATATTTGAATTTACAATACAAAAGAAGCGACATCTAAGATGAGATAATATTTATAAGAAGCATTTTGTGAACTGGAAAGTAGCGTATAAAGTTAGTTAATATAAAACTAATAATATTTTATGCTTTTATAAAAATGTTTAACTTCTACATATTGAACTTTAGGGTTTGCTTCTAACTTCTGATGATTAGAACCAGAGAGGTCATTAGTCTAGGGCAAATTTGTCCCCTCCACTGAGTACTTCACCTGACACTCTGAATATTGGTAGAGTTTTATTTTTCACTCTGGTTTTGGATATCAACTAGTCCGAGCCCTGTGTGAACTTCGGCATTGCTTCACTCCTCCTTTCAGCAGTTCTTTCCTCAGCTTAGTGCATGTTCGGATCAGTACACATCTGCACATTCAAGGAGAACCCTCTGCCTATCTCCAGAGCTCCTTTGATGTGCCACTTTCTCTTTCCCAGTCCCCTGCCCTGTGAACTCTAGCTGCTTTGTCTTCCCTGAATACTCAACTGGTCTCCTCAACCAAAGGAGACCACCAGGCTCTGTTTGGATTCCCCCTCTGAGCTTTGAAGCCTGAAAACTCTCCTCGGGCAATGGAAACTGAGCATTTTAGAGTTCTCAATTTTTTCTCTTCTTTCAGAAATTACTCATCTGTGCAGGCTGTTTTCAAAGTCTAAAAAGTATCGTTTCTTATATTTTGTCTGTTTTTGTTAAATCGAAGACGGTAGGGCAGTTCTAGTCCCTATTAAATCCATTATGACTAAAAGTAAAAGCCACCAGTTTCCTTTCAATATTATGACTATGAACATATGAATATAGTCAAATTTATTAATACTGTATGTATTTTATGACTTTTGCCTTTCATGTCATAGATAGAACTCTTTCTATAAAATTATATAAATATTAAACTCCGTTTCTTCTAGAGCTTCCATAATTCCATTAAAAATATATATATAGTCCTTAAGCCACTAGGAATTTGCTGTAAAGTATGGGATAGGATGAGATTTTTTTCTTTTCTTTTCTTTTTTAACATGGGGTTTCACTCTTGTCACCCAGGCTGGAGTGCAGTAGCGCAATCTCAGCTCACTGCAACCTCTGCCTCCCATGTTCAAGTGATTCTCGTGCCTCAGCCTCCCGAGTAGCTGGGATTACAGGCGCCTGCCACCACGCCCGGCTAATTTTTGTATTTTTAGTAGAGATGGGGTTTCACCACGTTGACCAGGCTGGGTTTGAACTCCTGACCTCAGGAGATCCACCAGCCTCGGCCTCCCAAAGTGCTGGGATTACAGGCGTGAGCCACCACACTCCGCCAGGATGAGATTTTTATATGTTTTTTGTGTGTGGTAACCTAGGTATTCTCAAACCATTTTTAAATAATTCACTTTTTTCTCGCTGCTATAAATGTCATTTTAATCATTTAATTTATTTCCTACAAGTACACTTAAATCTTTTTCAACAGCTACAATTTTGATTCATTAATAAGTTTGTATTTTGTCACATTGCTTATATGCAGCCTTTAATATAGAATTTCAATATACTTTTAGCTTGGAATTTTAGTCTATATTCTATTTTTTTTGTAAAAATTTCCTAAGTAACTCTCAGATTTATTCTGTTTTGTAAATTATAAATAGTCACTTTCCTTTATTGATTAACCATTGTTGGATATTTTCCATGAGAGAAATACTAGCTTTGCAAAAATAAGTTCTGGAGTTTTCATTCTTTCCCTATTACTTTAACTATTAAATTGATTAAAATGTGGAGTTCTTTTTTAAGTTTGAATGAAGTCATCTACAAAATCATCTGGACCATCATATTGAGGAAGTAAAAAGGTTGCAAAGGTAGGCTTCTTTTGATCATCCCTCAACTCCCCCAGCCCTTAGCTTCTGGTAACATCTTTCTACTCTGTTTCTATGAGAGTGACTTTTTTAGATTCCACATATTCATATACTTTGTCTTTCTGTGCCTCGCTCATGTCACTTAATATAATGGCCTTCAGGTACATCGTGTGGTTGTAAATTACAGGATCTCTTGTTTTTGAACATTTAACAGTATTCCATTGTGTATATATACCATTGTGTGTGTGTGTATGTGTATATACATTTTCTTTATCCATTCATTCATTGATGGACACTGAGGTTGATTCCGTATCTTGGCTATGGTGAGTAATGCTGCAATGAACATAGAAATGAAGATATCTCTTCAAGTTACTGATTTCATATCCTTTGGCTATAACAATGTATTCTAGGCTAGAGAATCTAAGAAAGCAGACATCTAAGAAAGAGAATCTCTAAGAAAGTGTTCTTACCACAAAAAAGTATGTGCAATAATGCATATGTTAATTAGCTAGACTTAGCCATTCCACCATGAATACACATACCAAAACATGTTTTACATCATAATGTATGTATTTTTTGTCAATTAAAACAATTAAATTGGCCAGCCACAGTGGCTCACACCTGTAATCCCAGCACTTTGGGAGGGTGAGGCAGGTGGATCACCAGCGGTCAGGAGTTCAAGACCAGCCTGGCAAACATGGTGAAACCCCATCCATCTCTACTAAAAATAAAAAATCAGCCGGGTGTGGTGGCAGGTGCCTGTAATCCTAGCTACTCTGGAGGCTGAAGCAGGAGAATCGCTTGAACCCAGGAGGCGGAGGTTGCAGTGAGCCGAGATCACACCACTGCACTCCAGCCTGGGCAACAAAGAGCGAAGCTGTGTTTCAAAAAAATAAAAAATAAATAAGTAAAATCCAATTACGTTATAATTTTGTCCAAGGTTATTACTTTTATTTTGGAAATTTGTAATTTTTTTTGGAAATTAACAAATTTTATCCATATTTTAAATGTATAATTATACAAATTATTTAAAATGTGTATGTATCTAAAAGATTTTTCATATATAAGTTCTTGTATTCCCTCCTTTTTAAATTAAACATTTTTTTCTGTTTCTTTATAAACTAGTAGATTATCTGCTTTGTTGATTTTTGTGAAGTATTTGGGGTGACTATTTAAATCAGCTTATTTTTTTTCTGTTTTTCAAGAGCATTTATTATTCCATTACTTGTATTTGAATATGAGAGTTTATCCTTTTACTCATTACTGCATTTGAGTATTCTTTCTCTCTCTTTTTCTTCTCCTTTATGGAATTTTATTTTCTCTTGCTCCCTTTTATTCTTTTCTTCCTTTCTCTCTTTATTTTTGCTTTTAAGTATACTTTTTTCCTGCCATGAGTAAGTAAATGTTACCAGATCTGTCTTCCCTTAATAAACAACTGTAAAACTGGACAAAGTAAATGAAACAACTGTTTTCCAACACTGGACAAAAGGAGTAAATGCTGGCAGCAAAGGTATGGAAGTGGAGTGACCCCTATGCTAATCCCAGTTGACTGTATGGAGGGACTACCCAGCTCATATCACAGATATAGAGAGCCCCATCAGAGCATGATCATCTTGCAGAGGTGAGGAGGGAATGATTAAAGCCTGGGCAAGCTAACGCAGATGAAATTTGAGGGGCAGAGAGGAGGGAATGCCCCAGAAAAATAACCGATAGGAATTTCTTTAGTTAACAAATATACTAACTACTCATTCATTAATTTGATTATTTCCTCATAAAATAACCACTGGATTTATCAGTACAATTAATTTCTATTTTCATATGGATTAATTTGTGATTTTTATCAATTATTTTCTCTATATTCTTTACATTTATTATATTATTCTCTCTCTAAAATCTTGGAGACAATATTACTTCATTTATTTTTCTCTTTATTTTCTAATCTAAAACAAATAATTGGAGTGCTGAATCAGACTCCCCAAAGTCATGGATCTTAGGATGAAACTTTGCCAACAGTATCAAGGACACAGGGACTTCAAAGTGCTCAGATAAAGCCAAAAATGGTCTGAGACATTGAGTGATTCTCACATACTTTCTTCCCATATCAAACATGCACTCTGGTCCAGAATAATAGACGAGGTCTCTAGAGTGTTCTAAGTGACTTTACATGGCAAGAGGAGCATTGAAGTTAGGTTAAAAATAAATAAATAATAATTTAAAAAT
Source organism: Homo sapiens (assembly GCF_000001405.40). NCBI lineage: Eukaryota > Metazoa > Chordata > Mammalia > Primates > Hominidae > Homo > Homo sapiens. The sequence continues at coordinate 49,445,076 of NC_000002.12, read as the reverse complement.
CTCTATTATATACCCAGAGAGTTACATAACTCATTTGCCATTTTCCAGTGAGCCATGCCTCATATTTCCAAATATATATATATATATATATATATATATATATATATATATATTTACTTTCAGTAACCCATTAGCTAGTAATGTTCCCCTAAGGGAATCCTTTAGATAAACTCTCTTCCTCTCAGCAAATACTTTTAGTCTGTTTACCCAGAAGTCTAGTTGACAAGGAGATTAACCAGGTCACCCTTTTTTTCCCCTCTGGATGTATCCCTCCACTAAAGGAAATGAATGAATCACAAGCCAGCTGCTTTAATCCTTTCCTTTCCAATCTCTGTCTCATTTGGGAATAAAATAATTATTTAATTATTAGGTTGTAGTGTTAATTTTTCTCTGAGGAAAATTTTAGTCACATATTTTACATATTATAATAATTACAATAATAATTAAAATCATTATAACTCATCCCTATTCTATTTTCTAAATATTGTGTTACAGTTTGATTTTTGCTTTGGGTCTAGTTGTTAAAGTGCACTTTATGTTTTGTTTTCAATGTGTTACATTGTGATTAGAGAATATAGAGTATGCCATTTTAAAATTATAGATTTGACTGAAGATTCTTTATGACTTTGTATGTGAGTAATTTTTAAAAATAATTTGTAGGTGCTCTTTTAAAGAGATATATTCTGTATGATATCAAGTTGAATATATTGTGTGCTATTACCTTTATTAAAATAATTTTCAGCTTATCTACCTCAACATCATTAGCTCTCAATTCTGTCTGTACATTGCAATCTCCTGGGAGGCTTTTATAAACCAGCAGTGCCTGGGACTCACCCTAAACCAATCGAAACCAAATCTGTGAAGGCAAAGCCAACCATCTGCACATTTACAGCTCTCCAGGTGATGCCCGTACACTCTGAGGTTTTATAATCACTACTCCTTATCCTTTTTTGTATTGGTCTTTTTTATCCCAGACAAAAACAGAAAAGCATGTTAAAAATCTTATTCTAACTTTAGGTTACAGAGGGCGGGTGTGGTGGCTCAAGCCAGTAATCCCAGCACTTTGGGAGGCCGAGGTAGGCAAATCACTTGAGGTCACGAGTTCAAGAGCAGCCTGGCCAACATGGTGAAACCCTGTCCCCCGTCTCTACTAAAAATACAAAAATTAGCAGGCCTTGGTGGTGGGTGCCTGTAATCCCAGCTGCTCAGGAGGCTGAGGCAGGAGAATTGCTTGAACCCAGGAGGCAGAGGTTGCGGTGAGCCAAGATGGTGCCACTGCACTCCAGCTGAACAGAGAAAGATTTCATCTCAAAAAAAAAAAAAATTAGGTTACAATTAAATTCCTTTTTTTTTTCAGTCTGCAAGTATTTTTCTTTAAGTATTTCAGCACAGTTATATCATGTAATAGTTAACCCTTTATCTTGATCAGTCTCAATCAGCTTGGGCTGCTATAACAAATCAACATTGACCAGGTGGCTTATACAACGAACATTTATTTCTCACAGTTCCGGAGGCTGAAAGTTCCAGATCACAGTATCAGCACGGTCAGGTGCTGGTGAGGGCTTTTTTCTAGGCGGCAGACTATCAACTTCTCTTTGTATCCTCACCTGGTGGAAAAAGAGCAAGAGAGTTATCTGGGGTTTCTTTCTTAAAGGCACTAATTCCAGTAATGAGAAATCCACTTGCATAAACTAATCACTTCCCAAAGGCCTCACCACTTAATACCATCACTGTGGGGATTAGAGTTTCAACATATGAATTTTGAGGAGACACAAACGTTTAGTCCATAACAATTTCAATGTAGAGAAATTATAAATGAAAAACACAAATATTTAATTGATTTAATGTTTTATTTTTAATCATATCTTTTATTTTGAGAAAAAATATTTTAAATCATCCTTTGAGTTGCAATGTATGCTTTATTTCTTCATTTTTTTCTTATGAACTTTCTTAATTATTCTCCTATGTATATATCCTGAAAATAATATTTAATTGGATTGAATTTTTAATCCTATCTGCTCATCTTTTTTCTCATTATAAATTTTTCAATTTATATTAATTGTTACATTATATATGCCTTTTTCCTACCTCAGCTAACTTACTTTATGTTTTTTTCTTGTGTTGTCTTTTCGTTTCTGTGGTTTTGTATCTTTTGGTGTTTGTAATCTATATTTATTTCACCTTCTATTTATTTGGAAAGGAGAAATTTTAATAACAATGAGGGTAATTTTTAAGTTTTAAGTGTACCTAAACCACTTTTAGTAATTCAAGACAATGTAATTTAGGCAAAAATTCCTGCAGAAAACACCCAGAAAAGACAGGCCAAATTTAAAAAAACAATTTGGACAGCTACTAAGACAGTGAAGATACATAGCATTTGAGACTACTCTTCTCCTTAGGGCACCTACTGAGCCTAGACAATGTGGCCAAGAGCCTGAAAATAAGAGTTTTCAACAAATTGAGAATACAGAGAGATCAAAATTAGAGTTCAGTTCTCATCAAGAATGGGAGGTCCTTAAGGGCTATATATATCAGACATAAATATAAAGAAGAAATTGGCTGGCTCTCTCAGGAACTAAGGGTCCACTTTATTTCAATAATAGTGATGGCTTGTGGAATTTTTGTTCTCTCAGCATGTCACAAAATTATTTTTATTAATGACTTAATTTTATATATTTGACATCCTTTTAAAATTATTCAAATTTACCCTTATTCCTTTTTATTAACTCTTACACCTCAAAGTTTCTATCAGAGATCATTTTTCTTCTTCCTGAAGTATATTTTCTTCGTTGCAAACTTGCTGGTGATTAATTCTAATGATTTTATAGTCTCTGAAGATGTCATCCTCACTTTTATAGGGTATGTTTGCTTGGCATAGACTTCTAGATTGGCAGCTGTTTTCTATCAGCTACTTTGAGAATATCGTCTTATTATTTGCTTGCTACTTCCTTTTAGAAAGTCAGCTGATACACTTATTACTTCTTTTTAAGTATTATGTCTTTTTTCTGGCCTTTTTAAGATTTTTCCTTATACTTTGGTTTTTTGGTAGTTTTACTATGCTTTGCTCAAGCATTCATTATATTTATTTCATTTAGGGTTCCTAGTTCGGTGGCTTGAAACTTTTTGCAAGTTTTGGTAAATAAACAGCTGTTATTTCTTCAAATATTGGTCTTCCCATTCTTTTACTGCCCTTATTCTGTCATTCTAGTTACACATATGTTAGAACTTTTCACCATGGTGTATATGCCTCTTATGTTTTTCTGTGTGTTTGTGTGTGTGTGTATACATGTGTCTACACGCTACATTCCAGCTACCTCTACTCATGTGTTTAATATATGACATTAAAGTTCCTTGAAATAAGTTGTGCCTTGATATGATGTTATTATTTTACAGAGAGAAAATATGTTTGCTTCCGGCAGATTTTAGACATGCAAAATCAGCCTCATGCAACCAGGAATTAAGATGGATCAAAATGTGAATAGGAGATACAGTTTTAAATCCTTGCTGTCAATATCAGTGCTATACCTGTCCTATCTTCCCTTCATGTGCTTGTTTCAGAATGTGATATTCATTGGCGGAATACTTTCTCAATCCTTGTATCTTTCTTTGGGACTTCTTCATATGAAAACAGTTTATTTCCATCTCAAATTCTTGTATCACTACTTTGCTTACCCGGCTCTATATAGGTGCTCATATATTAGTCAAATGTTAGGAAAGGGAAGTCTTCCACTATCCCAATGTCTCTGTCTCTATAAGTCAACTTAAAAAAAAAGTGCGATACGATGTTGTAATCTCACTCTCATTTTTAAATATCATAACTTTATTCAGATCTGTAGCTCCAAGTATTACTTTTTATAAAACTTAAAATTCTTGTAGAATAAGCCATTTTTGTCTTTTGATTGAGGGTTATATCAGGTATGAAAATTTTTCTTCTGTCTTTGAATACAGCTTCTATTTTATTGATATCATTTATTGTTATTCATTTAGGCACACCAATTACTCACAGGTAGTATTTCGATTTTCTGGTCTTCATATGGACCATCCATTCTTTTACAACTTTCAATAATTTATTCTTTAACTGGCATCCTGGGAGATTTTCACCAGCTTTATACTGTGAGATACATTTCTTGAAGTGGTCATTCTGCCATCTAATACTTCTACTGTAAATATTAATAGTATACATTTTAATCAATGTATTCCATGCACATGATTAATCTATTATTACTAGATGGCTTACTGGTATGGTTTGGCTGTGTCCCCACCCAGAATCTTATCTTGAATTGTAATCCTCATAATCCCCACCTGTCAAGGTTGGGAGCAGGTAGAGGTAATTGAATCATAGAGGTGGTTTTCCCCATGTTGTTCTTGTGATAGGGAATGAGTTCGCTAAGATCTGACGGTTATATAAGGGGGTCTTCTCCCTTCTTTCCGCGTTTCTCTTTCCTGCCGTTTCGTGAAGAAGGTGCCTTGTTTTCCCTTCACCTTCCACCACTATTGTAAGTTTCCTCAGGCTTCCCCAGCCATGCTGAACTGTGAGTCAATTAAATCTCCTTTATCAAATACCCAGTCTTGGGCAGTTCTTTATAGCAGTATGAAAATGAACTAATACACTTAAAAAAAATTAACAGTTACTTTTCCCAGCCATACACAGTGTTCTGCTCTCACAAAGACCACACATTTTAATAGTTTTTGCTTCAGTTCTTTTTTTATTATTATAAATGTCCTTTGTGTATTTGAATAAGATATTAAAATCCTTAATTGTTTACTTCATGAAGCATATCTCTTGACTTCATTTGTAGAATGAGGATATTAATATACCTACTTTTGCTTTGCCTGTATTTCCCCACTTTGTCTCCTAATTTCTTTTTTATAGACAATGTTCATAATATTTATGTTCTTCTCCATGAGCACAATTAAATCTTCTGTGCTTTGTCCACATATTGATGCAAAAAGTTAGAAGTCATTAAGTGAAATCAAGTTGTTATCAGCTTGGGAAGGTTCACTGCAGAGCCAATGAGTGTTCTGTGAATTCCTTTTAGAGCTTTTGGTTTTTCTAATTGTTTTTTTCTATTTCTTCTATATAATAACTTCATTATATATTTAAATTATTTCACTATCTCAGGCATTCTGTTGAAATTGTCCATGGGATACATAGTTTTGTTTCGGCTATCTTCCTAAGGCTTGGTGACCCTTTTCAATTCTGGGCTGGTTGATCTCTAGGATCTCAGCTGTCTGCCATTTGGGGAAGTTTCTTGCTTATGTTCTTAAAGTTAATGCACTATTTCCGGATTCCTAAATCTTTCTTGGTTTATTTTATTTTAATTTTTCTTACTGGAGGAAATCTTCAAGAAATTCCTTAACATAAAGTATGTGGTAGGTAAATTTCATGAGTTATTTTATGTCAAAAAATGTCTGTATCTTTCGTTCATACTTAAGAGTTTGTGTACCAGTTGTAATATAAACACACAGAGATGAGTTATTTCAAGTGACTTTAGATGACAGGATTTGAACTATACAATCTTGTAGGATACACTTTATTCTATTTTTATATAATTTTATTTATATGCGAAATTTTATGTAGTTTAATTATTAGTTGTATTAATATTATCATTTTAAACTATTTATACTATAGAAAATGCAAGTTAAGAATCATATTACTGTTTTTAGGAGCCAAAAGTTTTAGTATAAAATAAGATAAAAGGTTAAAATCAGACAAATTATGTAAAAATACCGTAATATTGCATATGTATTAGAAATACCATTATAGACTCTCAAATATTTTGTCCTGTTTTCAAGACTATGTATTTTCTAGCTTTGTCCACTTAAAAAGCCTAGAATCAATGATTAACACAATAAAAAGTAACTTGGCACCCAGGGCTTCTTGAAGGCTGATTCCAAGAAAACAAGGCTGATACCAAGTCTGGGCTGGAATATATAGGATTAAAGGCTAAAATCTCTTGTGCCAGAAAAAAAGGATGTCTTCAGGAACAAGGGGCTATCTCAAGAAAACAGGAGACACATTGAAATGCTCCTTTGGCCAAAGGAAGAGCAATTTGATCACTAAAAATCTGATGAGTGCAACTGATGAAAACTAAATATAAAAAAATATGAGTTCAAAATGATTTTGATTTTAAAAAAAGAAAAAATATGCCTCAATGTGTGTCATAGGACATAACTAAGGCAAAAACTCTGAACACTGGCTATTGAAAGGCATGATGCTGCCTTTCCTGCATTCACTAAGTTTCAAGATAATCAAATATTTCTAGTTGCTGAGGGGAAATTTCCTCTTTGCTAAAAAATTCCAGCTATAAATGTGGAAGAAATGATAAAACGTGAAATCTGTTTTGCAACTCCTAGCAGAAAAAAAAATAGTGAATTCAGGCAATGATTATAAATTAACAAAAACATCAGATGAAAGGTTAAGAGATACTTATACTGACGAGATTAGATTGCCAAGACCTGTCTCCACTCATGAGTCTTAGCATCACTAAAGGTGAACTAAGCAGTCAACTAAGGTCCTGAGATGTGATGAAATATGACACACATCATCTGTAAAGCACTCTTGGAAAACAAATGAAATAAAAACCTTGGAATTAAATCTAATTAAGATTCACAGCTAACTTAATTTACAGTAGATAAATGAAAGTTAGCTAAATGACACTGAAAAGAAGCAAATAAGCATATCTGGAATGTGGAATATCACTAATCCAGTATTTGCAAAAATTCAATAGCATGAGGGAATTGAATAACAATTAGAAGCACCACAGAGGGAATAAAAAATCTGAATCACAAGACACATGAAGAACAAATGCAATGAGTGGAACTTACGTGAATTTTGATTCGAACAAACCAACCTTAATGAGGCATTTTTGAAATCATCATGGAAATCTCATTGACTGGATATTGAATGACAGCAAAAATTGCTTACTCTATCAGTTATGACCACAGAGCTTTATAAGAAAATGTCTGTTTTTTAAAAAAATTATATATGTAAATGTGAGATATACTGTCATCTTTGATTTCCTTTTAAGATTGTTCAGCAAAGGCAAAATATAAAAAGAGATGAAACATATTACAAGATATTGATAATTTTTTATCTGAGTAATGGGTATGTGGAGGTTCAGTGTACTCCTTTTAAAAAGTTTTTTAAAACTTATAATTCTAGAGAGACATTCTTTTTTTGTTTGCGCATTCTGTATTAGGTTTAATATCAATTTTATTTTCTTGTACTATGTATAAACTCTCATGTTTAGCATTTAATTATAATCCATATTGTTACTTTTTTTGTGTGGAGAGGAGTAAATGATGTTAGGGGAAAATCTAAATTTTTGATTCTGATTCAATTCAATCAACACTTATTAAGCACCTAGTTTTTGCCAGATATTGGGATATGAAGATGCATGTGAAGATACAGTAGAAATAATATCAGTTAGCACCCAGTAAATAGAAGTAAATAATTAATTTCTGTGAAGAAGCAATGAGAAACAGCTTCATATAGAATTTATAATTTGAGGTGGTACTTTAAGAATGAATAAGAGCTTGTCAGAAAATTAGTGGAAAATTCCTCACAGAGGACATACAAGGGTAAAAGCACAGCTTTGTGAAACTAAAATCTTAAGCTTTGGGCAACTATTTTTGACTGTGCTGGCAGATTAATGCAAGAGGAAAAAAGGTGAGATAAAATAGTAATGTAAGCAATGGCCCTGCTTTTCATAGGCAGATGCTGGGCCATATTTGTAAGAAAAGAATTAATTGGAAGGACTTAAAGATGGAACTGATTAGTAAAATTGTGAAAACAGGGATAAAAAACAGTAGGTGATTTAAAATAACCTAGGCAAGAACTGACAGCCTGAACTGTTATGATAATGAAGAAAGCAGCATACTTATTTTTAAATTATACTTTAAGTTCTGGGTTACATGTGCGGATCATGCAGTTTTGTTACATAGGTATACATGTGCCCTGGAGGCTTGCTGCACCCATCAACCCGTCACCCACATTAGGTATTTCTCCTAATGTTATCCCTCCCCTAGCCCTCCACCCCTGACAGACCCTGGTGTGTGATGTTCCCCTCCCTACGTCCATGTGTTTTTATTGTTCAACTCTCATTTATGAGTGAGAACATGTGGTGTTCGGTTTTCTGATCTTGCGATAGTTTGCTGAGAATGATGGTTTCCAGCTTCATTCATGTCCCTTCAAAGTACGTGAACTCATTCTTTTTTATGGCTGCATAGTATTCCATGGTATATATGTGCCACATTTTCTTCATCCAGTCTATCACTGATGGACATTTGGGTTGGTTCCAAGTTTTTGCTATTGTGAATAGTGCTGCAATAAACATACATGTGCATGTGTCTTTAGGGTAGAATGATTTATAATCCTTTGTATATATGCCCAGTAAAGGGATTGCTGGGTTAAATGGTATTTCCAGTTCCAGATTCTTGAGGAATCACCATACTGTCTTCCACAACGGCTGAACTAATTTACACTCCCACCAACAGTGTAAAAGCTTTCCTATTTTTCCCACCTCTCCAGCATCTGTTGTTTCCTGACTTTTTAATGATTGCCATTCTTGTTTTTGTTTGTTTATTTTGTTTTGTTTTGTTTTGAGACAGAGTCTTGCTCTATCGCCCAGGCTGGAGTGCAGTGGCGTGATCTCAGCTCACTGCAACCTCCGCCTTCCAGGTTCATGCCATTCTCCTGCCTCAGCTTCCCGAATAGCTGGGACTACAGGCGCCCACCACCACGCCTGTCTAATTTTTTGTATTTAGTAGAGACAGGGTTTCACCATGTTAGCCAGGATGTTCTCAATCTCCTGACCTCATGATCCACCTGCCTGGGCCTCCCAAAGTGCTGGGATTACAGGCATGAACCACCACGCCTGGCCCTTAATGATCACCATTCTAACTGGCATGAGATGGTATCTCATTGTGGTTTTGATTTTGCATTTCTCTAATGACCAGTGATGATGAGCATTTTTTCATATGTCTGTTGGCTGCATAAATGTCTTCTTTTGAGACGTGTCTGTTCATATCCTTTGCCCATTTTTGGTGGTTTTTTTTCTTGTAAATTTGTTTATTTGTAGATTCTGAATATTAGCTCTTTCTCAGATGGATAGATGGCAAAAATTTTCTCCCATTCTGTAGGTTCCCTGTTCACTCTGATGATAGTTTCTTTTGCTGTGCAGAAGCTCTTTCGTTTAATTAGATATCATTTGTCTATTTTGGCTTTTGTTGCCATTGCTTTTGGTGTTTTAGACATGAAAACAGCATAAATTTATGAGATAGTTAGTGATTAGGGGAAAGAAGTGAGAAAATGACTTTATTGTCTGGGAACGGTAGCTCATGCCTGTAATCCCAACACGTTGGAAGGCTGAGACAAGCAGATCACTTGGGGTCAGAAGTTCAAGACCAGCCTGGCCAACATGGCAAAACCCTGTCTCTACTGAAAATACAAAAATTAGCCGGGCGTGGTGGTGCATGCCTGTAATCCCAGCTACTTGGGAGGCTGAGGCAGGAGAATGGTTTGAACCTGGGAGGCAGAGGTTGGAGTGAGTCAAATTCAGCCACTGCACTCCAGCCTGGGTGACAGAGCCAGACTCCATCTCAAAAGAAAAAAAAAAAAGAAAATTACTTTATTAACACACTTTTGGCCTTATCTTTAGACCACTTTCCCCGAGAGTGCTCTGGATTTGATCTTTTGCCTAAAAGTCAATCTGTTACCATCATTTGCCATCTGGAGATACTGTTAGTTTTCTAGACCAGCAAGGATATACAAGTTGACCACTGGGACAGAATAGAGAAACTAAAAAGAGACCTGCATAAATGTGGTCACATGATTTATGAAAAATATTCCACTACAGTATATTGGTGAGGTTATGATTTTATGAGTAATTGATGTTTGTTCAATTGGATAATCATAGTGTTTTTAAACAGAACACATACACACATCCATACATACACAAACGCACACATACCCCAACACACAACACAAAACATATACCCTGATACACAACACAAAACATGAAACATTAAAAAAATTTGATAAATTGGACCTGAATAAAATTAAAATATTTGTTAATCAAAAGATGAGACTGAAAAGGTAAATATAAAATATTTGCAATATAGATGGCTAGATAGCAGAGAAGAAAATATTTCCAATATAGTTAGCTTAGATAGCAACTAAGCTAACTATATTGGAAACTCATCTAGAACATAAAAATAACTATAAATCAATAACAAACAACCAAGTAGCAAAATGGCCAAATGACTTGAACCGGTGTTTCATCAAAAAAAGTAAACGATATACAAATGTCCAATAAACTTATAAAAGGTTTTTAAACTTTATTAATCATCTAAGTAATCCTGGGTAACATGACAGTGAGAAACCACTATACAAAAATCAGAATGGTGAATATTAAACACACACTGGTAATATTTTAACTGGTAATATTTTAAGCATTGGCAAGAATTTGGAGAATTGGAATCCTCCTACACAGTAGAAAGAGGTATAAATTGGAGTGACCACTTTCGTAAGCCAGTTTGTGATATCTACTAACAACTTAGTACAGGTATATCTTATGACAAGAAATTTCACTCCTAAATGTTTGCCAAATAAATGTGCATGTGTACACCACAAAGAATGTTCACAGAAACCATATTAATAAATCCAAAATTTGCAAACAATAAAATTGAATAAAATGGATAAATTGTAACATATTCATATGATGGAATACTACATAGAAATGAAGGGGGAAAAATACTTTTGTGTAATGTTTGAATCTCAGGAATACAATGCTGAGTGAAGGAAGCTATAATAAAATGACACATTCTGTATGATTCCATTTATATAATGTTCTAAAGAAGGCAAGACTCTGGCGATGAATGTCAAGATATTAGTTCCTGTTGAAGACAGTGACTGGATAGAGAAAACCTGGGGGTTTCTAATGCTGGAAATGTCATATTTCTTAATCCGTGTGGTGATTATATGGTGTGATCACTTTGTGAAAATTTATGAAGATGTTCAAATTTACAACTTGTACACTATTTATGTATATATACTTGATCAAAATTTATAGAATTGGAGTTAGTACAGGGCATTATTATAAAAGTAAAAGGATTATTTGAGAAAAATTGAATCCACCCCCAAAATGTTCTATATGCAGGTTGCTAATCAATTAACTGACTATCCAAGTGTATCTTCTGTATGAAAATATATTCATATATTAAGCATACTTTTCCACATATGCATAGCTAAGTAAACAGTGACATGCAGGCAATATGTAATAAATACTGTCCATCTTTCAAAGTCCATTTCAAATCAGTACTTTTAACACAAAACATCTCACCTATTCCAGTTACTTAAATCTGTCTACTTTCTAGTTTTCATCAGCAATTATCAGCTGTAAAATTTATATATACTGTCTTACAGTGTTCCTTAGATATTCCATGTAGACTGATCTTATCTCTCAAACTACACATTTCTGAATGGGCAAAAAAGCCTTTTGTGTGCAACACAGTTAAGTATTTGTTGTTTATGCCATAAATACCAAATCAATATATAAGATATTTTAGACAGAATGTAGTGTCAGTATCATGTTACACAGAGCAAAATAAATGGAATTTAAGCACGTATACACAGACACACACACAGCATGTACATGCATATCTGTAAATCCATGGTTCATTTCTCTTGTTTTTGAGGGATGCATCTGTTATGTGTATGATGGTTGCCTCCCACTACAGAAATTGAAATCAAATAGCTGTTTTCCCTCAGTCCCCTGGTAGCCAAGGCTAGGATCCAAAATACAGGTTTGTCTAATCAGATGTGACACAAAGAAGCCAGGACACAGGAGAATTCTTTACAGCAATCACAGTGAGAACATCTCCAGAGGCAGTAATGGCAGTGAAAAAGTTTCTAAACAGGATTTGGGTTATGGTTTATATCACTTAGCCTGCCTTGATTCCTTTTATTGTGCCATCCTTCTAGGGAATCTGTGACCCATCGAATACCCTTTCAAACATTCCTCTTCTATTTATATCACAATCATTCCCTTTTAGTGGTAACTAAAAACTTTAGAGATACATACGTATGTGTATGTATTTGTGTGTAGACAGTTGTACATATACACACACATACATTTCAAAACCATATCTCTTCTAAAGGAAAAAAAGTACATGTGTGTGTTGCATGTTGATGCCACACAGCTAGATTTTTAGTAACTAAAAAAATACTGGTTGTAAATGGTTTTTACTTTTTCAATCATATATAAAAAGCAGGTTTTGTTCTATTGTTTTTTAAATAAATAGACTTCATTACTTTTTGTTTGCTTGTTTTAATAAAAATTTTACTATTTGAAGAAATTGAGTCATTCTCTGAATGGCTTTTTGCATACCAGAAATTTATAAATATTTGTCTATATTTTGAAAGCAATTTTATGTGTTGTTTAAATTTTTTATTTCTGCACGATATGTGGTATGAGAAAATAATCTAACTATATTTTTCTAATGGATCAGCCAGTTGCCTAACAGTAGTCATTGAATAATCTTTCTAACTGATCTGAATTGCTGCCTTTATAAAGTAGTAAAGTTATATATACATCTCGGGCTTCTACTGAATATTGTTTTCAATTTAATTAGTCTATAAGTTTATTCCTGTGCTGATATGCCTCCCATTTAATTTTTGCAACTTCATAGTGTGACTTATTTTTTGGTTGAGCAGATGGTATCTTATTTTTATTGAAATAAGTTATTTGGTATCTGTGTTTTTTTATGTACTTCCTCACTTGTAATATTACTATTTTTTTCCATTTATTTTTGTAATAGTTTTACCTACAATATTCTTCTCAAATAATTAGTTGTTCATCAGTTTAGTTTTTCTATCCACAATTTACAGTTTGTTTGAATATATTATTTGAATATATATTCAAATACCTAATATTATTTAAGCAGTTCTATCTACACTCAACTCTTTCAGGATGGTTCTAATTTGGTAATTCATTTTTTTTTTTTTTTATCCTTTAAGTTGTAAGGTACATGTGAACAATGGTGCAGGTTTGTTACATAGGTATACATGAGCCATGTTGGTTTGCTGCAGCTATCAACTTGTCATCTACATTAGGTATTTCTCTAATGCTATCCCTCCCCCAGTTCCCCACCCCACAACAGGCCCTGGTGTGTGATGTTCCCCGGACTGTGTCCAAGTGTTCTCATTGTTCAATTCCCACCTATGAGTAAGAACATATGGTGTTTGGTTTTCTGTCCTTGTGATAGTTTGCTGAGAATGACGGTTTCCAGCTTCATACATGTCCTTGAAAGGACATGAACTCAACCTTTTTTATGGCTGTGTAGTATTCCATCGTATATATATTTGCCACATTTTCTTAATCCAGTCTATCATTGATGGACATTTGGGTTGGTTCCAAGTTTTCGCTATTGTTAATAGTGCTGCAGCAAACATATGTATGCATGTGTCTTTATAGTAGCATGATTTATAATCCTTTGGGTATATACCCAGTAATGGGATTGCTGGGTCAAATGGTATTTCTAGTTCTAGATCCCTGAAGAATAGCCACACTGTCTTCCACAATGGTTGAACTAATTTACACTCCCATGAACAGTGTAAAAGCTTTCCTATTTCTCCACATCCTTTCCAGCATCTGTTGTTTCCTGACTTCTTAATGATCGCCATTCTAACTGGCGTGAGATGGTATCTCATTATGGTATTGATTTGCATCCTTCTGCTGGCCAGTGATGATGAGCATCTTTTCATGTGTCTGCTGGCTGCATAAATGTCTTCTTTTGAGAAGTGTCAGTTCATATCCTTCACCCACTTTTTGATGGGGTTGTTTTTTTCTTGTAAATTTGTGTAAGTTCTTTGTAGATGCTGGCTATTAGCCCTTTGTCAGATGGGTAGTTTGCAAAAATTTTCTCCCATTCTGTAGGTTGCCTGTTCACTCTGATGGTAGTTTCTTTTGCCATGCAGAAGCTCTTTAGTTTAATTAGATCCCATTTGTCAATTTTGGCTTTTGTTGCCATTGCTTTTGACGTTTTAGCCATGAAATCCTTGCCCATGCCTATGGCCTGAATGGTATTGCTTAGGTTTTCTTCTAGGGTTTTTATGGTTTTAGGTCTCACATTTAACTCTTTAATCCATCTTGAATTAATTTTTGCATAAGGTGTCAGGAAGGGATCCAGTTGCAGCTTTCTACATATGGCTAGGCAGTTTTCCCAGCACCATTTATTAAATAGGGAATCCTTTCCCCATTACTTATTTTTGTCAGGTTTGTCAAAGATCAGATGGTTGTAGACGTACGGTGTTATTTCTGAGGCGTCTGTTCTGTTCCATTGGTCTGTATTTCTGTTTTGGTACCAGTACCATGTTGCTTAGGTTACTGCAGCCTTGTAGTATAGTTTGAAGTCAGGTAGCATGATGCCTTCAGCTTTGTTCTTTTTGCTTAGGATTGTCTTGGCAATGCAGGTTGTTTTCTGGTTCCATTTGGACTTTAAAGTAGTTTTTTCCAATTCTGTCAAGAAAGTCACTGGCATCTTGATGGGGATGGCACTGAATCTATAATTTACCTTGAGCAGTATGGCCATTTTCACAATATTGATTCTTCGTATCCATGAGCATGGAATGTTCTATTTGTTTGTGTCCTCTTTTATTTCGTTGAGCAGTTGGTTTGTAGTTCTCCTTGAAGAGGTCCTTCACATCTCTTGTAAGTTGTATTTCTAGATATTTTATTCTCTTGGTACCAATTGTGAATGGGAGTTCACTCATGATTTGGCTCTCTGTTTGTCTGTTATCAGTGTATAGGAATGCTTGTGATTTTTCACATTGATTTTGTATCCTGAGACTTTGCTGAAGTTGCTTATCAGCATAAGGAGATTTGGGGCTGAGAGAACGGGGTTTTCAAAATATACAATAATGTCATATGCAAATAGAGACAATTTGACTTCCTCTTTTCCTAATTGAATACCTTTTATTTCTTTCTCTTGCCTGATTGCCCTGGCCAGAACTTCCAACACTATGTTGAATAGGAGTGGTGAGAGAGGGCATCCCTGTCTTGTGCCAGTTTTCCAAGGGAATGCTTCCAGTTTTTGTCCATTCAGTATGATACTGGCTGTGGGTTTGTCATAGATAGTTGTTATTATTTTGAGATACGTTCCACCAATACCTAGTTTATTGAGAGTTTTTAGCATGAAGGGCTGTTGAATTTTGTTGAAGGCCTTTTCTGCATCTATTGAGATAATCGTGTTTTTTGTCATCGGTTCTGTTTATGTGATGGATTACGTTTATTGATTTGCGTATGTTGAACCAGCCTTGCATCCCAGGGATGAAGCCAACTTGATTGTGGTGGATAAGGTTTTTGATGTGCTGTTGGATTTGGTTTGCCAGTATTTTATTGAGGATTTTTGCATCGATGTTCATCAGGGATATTCGTCTAAAATTCTCTTTTTTTGTTGTGTCTCTGCCAGGTTTTGGTATCAGGATGATACTGGCCTCATAAAATGAGTTAGGGAGGATTCCCTCTTTTTCTGTTGATTGGAATAATTTCAGAAGGAATGGTAACAGCTCCTCTTTGTACCTCTGGTAGAATTGGGCTCTGAATCCGTTTGGTCCTGGACTTTTTTTGGTTGGTAGACTATTAATTATTGCCTCAATTTCAGAGCTTGTTATTGATCTATTCAGAGATTGAACTTCTTCGTGGTTTAGTCTTGGGGGGGTGTATGTGTCCAGGAATTTACCCATTTCTTGTAGATTTTCTAGTTTATTTGTGTAGAGGTCTTTATAGTATTCTCTGATGGTAGTTTGTATTTCTGTGGGATCGGTGGTGCTATCCCCTTTATCATTTTTTATTGCGTCTATTTGGTTCTTCTCTCTTTTCTTTGTTAGTCTGGCTAGCGTCTATCTGTTTTATTGATCTTTATCTTTTCAAAAAACCAGCTCCTGGATTCGTTGATTTTTTTTTTGTTTTTGGAAGCACTTTTTATGTCTCTGTCTCTTTGAGTTCTGCTCTGTTCTTAGTTATTTCTTGCCTTCGGCTAGCTTTTGAATTTGTTTGCTCTTGCTTCTCTAGTTCTTTTAAATGTGATTTTAGGGTCTTTACTTTAGATCTTTACTGCTTTCTCTTGTGGGCAGTTAGTGCTATAAATTTCCCTCTACACACTACTTTGAATGTCTCCCAGAGATTCTGGTACGTTGTTATCTTTTTTCTCATTGGTTTCAAAGAACATCTTTATTTCTGCCTTCATTTCGTTATGTACCCAGTAGTCATTCAGGAGCAGGTTGTTCAGTTTCCATGTGGTGTGTGGTTTTGAGTGAGTTTCTTAATCCTGAGTTCTAATTTGATTGTACTCTGGTCTGAGAGACAGTTTTAATTTGGTAATTCTTAAATATGTTTTTTCCTAATTTATTTCTTCGGTTTACATTAATTCCATTCTATAAATTGTCTTTCCCCAAATTAAACTAGCTAAAGTCCACCTTTCTTCATGGCGTATTCTAATGTCACAATGAGGCCATCTTTCTCCTCTTGGGCTGAATATGTTTAGTACAATCTTCTGTTCTTACTCATATAATACTGTTGTCTAATCTGGAATTTTTCTATGTCTCTAGCACCCTCTCTCCTCATAGATTGAATTCATTGGAAACAGGAACTAAATTCAAAATAATTTATCACAATAGTCAACAAAGTTTTTTAAGTAATTATTAAATAAAGCATTTATAAGCATATGCTAATAGTCTACTTTTTTATTTAGTCATCTATCACTTGATAAAAAAGAGATACTATAATAAAACATGTTAATAGCAGGTTAAAAAGTAAGGTCAGAAGAAGTACAAATCAAATCTGGGGAAAAAACTGAATGGAATTATAAAGTTAGAGGCCTTTATTTTAAAAGTATCCGACATTAATTTACCCTAGGGCATCCCAGTAACTGAAACAAAAATTGATGGATGATTGGGATTTTGTCTGAGAAGAGTGTGTACTGTATCTAGAGTTTGCTGCTTTGTAAACGAAAAAGAACATGTATGTAAGTTGAAAATCTTGATCGTTAAGGTTTTACAGTAAGCTAGAATCACAGGATACATACCTTTGAAAAATACAGGTAACAATGGGATCTAAAATAAAGGCAAGTAAGTGGCCTAAGCCAACAGAGAGAGCAAGTCATTACTGGCTAAAGTGGTGTTCATGTAAGTACACATAGATCTCTAGAGATTAGACCCAGAGAAGTTGAATATCATGGTAAGAATATTCCAGATAGGAGTCCTGTTAAGATGTATTATACCATTCCTATTCTGTAAAACAAAAGTAGTTATATCAATAACTGATGCTGAAACATAAGATAAGCAAAGCTGTAACACCATCCTTTTCTTACTTGAGAAATTCTAAAAGAATATGGAGAGAGAGGACTGTTACAGGTATAATTTTTTGTGGGGTAAGTCATGATATCCCACTGGCTGGGCAATCTACGTAAAACTTTCAATTTTGTATGATCCTGCTTTATGTCAACCTTACAGTAAACAATACATCTAACTTTAATTTTCCTAATGTTTTCCAATGAAAAATGAAAGTATTTGGTGGAGCCAAACAGTTAAGTTTTCAACACGTGAAAGAATAGTTTGTTCTCAAAGTGTGCGTAATTTATCTGTGTTCATCAAAAGGCCATAAAGCATTAAAATAAATAATCTCGTATACGAAGTTTCCGTTTAGCTATAAAGTCAGGTCAGACTCTTAGGTGTTTAAAATGCAGAAGTAAAATGGTCTGTAATGTCTAAGTGAAAAAGCTTTGAGACTAGTCAAAGAAGACCTTTCAGCAATGCAAACATGGATAACAAGATGCTAAATCTGAATGACGAGGCTTTTGCCTGGGTATGCTGGTTTTGTATTCTTGAATGAAGTATCTTCATTGTTTGCTGCCTCTTCATGGGATGTTAAGCATTCAGAACAATTTATGAAACCATAAACCCACAAGATTCCTTTTCCTGCTTAAGCTAAATCAAGGCAATCTGTATTTTTATTTGCCTAGACAACACCACTAAAGTTAGTGTCTCATTGACTGAAGTGACCATAGTTTTCCCCTCCAGGATACCATAATAATAATCCTTTTTATTTTTATTTCCTACTTTACTGTTTTGCTAAAATCAATATTTGAGGCTTCATTAAATTGACAACTAAATCTGAAATGCATTTACTATCATTTAAAATGCAAATGACTTTTTGGTGCCTTTAATTCTAAGAAAAAATAAAAAACTAAACATGTCAGTGATATTATAAATGTATGTTGTTTATTTTGAAATTTTCTACTCAGCAGGTTTCTTTATACTTCTGTAGATAAGTCTTTTATATGAACATAAATTTGAAACTGCATTCCCTGATTTACTTTGCTACCATAGTTTTTTCAAAAAGTTAAAAAAAAATAAAATTATAAGAGTCACTACTGATGATATATGAATTATGTTTTTTACAGAGTCATGCACACCTCTTGAATTTCTTCTCAGCTTTCCTGCCATCCGTGTGATTTTGAACGAGGACTCTTAAGAATACGAGGTGAGAATTTGCCTTATTTGTCACCATGCAGCTTGGTTCTGTCATTTTCCACATTAATAGGATTTTGTGACTGAGTGACCTTGTTAATATAGCAATATGTTTTCTGCCATACCATCAGTAACAATCTTCTAAATAGGAAAAGCTAGCATTAAAAAAAAAAAATCACAGTTGATTTCACTCCATCTTTTTTTCTTACTTTAGCAAAAGCAAACAACTTTCATTATATCATAATGCAACCACCAGCATAAAAAAGGCTACTTTGAGTGTGGAAAATCCACTGTGTTGAAATACAGGACTAAAAATCTTGTGTCCAACAGTATAATCAGATGGAGACAAGTGGATCTTTGACAGTGTTTTAGAGAGAGACAGAGAGGATAATCTAAATATTTTGTATCAGACAGAAAAAATGGAAGATCTGTAAAGATTATTGTGAAGAAAATGAGTTGTATTAAGATGGCTAAAATATTTTATTTCCTTTTTAAATCTTTGAACTGATGTCACGTATGTCAGTTTTTGTTAACTCCCCAGTATCACATCAATCCATTCTGGCTACGTGATGTAGTACTAGAGAGGTTGCCTCTTAGCCAAAAAGTGTACAAAAGCTGGATAAAACACAATTTTCTAAAGGGAGACCAAGAATCCCAGTAGTTTGACCTAATTAGCAGCTGAGAAATGTAGCCCTTGAAAGAGGTAAATAACCTTTATTGGGAACATGCAGCATGAAGTATCACTTGCTGATCTCTCATTTCTCCAATCCTGACCAGTCTTCTCCATGGGCTCCCTGTGTTCTCTGGCCACTTTCTACAAATATAATTTTTTCTGATTATCATCCCTTTAATTAATTAATTCATTACTTCTCAAGACCCTTGTTCATTTCTCCATCCCAGAGATTCTTTATCTTTACTCATATCCATAAATCAACCTTATCTCTAACTCCTTCTCCATTCTTGCCGCCTTATCCTTCACAATGTCCTTTCTTCTCCACCATGGTCATGTAGGTCCCTATCTTGCTTTTCAGTATAAGCTCCTATAGGAGAGAAATGATTTCTTTTTCTCACCCATTGCTAAGTTCATGGCTGAGGCCTCTATAACTAAAGAAAGATTAACAAGAGAAAAGCATACACATTTATTTGAGTTTTATGTGATTTTGTGTGACACACGAGACTTCAGAAATGAAGACTTAAACAAGTAAACTTGTATATTTTTATGCTTAGGTTTGAAGAAGAGGTCATAGAGAAGTCTGACTGGACAAAAGAGGCTATAATCTAATGGTAATAAACTTAGGGAGGTGGATTTACCAAGGCCTGATTTTTTCTGATTCTCCTCTGTATTCCCGTGTCTTCAGAGATAAGGATGTTCCTTTCCTTGAAGTATAGGGAGGGCCCCTCTCAGAAGAGAGTGTTATGATCTGCTTCAAGCGAGAAGAGGAAAGGGAAGATAAAAGTGGCCTTCCTGCTTCTCTGTTTTCCAGAATACCAAGGTGCCATAATTTACGGTAGTGTGTCTTGAATCCCATCATTGCCACAGTTTCCATTCACTCTGACAGCAAATGGTCCAGTGCCCAGAAGAGCAGGTAATAATCCACAGGCACAGCAAGGTCTGTATATGGGTAGTTTTGCCTAAAGCAGAATAATGGGCCAGTTATATTCTGATAGATGGTTTCAAAATTTGTTACAGAAGACTTTGGCTTTAATTATTTTTCTTTTCCTCCTTTGAGCTAGACCTCCAGTTTCTCAGGCTAATGATCATGAGGCTTGCATAAACTTTTTTTTACTTTATGAGACTGTGAGGATCACTGTATTAGTTTGCTAGGGCTGCTGTAACAAAGTTCAAGCTGGATGCCTTAAACAACAGAAATGTATTGACTCGGTTCTGGAGGCTAGAAGTCTGAAATCAAGAGGCTGGCAGGGTTGGCTCCCTTTGAGGGCTGTGAGTGAAGGATCTATTCCAAACCTCTCTCTTTGGCTTGTAGATGACTGTCCTCTCCTTGTGTCACTTCACATCTTTTTGTCTGCGTCAGTCCTATATCTATTAGGAGCTGAATAGTGTCCCTCCAAAGTTCATATGTCGAAGCCCTTGCCCTAGTGCGCCTCTGTTTGAAGGTAGAACCTATAACAAGGTAATTAATGTTAAATGAGGTCATAAGCATGGGCCCTTAATTCGACAGAATTGGTGTCCTTAGAAGAAGAGAAAGACACCAGAGGTGGCCTTTGGCCTCTTTTTGTGTATGCACAAAAGGAAAGCCAAATGAGGACCCTCTTCGAAGGTGGCCATCAGCAAGCCAGGAAGAGAGGTGTTACCAGCCACCAACCCTGAGGGAGCCTTGATCTTGGACTTCTAGCCACCAAATAAATTAATGTTATTTAATACCGTCTAGCCTGTGGTATTTTGCTATGGAATCCTTACCAGACTGACACAGTGTCCAAATTCCCCCTTTTTATAAGGGCATTATTTGTATTAGATGAGGGTCCACCCTAATGACTTTCTTTTAACTTGAATACCGCTACAAAGACTCTATCTCCAAATAATATCACATTTTGAGGTACTGGGCATTCAGACTTTAACGTATCTTTTTGGGAGATACAATTCATCTGATAATACACACCAAACCTGAAGCATACCTCTTGCTCTTTAATGAATTCTCTTTAAGGAAACTTTCCTATACTTGGAAAGAATCCAAGTATAGGAATTTATAATTGATATATGAGGCTACTGAAACAATCTCTGCAATAATTAACCTGGATCTTATGAAAAGATACCAGCAGTAGCCTAATAAGTAGGATTATTTGATTAGTGCATGACATAATTCTGATTTTACAGCAAGTATTTACTTTTCTACGGACAGGTGATAGATACCACTTTAACATACAACGTAGAAACTGATGAATAAGTATTAGCGGAATGAATGAATGAATCTCATGTGGTTGTAATGGGAAAGACACATCCATGGACAACAGATGAATTCAAACCTGACCAGACCTCACATTGCCAATATAGCATCTAGTAGTTTCTCCTAAAAGAAGTGTCCTTTTTTATATAACTCCAAAACAATGGACTTTGGCTCTGATGTTTTCCATTCAAATAGTTCATCAGTCCTGACTACTGCATATCCTTTATGAGATATAAAATTTCTCTTACACCACATCATTCGTCCAATCTATCTCTTAAACACAGTAAACACATTGGGAACAATATCACCCCTAAGGGAGTGTATGTACATGGGGGAGTAAAAATAAGTTTTTATGTATAGAATTTTTATGTATAGAACACAGATGTAACTACAGTGTAAAAATAGGTATAAGAGGGGTGGGGACAGCAGTTAGGTAGGGAAAAAAGCATAAGAAGGCAAAACATTGCTTTAGGTGTGATAATAAAACAAAGTGAAAAACAGTGAAACAATTGTCAATGAAAAGAGGCAAACTCCATAAAATATTTAAAGAAATTTATTCTTTGCCAAATATGAGGATCATGACCCACGACCCAACCCTAGGAAGTCCTAGAAAATGTGCCCATGGTTGGTTTACCGGTTGATTTTTATATATTTCAGGAGGGCAGAAGCTACAGGTGGACATCAGTCACTACATGTAAGGTCCACATTGGCTCTATCCAAAAAGATGGGACAACTCAAAGCAGGGGCTTCCAGGTCACAGGTGGATTCAAAGATTTTCCAATTGGCAGTTGGTTGAAAGAGCTATATTATATAAACACCTGGACTCTATAGAAAGGAGTGTCTAGATAAGGGGTTGTGGGGACTCAGGTTTTTATTATACAGATGAAGCCTCCAGGTAGCAGGCTTCAGAACTCTTATCAGACCTAAGAAGGTGCCAGACTCTTAGTTATCTTCTGGATCAGGAAGAGATCCTGGAAAGGGAAGAGAATTCTCTACAGAATGCAGATTTCCCCCGTAAGAGATTGATTTGCAGGACCATTTCAAAATATTTCAAAGAAATATATTTGGAGGTAAAATACTTCAGTTTCTTTAAGGACCTGCTATCTGCCATGTGATGTTATACTGGAGTCATGTTGGAATTGGATACCTTATTATTACAAAGAGTCTATTTTGTCGGTCTTAAGATCTCTGTTTTAATATTAATGCTGGTCAGTTGTGCCTAAATTCCAAAGGCAGGAGGGTATGATGTGGCCTGTTGAACCCTCCCTTGTCAATGTGGCCTGAACTAGTTTTTCAGGTTTACTTTGGAATGTCCTTGGCTGAGAATGGGGGTCCATCATCAGTCAGTCGGGAGCTTAGAATTTAATTTTTGGTTTACACAATGTATTGACATGTGCCCTAGCCATGGCTCCTTTCAAACATCAAACACCAAATTCCAAGCCCCCAACTCCCTGCCCCCACCTTGCCCTCCTTACATAGCCAGTGCCCTGTTCCCAGATCTTTTTTCTCACTCCTTTTACTTTATTAAATGCAGACATTATAAAGGAATTCAACATTGAATGCCTTTAAATGGAAGTTCCCTTAGCATATGTAAGTTTGTGTTTACAAATAATTAATAATGGGTAGCTGAATAGACTAGAGGGCAGAAAAACCATGTAAAATGTTAGGACACATCTTTAATGGAAAAAGAGCTTAAAAAGAAAATGATCATGTAGACATATTTCAATCATAAAATAAAAATGATTTGTTTTTATAAAGTATTTTAAGTAAATTCTAGATGCTAATTTTCGAAGCTCATATTGTTTACTTCAGTGACATTTGTGACATATTCATGGAAAACCAATTGAGAGAAGGAAGGCAAGGACATTCAAGGTGCTTGTTAAGAATATTATAAAAACTAAACAAACAAATACTATTTATAACTGCCACTCATTCCTAGGAAGGAAAAGAAAGAAATCCAAACCCAAGCAGGTAATAACAATATTTATAGATTTCAGTATAGGTGCCAAAATCAGAGTACAGTTATCTTTCTCTTCTGTTTGTGCGTGTGAGTATGTATGTGTGCATGTGTGTTTTAATGTTCTAGAAGGAAACAAAACACCTTTCAATGGCTTTTTTAAAACTGTGTTTCGGCCGGGCGCAGTGGCTCAAGCCTGTAATCCCAGCACTTCGGGAGGCTGAGGCGGGTGGATCATGAGATCAGGAGATCGAGACCATCCTGGCTAACACGGTGAAACCCCATTTCTACCAAAAATACAAAACCAAATTAGCCGGGCGTGGTGGCAGGCGCTTGTAGCCTCAGCTACTGGGAAGGCTGAGGCAGGAGAATGGCGTGAACCCAGGAGGCGGAGCTTGCAGTGAGCCGAGATCGGGCCACTGCACTCCAGCCTGGGCGACAGAGCAAGACTCTGTCCAAAAAAAAAAAAAAAAAATTTGTTTCTTAGGTTTTACCATGTTACTAGTTTTTGTTCTTTGTTTTTCCTTAAAGGAACCAAGTTTCTGACTTCTTACAAAGTATACTTAAGAATCAAGACATTTAGTTTCAATCTTAATTAAATCCTAAGAAGCAGGGTTTGGGGCTTTTAAAAAATCCAAATGATTAATCATGAGCCACTCTGTTAGCTGTCACTTGGTCCAGAATTAGCAGTAAGTGAGGTTGTTTAAAGCTGAGATGCTATGGCCAGTGCATCTATCTTCCCAGGCAGCTCTAATCCTGCCTGGTCCACTGGTTCTCCTTTTATTAGTTATTTTGATTGGTAATTGAGAGAATAAATCTTTGAAGAACTTACATGAATGCAAGAACACATATATTAAGAGTTCAGTAATAAAATACCTTCCAAAGTATTTTGTGCGGCCGCCTTTCAGGACTCAGCTATTTAATTTATTTTGCTAGACAAAGATTCGCAATTGGCATTCAGGTATAGAATTTTTGTTATTGTCTTTTTGTTTTTCTGATGTGTAGTTAGGCAATTCCAAATTTTTATTTTTTATGCCAAACTGAGTTATCTGTGTTTGAGTAGGGAATAGGATCTAAGGAATCATCTCAAAGACTTAAATAGAAGTTGTATCTACATAAGTGGAAAGCTACAGGCAGAATCAAAGGGTTAATGTGGAATACATGAGGTGTGATAGGGAAAAGCTAATAATATCAAAGTTATTTAACCTGGGGAAAAATACAAGATTAATTATTAATTCTCTTAGTACATTGCTTTCATTAAAACACTCTATTGCTCTAGAATCATAAAATGATCTTGATTATCTGGAAACTGAAAGGTAGAATTTGAATAGATGCTCATATTCTATTAAATCAGGCTACAAACTTCACTTTGAATTTATTTTTCATGTTTTCCTTCATGACATCTTCCTATCCCCACCCCAACCGTGGGATATTTCCCATTATCCCCAAGGAGAACCATATAATATCAGGTTTAATACTCATAACAATATTGATAATAACTGTTATTTAATGAGCATTCATTGTGTGTCAGGGAATGTTCTAAGCACATTACACTTTGCAGTTATTAATTCTTATTCTCAGAATAGTACTACAAAGTAACCATAGTGATTTTTATTTTATATTTTAGGAAACCAAGGCCCAAGAGAAGTTAGATACATTGCTTAAAATTACAAGCTATAAGGAGCAGAACTGAAAATCAAAACCAGTTCTATTTAACTCCAAAGTCTGTGTTTTGTCCACTCCATTTCACTCCATTCTCAGTGATTATACAACAGAAAAATAGTATTTTGTACAAAGATCTTAGTAGCAAAACGATTTATACAAATTCTAATTATAAGGTTACTCAAAGATATAACTATGTATGAATTATTAAATAAAACTTTGGCGTATATATACTTGATCAAATGAGATGTATAACTAACATAAAAAATCTTATGCAATAATAAATTTAAAAGTTCACAATCAAGTCTGTATTTGGGTGAAAGTACGCCTTTTAAAGTGCCCAGAAAAGGTCTGTAATAAACAAGGCTAAAACATCAATAGGGAGGAGGGAATAGTGTGATTAGAGATAATTTTTGTTGTTCTTTCTATCTTAAATGTATTTATATTTTAATGAGTATGCATTACTCATAATTATTTAATAAATATCCGTGAGTAGCATATAGATCTCTGGTGTTAAGAATAAAGTAAAATTTCACCTTCAAACTAATCCTTTATCATCCTTCATTCATGCTGCTTTCCTTCCCTCCCCAACCTTTTCTTTTTGCCCATTTTTCTATTCTGTTTGAGGCTCACATATTTCATTCTCTCCCACATTCTTTTCTTGGCCTCCACTTCTGTTTGCACTTTTTCACCTGAGCTTTTTGGCCTTTATATAATTGGGCATTGTTACTTTGCTGTTTGTTTGTTTTTTGTTGTTGTTGTTTTGTTTTGTTTTTTGCATGTATGTCTTACTTCCTAGGGTATAATTCAGCGTCTCATGAACTTCAACAAATATACCAATAGTTTAATTAATGTAAGCCTCTAACATTTTTCTTTCTTGAAGAACAGCCAGACTGTCTTCATCTTTATTGAATCAAGAACAAGAAAATGAGACCTAGTATTCACAAGAGAAGGAAGATTTAACATTTGTTGCTAAGAAATATTTACTGATATTAAAAGCTGTTATACACTGGAGTAAATGACCAAGAGCATTTTGGATTTACCACACTGGAGAGCTTTACTAATTATTTGGCTTGACAGATAAAGTTATTGGTGAAGGCCATAATTATACTAAGTGATATATAGTCATTTTCCATTTCAAGAGTTACTCAGTGTTCCACTCCTTTAAACAAACAAACAAAAAAGGTGGTTTTGCTCTGCAAAAAAAATGCAATTGACAATGATTTCTAGGCTACAGTACTTAAGTTAATGATGAGTTCACGTGAAGTAAAGAGAACCTCCTTCGAAGATGTTTTTGCCTTCTATAGGTTTTTCTGAGGGTCAGCAGAAGATAACCTGAAAATTTATGAACATGAATGAGCCCTTTTAGAATTGTATGGCTCTAACATGTTATTTCCTTTCATTTGCTTCTCTTTGATAAAATAAACCCTTAGTTTTTCAGCCCCCTCCATATTCATCTCAATGTTGCTAGAAACTAGAATGGTGTTTTGACATAGCAAATACTAAATACTAAATATTCTAAATACTGAATGTTTAAATGAATGTATGTTTATCTCCCATTAACCCATACAGGAAAATCTTGAGCTTCATCCTAGACCAGAAATACAGAAAAAGCCTTTCCTTTAGGAATAGAAAATACTGAAAAAAGTGACACTGTTTATTGCAAGATCCATCAGATAGTTTCATGTCCCTTCTATG
This sequence comes from Homo sapiens, assembly GCF_000001405.40. Taxonomy (NCBI): domain Eukaryota; kingdom Metazoa; phylum Chordata; class Mammalia; order Primates; family Hominidae; genus Homo; species Homo sapiens. Next base: position 49,418,324 of record NC_000002.12, on the reverse strand, counting down.
TGACACCTTACAGAGGCTAACACATGTGTGCACAATTGATTGGCCAACCTCATAGATTAACAATCTCATGGAGCTCTAAGATTCTTATGTTTCAGAGTCAGTTCTATTCCCTTAGCCTTTTAATAGATTTCCTGGACTCTTGTATAACCAGTTTTCTTTTTCCTTGTGACTAATACCTTGTTCTCCCTTTCCCCCATATTTATCTCATATAATACCCTACCTGAGTTTCTGCCTAGTTACTTAATGAAAAAAAATTTAATTGAGCTTCTGTTAGGTGTCAAAGATTGTGTTTGGACCTGGTGATTGTTGACTCCTTTATAACATCCACCAGATAAACCTGTTGTTTGGCAAAGCAGAATTTATTAAACATACTGCAATAAGGGAGAAAACCACATTAACAGGGTTTTATCAGTCTCAAGAGGAGACAACAGAAGGGTATTAATAGGGTTTAGGGGACTGTACTTAAATGGTTTGAGGTTTGTTTTTTAAGGTGTGAAGGTTGTCAAGATTGGGCAACATTCATGACACAATAGTTTGAGACAGACATAAGGCTCTTTGTGAGAAAACAGTTGCCTGAAAATTGAGCTGTTTGCCCAAGCGAAAATGATGTTGTCCAATAAGAGAACTGTTTGCGCAGATGGGCAAACTGTTGCCTGGATAAATTGGTCTGCAATAATTTCCTGAAACAAACAGCAAAATTATTTATTAGTTTACAGTTTTATCTTTATAATCAAGTTATGTTAACATAGGCAGTCTCAGTTCTCAGTTCTGTGAATATAAAATTAAATAAGATGTTTTCCTGATTTCAACACATTTATTATCTAATGTGATTGAAACACATGTAAACAAATAATTTTGGTTGGAGAAGGTGAAAATATAGTATATTAGAGACATAGGGTCAAAAGGACCTAATTGTTAATTGAACATGGGCATAAGGGAGAAGAAGAATCTAGAATATTTCCCACTTATTTAATTGTTTTAGCAAATCTTGGCAACACAAAATAAGATAGAAAATATGGGGAAAAAAGGTGAAGGAGAAAGATAGATAATAGTGTCCATTCTAGACAGGCTAACTTTGAGATAATCAAATAGTAGGTAGATGGCAAAATGGGTTAGTATTGCATGGAGAGATCTGCAGCAAGGCCTTAAATGTAAATATCATTCAGCCTTAGCCGGTAGCAGAATTCAGGACATAGACAATATCTACTAGAGAATATGCAGAATAAGAATAAAACCAAGAATTAAACCCTAAATAACTTCAGGAATTAAGAGACAGGCAAAGAAGAATCCAGACAAAAAATTCAAGGATATTGCAGAAATCAAGAGAATAAAGAATTTTAAGCAACAGAGAGTCAGTGGTGTGAAATACTGCAGAAAAGTCACCAAAATATAGGCTAGAAGGAGCCACTTGATAATTGGAACATTAAGAATAACTTCAGTACTAATAATTTCATTGTAAATTCAAAGTAAGAAGAACAAATGTGTCGAATGGTGGAACTCTCTTCTAGTTACATAACTCAATACAAACTCCCTACTGTTTTAGAACAACATAGAAAATAACTTTTCCTTTCTCTCAGTAATTTTTGTAATAATCTCTGTCACTTTCCAGATCACTGACTGCAATATCTCAGTGTAATGGAAATTTCTTATTCCTTTTGTCTAATTGAATTTTTTCCTGTGTTTGGGGAATCACCTCACTGTGAAGTTTGGTGGGAAGCAGGTCCAATCTCCCATTACAGAAGCCAAAAATGTTAGATACTCTCCTTTCCATCTTGCCTTTAGCTCAAGCACAGTCAGCAATCTACATTTCACCAATCAGTTACATCAACACTAGACTTTGACCCAAGGGGTAATGATGCCAAGAATCAGAACCTTGCAGGAGTCTGTTCCTGGAAGCAGGAGCCAGATGACTGGCTAAGCAGCTGGGACAATTGGAGAGTTGACTCCTTGGTTACAGCAGCAGCAGGAGCAGCTTCCTCAGCAGAGTGGTTCTATGTTATCCTGGCTCTATAGTCATAAAAGCAATAGTTGATACTGAGAGCAAACTATGTGCTATGTACTGTCCTCAGAGTTTCATTTTTGCACTCTCACAGGGCTTTTCAGTCTCAGCACTGTTGAAATTTTGAACTGGATAATTCCTTGGTGTGTTCATTGCAGGGCAGGGAGTGGGGATGTCCAGTGTATTGTAGCATGTTTAGCAGCATTCCTGATCTCTACTCAGAAGATGCCAGTAGCACTCTCGTAGTTATGACAACCTACTCACTAGAAGCCAGTAGCACTCTCTTAGTTAAGTTATGACAATCAAATTTGTCTCCAAATATTGCCAATTGCCCTCTGGAGGGCAAAATAGCCTTTGGTTTAGAATCACTGCGTTAACTCATTCAGTATACACAACCACTGTAAAGTGGGGACACCAAGCTGAATTCTCCAGGCCTCCAGAAGATTCAGTTCAATTTCCTTTTGATAACTCTAGCAGTTGGGTCTAAATAAGTTTTTGTCTAAATCCATTACTTCTGGCTTCTGCTGTTAGAAAACTAAAACCCACCTGGCTGGAATTTCTCATGCCTCTTAATTCTATTCACACAGGAATATCAAAGTAGTTGCTATTTTCCCTTAGAATATCTCTCTGGGTCTTAGATAGTCAGAACTTTGATGCTAAGGGGATGTTTCTGCATGGGAGTGAGTAGCTTGAGAAAGAGGTGGTTTTCTCTGTTTATGCAATCCAGTAAAATGATTTCCAAACTTTAATTAAGTCTCTTATTTGACTGGGGCCAGTGCCTCTGCAGCTCTCAATAAAGCATTATCAGCAACATCGAAGATTCCACTCTCGCCTTTTAGTGAGGCAACTTCACATCCCATTTTCCAAATAGTAGGTCAGAAGAAATAACTCTTTTTTTCCCTTAAATGTGTGGATGGTGGGCAATTGGATAATTTGTTCATCCCTTGACTGAGATCTCCCCTGGAGAGGCTGCTTAGTTCTTTGAAGCACTCATCTTCTCCTGGGGCATCACCTTCATAAGTACTTAACACCACTGTGCCCCGCCGTCCCCCGCCCCCCACCACTGCTCAGAAATCACTGGGTAAGTCATGAAATCAGGCTTATGCTTGCTCAAAAGACCATCACTTTCCAATATATTGAACCCTTTGGGTGGTCAAGGCAGGTGGATCACCTGAGGTCAGGAGTTCGAGACCAGCCTGGCCAACATGGTGAAACCTCATCTATACTTAAAAAAAGAAAAAAAAAATTAGCCGCATATGGTGGCACATGCTTGTAATCCCAGCTGCTCTGGATGCTGAGGCAGGAGAATTGCTTGAACCTGGGAGGCAGAAGTTGCAGTGAGCTGAGAGTGTGCCACTGCACTCCAGCCTGGCTCACAGAATAAGACTTTGTCTCAAAAAAAAAAAAAATATATATATATATATAAAATTATATAATGTAATATAAACACATATATGTATGTATATAGCACCCAAACCTCCAAGAAGTTTTGTTTTTGTTAAAGAAGCAAGGTCATGTGGTCAGTTAACAATATGGGCTTGCAGTGAGACTGATACGTTCCAAATCTTGCCTTAGCTCCTCCTAATTGCTTGGCCTTGGAGGATTTTCCTAGCCTCTCAAAGTGTCAGTTGCCTCACTCAGAAAACAGAGGTAATGATGTATAAGGTCATTGTGAGAATAAAATGAGAACACCAAGAACACAATACACATTGAGCAAATGGTGGTTCTCGTTGTTATTATTGTGTCTTTTTCCCTAGCTTATAGATACTTCCTGTTCATTCCTTTTTTAATATGAACTGTAAACAAGTTTCCCCAAATTCTCTAAATTGTTTCCTAGGATTACCCAGTCTATAATTTTAAACAAGCCTGCATCACTGTCTGAGTCTTGAGTTTTATTTCCCTGCAGCCTTCATAATTTTTAAAGAGCTTTCATAAGCATCATTTCATTTGACCTTTGAACTATGAAATTACAAAGGGAAGGCAGGTATTATACAGGATGAATCCATGATGTAGAAAGGTCTTGAAGAATCTCCTCAAAGCTTGTTGACATCTGGTTGGTTGCTCATGGAATCATCACAGTGTCATATGTGTCTCATTATGTTTGTTTTTCATAAAGTATCTTATTCATTATGTGTTAAATGGGGGGGTGAACTACAGGATCACTCAGTTTTTCTGCCACTTGTAATGATCTATGAACTCACAAAACAGGTTCAAGTGAATGGAGACCATGTATTATAAGAATAGACAGTTGACAAAGGAGGTCACCTTTAAGGCAAGCTAGGTGAAAGAGATGTCAGAACCAGATGTAGCCAAAGGTGGAAAGCCATCAAAATATTTTACCATGCTGCTGGCATGATCCTCTGATCCTACTCTTTACAGTACGCGCTAGCAAATGACTTCTGCATTCACCCCTGCTCAATTTGGTGTTGCCATTCAGACCCAGCTTTCCAGGATTATGGCCTCATTTCTGGCTTCTCTCACTGGCTCAAGTCAATACTTCATTTCCAACTCCAGCCACTGGAGTGTAACTCCCCACTGCCTACTATGTGGAACATTTTTGTTACTATGTCTAATTTCTGAGGTCCCAGAAGCAGGAAAACCCCAGAATCTATCTACTAATTTCTGGAAACTGAAAATTTGTGTTTCTAGTCTCTAGAAACTCGCTGAATGATATTTTTGTATCTGAATTTTTCTTATTTCCCAGGACTTCTTAGTATCGATTCAACTGGGCAACCCCAAGTCTGTGTAAATAAAAGGAATCATTCTTGGTCGGGACTATGGCTATCACCTAGTTGGAATGCCTGCAGAGATACAAATTTCCCACTTAAGGGAATACAGTGTTTTCCTTTATTGAATCTTCAGGGCATAGTGCCTTCTCTGATTAGAAAGAATGGCATGTGTGGAAGACAATAACTTTTGCTAGAGGTAGATGAGAAGCCCCACCTACTACAAACAGGCTGATTGTTAGCCTTTTAGAGGGAGCCAAGAACCATGGACTAGATAATACACTGTAAGAATTTTGTACAATTTTTAGAACCTTTGTAACTTTCCTGGTAATGTTATTTTTGCTATTACCATCTGTTTTTCCATAGTGATTAGTACTAAACTTCTTAAAATAAAAAGGGTCTGTGTGCCTATCCTCAGGACATTAAGAAAGAGAAAACAGAAACTTGGTTTCTTACTCTGCAGGCAGTCTTGCTAGGAAATAAACCCAGAAAGTAGAGTGGGTGTAAACAACTTCCAAAATAAAGGAAAGCAGATTGAATCCTTGTAGCCTGTAGAAAAGGGGAAAAAATGTAGAATTAATTAGGGCCTGAGAAGAGACTCGGGACTGCATAGAACAAAGTCCTTAATGAGATTTCCCCAAAATTTCCCTCTGAAATGTACTGTAAGGTGAACAATTCACTACTAAAAATGTTCTTGATGGTGAGAGTTAGGGGCTGCTCTTTCTGGATCACTTGGGATGAGAGTATCTATCTTTTTATTTAGGATAGGTTAAGTGGGAATTTCACTCCTGAGAGACAGAATTTATGGGAAATACAGTAGATTGTGTGTCAGGAGATTTAAGTACAACTCTGAATCTACCTTTCAGTGGGACAAATAAGTTTATAAATTTGACCTCATCAAAATTGAGAACTGTTCTTTGAATGTCACTATTAAGAGAAATGAAAAGACAAACCGCAGACTGAAAGAAAACATGTGCAAGGCATACATCTGATAAAGGATTTGTACCCAGAATATATAAAGAACAACTCTCAAATCTCAATGTTAAAAGTAAATAAATAGTAGGCGGCAAAAAAGTCAACCATCACGTGTTGTGGGGTGGGGCGAGGTGGGAGGGATAGCATTAGGAGATATACCTAATGCTAAATGACGAGTTAATGGGTGCAGCACACCAACATGGCACATGTATACATACGTAACAAACCTGCACGTTGTGCACATGTACCCTAAAACTTAAGTATAATAATAATAATAAAAGACATAGAGCTGATAAATAAGCACATGAAAAGGTGCTCAATATCACTAGTCATTAGGGAAAGGCAAATTAAAACCTCAATGAAATACTATATACCTTTTAGGATGTCCAAAATTAAGACTGACCATACAAAGTGTTAATGAGGGTATAGAGAAACTGGAATGATCATACACTACTGATGGGAATATGAAGTGGTATAAACACATTAGAAAAGTCTGGCACTTTTTTAAGAAGTTAATTTTTAAGAAGTCAGTGATCCAGCCACTCCCCTCCCATGTGTTTAACTGAGTGAAATAAAAGCATGTGCTTATAAAAACACTTCTACACAAATGTTCATAGCAGCTTAATTTGTAAAGCTTAAAATTGCAAATAAACCAAATATCTATCTACAAGGGAATAGATAAATAAATGTGGCATATCCATATAATGGAACAGTAGTCAGCAATAAGAGTGGAATAACAGACATTGGAGACTAGAAAAGGTGGAAGGGTGGGATGGGGTTGAGGAATAAGAAATTACCTAATGAGTACAATGGACACTATTTGGGTGGTGGTTACACTGAAAGCATAGACTTCATCGCTATTCAATATATCCATGTAACAAAACTGTATTTATATACACTAAATGTATGAAAATGTAAAATATAGTAATAGACTATAATACATGTAAAAACATAGATGGCTGTCAAAATAGTTACTCTGAGAAAAAGACCAAAAAAGTACATGCTTTGTGATTCCATAATTCCATTTTTATAAAATTCTAGAAATATGCAAACTAATTGGTAGTGACAGAAAATCCTGGGAGATGGGTTTCGAGCTGTGGGGGAGATGTTGGCTTGGGCAGGGGACAGTTAGGAAAGGGGGTAAAAGGGAGGGTTTGCAAAGGGGCATGAAAAGAATACTGATATGATGCATGTATTCATCATCTAGATGTTGATGGTTTCACCATTTTTTTTGTCAAAACTCATTGTACTCTTTAAGCATATAGTTTATAACTATATATCTCATGAAAGTTGTTTTTTAAAGAGTTAGGTGAATTGCCCAGACTCAGAGAGGAGATCAAAATCCCTGAGGAATTAATCAATGCAATCAGATGGCTTTATGCTTCTTTTTCCAAGTTATACTATTTTAATACTCCTGCTACTCTAACCAGATGTTTAAACCTTTAAGGAAAATAATTATGTCTACCCTAAAACCTTAACCACAGGAGCAACTTAAAGATCATGGTAAGCCCCTTCTTGTGTAATTTACCCCAGAACAATATTGGAAACAGAAATTCCCCCTTCAATAAACTCAGACGTTTGTAACCCCACATCATAATGAAGCTTTGGCAAAATGGCAAGTGAGCCAACATTAGAGGAACAATACAGCAAGCTAAGAACAAAGATTTAAGGGCCAAATTTCCTGAAATAAAAAATATGGTACTGCCATTTAGTAGCTATGCGACCTTGGGCAAGTTACCCTGTACTCAGTTACCTCATTTGTTAAATGAAGATAATATTATTTCATAGATTGTTGTGATATTGAAATGAGTTATATTTGCAGAGTGCTTAGACCTGCACTAGCAGATAGTAAGCACTACATAAATTTTTGTTAAATAAAATATTGTACAAAGATCTATTTTAACCAAATGTGTGCTGATGAGGATAATAAAAAGCAAGGCTATTGGGAGGATGCCATAAAGGGATAAAGCTATAAAAGTAAGGGGCTTATTAGAAAGTTCCTATAACAATTGGACCTGTGATTACCCCTTACCTACTTTGTCTCTTACCAGGAGACGGTAGGTCTGTTTTCTAGAAAAACGAAACCAGAGAAGCTTTGGAGACAATTATACTTAAAATGGGCAAGGATAAGCAGTTAGGCTGTAAGAAGGGGACAAAATGAAAGCTGTCCCCTGACCCAGACCCTTCAGAATACCTATCAGGCAATCGAGCTTCCACAACCTAGATAATAAAAAAGGAACACTTCTCCAGAGAAACTGAACCACCCCAAAGATAAGCTATTTGGGTATGCCTAGTGATAAGCCAGTGCCCGCTTAAAGTTGCTTACAAGTAATGTCCACCAAAGAGGAGTCCACCATTCACACAGAGGTTCTGTGATGGTTAATTTTAGATGTCAACTTAACTAGTCTAAGGGATACCTAGATAGTGATAAAGCATCATTTCTGGGTGTGTCTGTGAGGATGTTTCTAGAGGAGATTGGACTGTGAGTCAGTGGACTTGGTGGGGAAGATCCACCTTCAACGTGGACAGATAACATCCAATCAGCTGGGGACCCAGATAGAACAAAAAGGCAGAGGAAAGATGAATATGCTCACACACTCCCTCTCCTGGAGCTGGACCCCCTTTTTCTTCCGCCTTTAGACATCAGAACTCCAAGTTCTCCTGCCTTTGGACTCTGAGACTTGCACCAGGTGTCCCCTGGGTTCTCAGGTCTTTGACCTTGAACTGAGAGTTACATCACTAGCTTCCCTGGTTCTGATGCTTTGGGGCTTGGACTGAGCCACACTACCAGATTCACTTGGTCTCCAGCTTGCAGGTGGCTTACTGTGGGACTTCTCAGCCTCCATAATTGCATGAGCCAATTCCCCAAATAAGTTTCCTCTCATCTATTTATTATCAATCTCTCTACTGTCTATCATGAATCTAACAAGCAAAGAGAGGCTCTCTAAAATAAAAAGATATTTATTTGGGAGTATGGCATTGCAGTGGAAATATACATGCCATGGTAAACTGTGTGCATATTCAAGGAGGCAAAGGAAGCCAAAGGCTTTTAAAGGAAAAATTAGAAGGATCATATATTGATTTAAAATTATTATCCATGATTATAAAGATCAATAGCAAGAATGAATTCAGTTCAAGTTTGGACAGGCAGTTAGTTGCTGGGCGGATGTACTTACAGAAGTGTTTTTTTATGTAAGGTTGCAGTGACCTTTGTGCAAGGTTGTAGTTTTTGCAGAGTTTTTTGTGTTTTGTTATTAGTTTTGTTATTACATGAAAACCCTCTCTTCACAGCCTTCCCTGGCTCTATTTGTCAGAGTTTTGTTTTATTTTGAATTAACACAAGTGGCTCAATTTTTATTCTGACGATTTTCACACTATCCTATTGATTTTGTCTCTCTGGAGAACCTGACTAATAAAGCTTCTAAACCAATTATGGTATCTTTACCTTAAATAGGAATGATTAGCCAAAAGTCATGAGTCATTTGAGGAAACCCTTAATTGTGAAACAGAGATCAAAGCAACCATATAAAAAGAAAATAGAAACTATGTAGGAAACAGAACAAGACCTTTAAAATTATCACATTCATGTAACAAGAACAGGACACTATAAACAAGAGTAATCAGAGGGGAAAAATAGCTTTTCGAATTTAAAAGTGTAATTGTGTCTTAAGTCAGGTACCTTGGAAGCAGAGCCTGGGAGGGGATTCTTGTTCAAGTGACAGAATGAGGGAAAGCCTTCAGGAGAGTTGAGGAATGCAGGATAGGCAAGACGAAAAACATGCACAAGAATCTGGTCTCAGAGGCTTCTTTACGTCTGGTCTCATGGTGAAAACTCTAGAGTACACATTGCACCACTGAATCAATCTCACTTTGACACAAGCAGCCTTTAAACCTTGATATCAGTTAGTCATCATCTAAATTCTGAACTCCAAGAGGTGGTTGCATAGCCCCTGAGGAAAGGCAGCTCCTGGTTGATCAGAAAATTGTCTAGGAAAGGGGATATTGTTATATATCAGCCTATATTCCCAGCAACTAGGGATGGCAGCACTGGCTGATAAAGAGCCTATTACCTGTGTGCAACTTTCTCATTCCCTTCTTTACACATACAGTTCACTTTTATCCTTTCCTAGCAGCTCTTAGCAGTCAGACTTTCCTCTTGCTCAAATGAGTACACTATGCAAATAATGAGCTTTTGAAATAGTCTGAGTTATTTTGGCTATTTCGACTTTTAGCTTTTTGAAAAATGTAAACAAATAATGGCAAGACTTGCAATACACCTCACAGCACTCCAAAAAATATATGCCAGCTCTTAGGCTAACACCTGGCATCCATCTCCCTTGACTTCGATTTTTGTAGTTTGGATTACATAACTGAGGAAGTTTCATTTAAATCTTCATCCATTTTCACTGTGTTCATAGATGTTCTAGAAAAAAAATGAGAGGAGAATTATCAAAGAAATCATACAAGAAAATTGTCCAAAAGTGAAAAGCATGTAACTTCAGATAAAAAGTACCCACTGAGTGCCCAACAAAATGAATTTAAAAAGCCCCACAAAAAGGCACATCATGAAATCTTAGAATGCTAGGGATAAAGAAGAGTTTCTAACAGTTTTGAGACAGAAAGCCAAAGCTATTTTTATAAGCCTTTTGGCACTATTTGACTTTTTTAAAACTACAAGTCATAACATAACACAATATATGCATTCCTGAAAAATCTTAGAATCCACAAAACTGATCCCTAAAAATAACAGTGCTTATGGAGAAAAATACGGTTGAGGAAGACTATTCAAAACTTGGGCAAACTTCTGTTTTTCCATCCTCAGTTACGTAGTTTATTGATCAACCCACACACACACACATACACACACACACACACAACGTAAAACCCAATAACAATTCTAACAAAAATGCACATATATTTTCAAAGTTAGTATGAAGGAATAGAACAAGAGGGCATATAATTAGCAAAAAGTCCAACTAAGAGCAAAATTCAGATTGTTTGTCTAAGAAGTAGTAGGCCAGGTCAAGTCATGGCAGGGGTGATGTGGTGTCTCATTTTTAAACCTTTTTTTATTATATAATACATAAAGTCAGAATACAATACAGAATTTTAGTGAAAAGAAACGTATAGATCTATTCCAATTCCCCAGTCTGGTGGGCACTTGCTATCATGGAAATTGAAGAGCAGATCCAGTTGAGGGACACCACACACTGCTTAGACTAAGGGATCCTAATCCCTGTTCTCTTCATAGATCCAAAACTATTTTAAATGGGTTCATCAGGAGGTTCTAGAGACTCTGTGTTGAGTGAGTACAGGAAGTACTAAAAAGAGATAATCCAGGAAAAAAAAAAATCCACACATGAACAACCAAATGACTTTCAATAAAGGCTCCAAGAGCACATATTCAGGAAAACATATTCAGTCCCTTCAATAAATGGCTCTGAGAAACTAGGATATCCATATGCAAAAGAATGAAACTGAACCACTATTTCTCACCACTTTCAAAAAATCAACTTACAATGAATTAAAGATTTAAATGTAAAGCCCAAAACTATGAGACTACTAGAATAAAACAGGTAAAATGCTTCATGACTTTGGATTGGGCAAAGTTTTTTTATTTTTTTATTTTTTTTTTATGAAGCCTCAAAAGCACAGGCACCAAAGGAAAAATAGACAAATAGGATTACATCCAAAAAAGACTCCTGCACAGCAAAGGAAACAATAGAATGAAGGGCCAACCTACAGAATGAGAGAAAATATTCACAAACTATGTATCTGACAAGGAATTAATGACCAGAATATATAAAGAATTAACTCAATAGCAAAAAAAAAAAACAACCAAATTAAAACTGGGCAATGTATCTGATAGACATTTTGCAAAAGAAGACATACAGATGGGCAGTAGGTATATGAAAAAATGCTCAACATCACCAATCAGGGAAATGCAAATCAAAATCACAATGAGATGTTACCTCACTCCAGTTAAAATGGCTACCAAAAGACAAAAAACAATAAATGCTAGCAAGAATGTGGAGAGAAAGGAATTGTTATACCCTGTTGTTGGGCATGTAAGTTAGTGTAGCCATTATGGACAATAGCATGGAGGCTTCTCCAAAATTTAAATAGAACTATTATAGGCCCTGACAATCCTACTACTGTATGTATATCCAAAGAAATAAAATCCATATATTGAAGAGATATCTGCATTTCTGTGTTTATTGCAGCACTCTTCAAAATAGCCAAGATATGGAATAAATCTAAATGTTGACCAATGGATAAAAGAATAAAGGAAATGTGGCATATATATACAATTGAATACTATTTAGCCATAAGAAGAAAAGTTTCACTTATAGAAACATGGATGGAACTGGAGGTCTTTATGTTAAGTGAAATAAACCAAGCACGGAAGGATAAATACTGCATGACCTCATTCATATGTGGAATCTTAAGAAGTTGATTTCATAAAAGTAAAGTGGAAGAGTGGTTACCAGAGGCTGGAGAGAGATGGGAGGAGAAGGATGAGAAGTTAGCAGGTACAAAGATACAGTTAGGAGGGATAAGTCCTGGTGTTCTATTAGTAGGGTAACTATAATCAACAATAATCTATATTTCAAAATAGCTGAAATAGAATTTTCAATATTCTCACCGTAAAGGTTGTGCAACTTTCCTCACCCTCCAGTACAAAATATTTTTCCACTCAGTGCGTTTAATTAAAGAAGTACAGATGGCCAGGGGCGGTGTCTCCTGCCTGTAAACCCAGCACTTTGGGAGGCCAAGGCGGGCAGATCATGAGGTCAGGAGATCGAGACCATCCTGGCTAACACGGTGAAACCCCGTCTCTACTAAAAATAAAAAAAAATTAGCCAGGCGTGGTGCCGGACGCCTGTAGTCCCAGGTACTCGGGAGACTGAGGCAGGAGAATGGCGTGAACCCGGGAGGCGGAGCTTGCAGTGAGCCAAGATCGCACCACTGCATCAAAGCCTGGTCAACACAGCGAGACTGTGTCTCAAAGAACAGAAAGTATAGAAATTGGAGAAAAAGAATAAGACAAAGAGAAAATTATAATTTTTAGAATTTCTTTGATTCAGGCTATTAATAGTAATTATAGCCCTTTCTTGAGATATACTGAAACAGAAAGGGGCAGAGATAATTTTATGCTTCAGACCAGGGGTTCAATGTTATTAATGGCCTTGACTTTTTTCCTTACTTTTTCTCAGATGGGAAAGACCTTCTGGGAAAGAGAGAAAACCAAGAATATGGAAGATACTACCAAACAGCATTTAAAATTTTAAGCTGGGTAATCCTGGGTCTTAGGGCACATTTGTCTTTTTTAAAGGTTGCCAATTTTATTGTCATATAATTGTTAACTGATGTTTATTTCATTATGTTTTTTTATTTTTTAAGACTTTCCAATTTTCTGGCTTGGATATGTGCTGTAGCTTTTAGTATAGGATATCATAGGATGTGTGTGTTGGGGCCAATGGGATTCTTGTTGCTTAACAGTAGTTATCAAGACATGATTCCATTGGAAGCATCTTCGTAAGTGATTTTAGCTTTGTTAACAGATACCACCTGCTAGGTTCAGTGACAGCTTTCTCTGATACTTAATGACAATTTCTTTTAATTTAACATTTTTAATGAAAACTAATATAGGAATTAAAACTGGGGAAAGAGTACACTGGTACCATAATTGGCTTCAAACCTACCAATTAAACATTATATGAATTAAAGTTTTATGTGTTTTTAATTGTACCTTCAATAAGTGAAGGATACAGCTTGTCTGTAAAACATACAATAAATTATTTAAATATCGGATTTAGTCATGAATTTCATAGGTTTTAATTATCAGCAGAAACAGCAGAGAGATGACAATGGAGAAACATGGAGAATGTATGGTCAAAAAGCGCCTATCTGCTTGTCAGTGTAAGAAAACATCCAACCACATGATGGTCCTCATGTAATTATAAAGTTGTGACTGGTCACATAATAGACATTAACAAGCCTCACTAAAAAAAACGTCTCAAGTTTTAAGTTGATAGCCTATAGCTGGGTGTACAGAAAACAAGCTCCAGTTGTCTATCAATTCAAAATATTTTCATAGCAATGGTTCAAATTTGAGAACAAAAAAGTAGGTTGCCTAGTTCTCATGTTGCTAAATAAAAAGCCTTCTCTGGAACGCATCCGAATCCTAATGGTAGTTTGCAAAGTAAATAACAAGAGAAGAGGACATTAACCGGCTTCCTCCCAAGACCTGTGAAACACAAGGGAAATTTGTAATTATTCATCCCTCCAACCTGCCTCCCACTTACTGAGCAATTGTTATGTGCGAGGCACTGAGCCAGGTGCTGCCTGCACAGGGATGTTAATAAAATATCAGCTGGGCTTGTGGAAGATGGAGACAAGTACAGTCAGTTTTACCCTAAGCCAGTGAGTACCTCATATTCTGCTTCACACAAAGGGCATTGTCTCAGGGCTTAGGAATTACTCTAGAATAAAAACTAAAAGAGAATTTAGTTCTTGCAAGTTGTATCCAAGCACCTTTTTTTTTAAAATCCAAGGTGTTATTTTTGATGGGATATTCATTTCACTGTGCTTGAAAAAAGAGACCTTGTAATTCTTTAGACAAGCCTGGCAGCTGCAGCGTTATTATAAAACCACAGTGAATCCCATATCCACTGTCATTAAAGCATACTGTGAAATGATTCAGTGGCAGGTCTCGAAAGAGAAGGGGAAAACATTGGCAAGAAGGGAGTTATGATGATATGTGATTTGGTGATCCCCAAATTGTTAAACTAGATAATGAGACTGCAACAATCCCCTCAATAAACTCAATTCTCTGGGTCTCCTGCTGGCTGCATTCATTACTTCAGCTGGGAACACTGCCTTAATGACATCTGCAAGGCTTAATACTCTGTAGACTCCACACTGTGCCTATGGGATCATTCATACCTCACTGGAATAAAGCTTTCAGAAATAAAGAGGGATGGCAAGTGGGCCTGGTGTTGAGGGAGTTGCACAGGAACGCCAACAGAGGCTCATGTCCCTCATCATTTCTTATCTTCCTGGATGCCTCTCAGGGCTGGAATAGTTGACTAGAGATGAAGAAAGAAATTTGGGACAGCTGCTGAAAGAAAAAACAGGACTTGCTTAATGAGGTTGATGAGTTCCTTGTTCAAAGAAGTAGCCCCAGTAAAATAAGAGCTCAGATCCCCTTTTTGAGCCCTTTTATTGCAATGGGCTTGTGTCGTCATCTACTGTTTTACCATTGGATCCTCTCTGTTCTAATGTTTGATATGTCTCTGAATGATCTGACCTCCATGCTCTGGCTTTCTTCTTCCATTTGGCCTCCTCAGATAGGCTTGGTCTCTCATTTCATTTGGATTTTATTTTTCCCATATAGTGCCTGTCATTTCTGTCTGCATTAAAAAAAAAAATCACCTACCCATCATCTTCCTACCATACTGGTTTCTTCCTTTCTTACACTTCCATAGAGTTTCAAAAAACATATTAGTCATTTTGAAAGTGTTCAGTGTTGCGTTTGGCACTATTTAGGGCCTCTGTCTCTGGATGCTTCTTCCTTGCTCTCCTCCTCTTAGCCTACATCAGTGTCTCTTTTCCCTCCAGATTAGAGGCAAGATCAAGTCTTGCCTACTACCTCTTTTGTAAATAAAATGTTATTGGGACACAACCACACTCATTTCTCTATGGCTGCTTTCATGCTACCACAGAGTTGAGCACTTGCAGAGATTATATGATGGTCCTTAACAGAAAAAACGCCTGTGAACTTCTACTCTGTACAGACTCTCTTTTAGTGTTCTGTTCTTCTCTCACCTATTTTCTTAATTAGGCAAAGATCTCAAGGTTAGGAAATGCAACCAGAAATGACACCAAACTACAAATGCCCATTGGTTTAACTTTACAGAAGGATAGTTTCCATTCTCAATTAAGAGTTAGTCCTCACTATTCCCTAAATGTATCATGCTGCTTCTGCCTTTACCACATCCTAAAATTAGAAGTCACTTTTCTACTCATGATTTAAACCCAGCTTAAGCACTCTTACTTCCATGAGGCCTTTTGGATTGATTGTGGTGGCTTGGACTATTTCTCACCTTCTGAGATATACAACCTTTCTGTATCTCACTGGCTCACCTGTTGCTGCTGAACCTCTCCTGTCCTTCTCTTCTCTTAGCCTTCCTTAGTCTTCTAATTTATAATTTAAGGTGAATAGATTTTTATTGCTTGAGAATGTCCATGTAGTTTTCTTTTTACTCTAAGTAGATTTTTTTTTTTAAATGAAACACACAGAGATGCAGTGGCTCACACCTGTAATCCCAGCAATTCGGGAGGCTGAGACAGGTGGATCACCTGAGTCTAGGAGTTCAAGACAAGCTTGGGCAACATGGCAGAACCCCATCTCTATAAAAAGTATAAAAAACTAGCCAGGCATGGTGGCTCATGTCTCTAGTTCTAGCTACTTGGGAGGCTGAGGTGGGAGGATCACTTGAGCCCAGGAGGCAGAGGTTGCAGTGAGCCAAGATGGTGCCACTGCACTCCAGCCTGGGCGACCGTGAGACCCTGTCTCAAAAGAAAAAAAAAAAAAAGAAAAAAAAAATATACATAGTGCTTTATCTAAGGTGAATCCTAGAAAATAGAAATGTCTCTATCTTCTACAAATGAACACCCTATTCTAGTATTTCCTATTCTCAATGAGAATTTCTATATTGACCATGGGCTCGGAAACAGCATCTCTAGTAGATGCAAGACACAATCTTTATGAGGGAATAT
This sequence comes from Homo sapiens, assembly GCF_000001405.40. NCBI lineage: Eukaryota > Metazoa > Chordata > Mammalia > Primates > Hominidae > Homo > Homo sapiens. The sequence continues at coordinate 49,401,839 of NC_000002.12, read as the reverse complement.
AGACTAAGGGCCAACACAGTATTTTATTTGAAATAGTTCAAAAATTTTAAATTATAAGTATTCAATTAAAATCTGTATTCCCAACTTCACTATAAAAACCAGAAAACCTAGTACTACCAGAATTTCCACATGGCTCCAAGCAAGTAGAGATCAGCAGCACTTCTCCCTTTAGAAGGGCCAGGGCTTTCTCATTTCTGGTTCACCATATATCTCAACACTCCTGTTAGCCTATGCTGGGCCAATTTCATCATTTGTGCTGTCTACTCATTCTCTGTAGGGATTTAATTTGTGATTCCTGATCTAAACCAAATATCAAACAGACAAAAACATTTGAGGACAGAGATATACTACAGAGGTAGCTATTAATATTTGTTTAATAAAACTAGAAGTAGAGATAGCATAATGGGTAGAAATAGCAAATACATGGAATAATATCCCAGATATGTCAGCCTGGAGCCATTATTGCTGAAAGGCTGAAAGAGAAACAAACAAAACTCAGCCTCAGAGCTTTGACCACCTGTGTAAGTAACCAAGACCAAGCTAATTTCTGGATTTGACAGGAGCATGTTGTAGTATATGGTAATGTGGGTGTTAAGGCTGACTTGTGTCCTTCCAAAATTCGTATGTTAAATTGCTAACCTCAAGTATCATAATGTGACTGTATTTAGAGACAGGGTCTTTAAAGAGGTGCTTAAATTAAGACAAAGCCATTAGGGGAGACACAAATCCAGTCTGTCTGGTGTTTTTGTTAAGAAGAGATTAGGACATAGAGACAACAGGAACATGTGTTTATAGAGATAACCATGTGAGGAGGCAGCAAGAGGGCAGCCATCTGCAAGCCAAGGAGAGAGGCCACAAAAGAAACCAACCCTGCCAGCACTTTGGTCTTGAACTTCTAACCTCCAGAAGCATGATAACATTAATTTCTGTTGTTTAAGCCACCATATCAGTGGTATAATATTTTGTTACGGCAGCCCTAGCAAATTAATACATTAGAGCCCCTACAATAGTCTCTTCTTGTTCTTACACAAGGTGTGTCCCCTCATTCTCTTGTGACTCTGAAAAGTACTTGTCCTCTCCCACTTTCACACAAGCCATTCTCACAGCCCCTCTACTTTATCTTCACCAACCCATGCCTATCTCCATCTGTATGTGAGGTGACAGTTGCCAAGATGCCACAGCTTGCCAAATATAATCCATCCCTGTGAGACAAAGAATGGAGATTCTGGAAATATAACATACATATGTATTTTTTTCTATATTCAGCCTAGGCCAACACAGTAAAACAGAACCATCAGTTATTTCATTGCCAGTTCAGAGTTACTTTTACTGATGTTGTTCCTAAAATATCATATACCTTTGTAATATTCTGTTGTCCAGAAGATCCTAATTGCAGATGATTCCTCTCTTAGCTATTATAACATCCCTCTTTGTTTGTTACTGATGCAAGAAAACTGGCCTGGAATTTTCTTCTTTAGAATCATTGTTTTTTTGGGGGTCAATCTGTGAAGGCAATTATGGCTTGTTGAATGAGGGTCCCTTACAGCAGGCATGGGGTCCTGCTGGATGAATTTTCATGGTGTTCACACTAAACAGGACAAATATTCAACTTGGCCTTTCACTTTATGTAAATTAGAATACAGTCTTGACAATCACGTACTTTTTTGCACTGTTGCAAAAACATCACATACTTCTTTGCACTGTGGAAAGATAACCCAGAGTGTGAGCTCTTTGGAGAAAAAGAGCTTGGTTTTTTTTCTCTTTATGTGTCTCACTGACCATGTTGCTGAAATCTGACATTCCTTTAGACAATCACTTGTCTCGGTCATGGCTTCGCCCTAACTAAGGAAATTCCCCTTGTAATATTTCATCAGACTTTTACAGTGATTAGCATTATTCAACATGGATATTAGCTAAAGACAATTCCTTGACAGGAAATTTATCATGGAGTTTGGGGTTTATAGAGAGAAGTTCCTCTTAGAAAAGAGTGTACCCATTTGAGTGCCAGATGGGAGGGGTCTGACTAGTTATCCAGGGGATAGCAGAAGAGAGTGACTCAGGCCCAAAATGAAGAGTGCCACTAATAAGGAAGATGAGAAGGAAATCAGAAATATTATCATCTTGCTAAGCTCTGTGTGGAAAATCTAACCAGAGTTCTCACAAAGGTAGAGACTTAAGACATTGGTTTCCTAGACACTGGGCCATTTGAGAGCATCCTCAGATCTAACTGTGTTTTGCCTGACCATAGTCAGTACTGTCATACACAGGTTTCTTGTTTAAAACTTAAAATATTACCAAAAAAAAGCATAAGAATTACAAAAAGTTAGATTATCCAGAATAACCTACCTTTAGAATAAAAATTTGTGGTTTTTGCAGTGGATATATTTTAGAATATAGCTTAGAAATAAATATTTGTTTTTAGAATAAATATTTGTTTTTTACGGTATTTACAATAGGTCTCCTTCAAAGAATACATTCACTTATTACAATTTTTGATGTATCTGTATCTCAGTGTGATTATAAATAGGTTTCTCAAAACCACAAATACGGCTTTAAATAAACCCTAAGTGCATAAAGTATAAAGAGACTAGTAAGTGTATACATATGAAAAATATATTAACATACATGCACAAACAGAAACTCCAAAAGCATATAAGTGCACATATTCACACATATACACTTAAACCCGTGCACAAATTCATACCAACCACTTCCCTCTAGGTTTTAATTAAAGTGCCAATTCTAAAGACTGATGATTTTTAGGAGTAAGTACTCAAACATCTAAATAAAAGGCCGGTGGCATTTTTGACAGCTGACATGGTGACGGGGATGCATTGCCCAAGTTTTACTGGAATAAATCATCTTCATGCTAGCTTTCACCTTTGACTCCATTTCTCTCCTTGCTCCCAAATAGGTTCTGGGAGAGATGTCTGCTTAGGCAGAAATCAGATGCAAGGATCAGAGATCTATCGACTCCAAAATCTTTCCTGAAATTCTATATAAAGCAATAAGAATGGAAACATTACATATCACTAATAATTAAGCATTTTATTAACTCGCTCAAAGACTTAGTTTTCCTTTCTATGTCTCATCCTCACTGTGGTCATCCAAGCCAAGAGAATATGGTAAACCAATGGGAAGAGAGTACATCTGGGGAAAAGACAAAGAGGATGCATCCTTCAAAAAGCACATTTCATTTTTAGATTTTATTCCCCTGCTGCTGCTGCTGGCAGTGTGACACAGTCTGCTATTGCTGCTGGCCAGGACCTTTTCTCACATCCCCAATCTTCTCTCTTCGGAAAGATTCACCCCCTGATAAAAACAGTCACAATTTAGAAACCTTCATTTCCTGAACAGAGCCTTCCAGCCACAGTAAATGCATCCAGGTGACATAGAGTTAAGTGATTTAAAACATTTTATAGATTATATCCCCTTAATATATCATCCAGCCTAAGAAGATTTATTTAGATGAAATAAGAAATGACCTTAAACTCTATCTTGCACTTGCGCCAAACCTCAAACAAATTTCAGGTTTACAAATAGTTATTATTTTTCCTCAGTCTTCTCATTTGGGGAATGTATTCTCCTCTACTTTCTCACCTATAATGAAGCAAATATATAAATTATTCTAAAATAAATTAACTAGATGTATTTTTCTCATCATTTTGCTGAAAGCACAGAATGGGCACATGGATATCATGTAAGTATACAATTTTTTTTGGCACCAAATATAAATGTCTGAATTTAACCCATGCTAATTATTATGAATCTCACCTTTCATACATTCAATATCGTGCAACATGATAGTACACACATTTAATGAATGAAAATGTCTTTATTTCCCCCATACTTGTATAACCTAATGTTACACTTTCTTAGCAACTATTGACAGTTAAATCTTCTTGCTTGCATGTACTGTGCAAATAATGACATTTTTAAAACTTCTAAGTCAAGTAAACTTCTCTGATAAATATACTTTTAAAAAATTAAACAGATAATAGCTAGACTTGCTCTCAATAACTCTCATAATCTTCCAATAAATATATGCCAATCCTAGGCAAACATCTGGCATAAGCTTCCTCTTGTTCCTACTTTCATATTTATGAGTTAAGTAATGAATAAATTTTGTGTAAATACTCTTAAACTCAAGTAAAAAATATAGATATTTCCACTTTTTCTCTAAGACTCCATTTAGGATTCACTTAGGTCAAATATGAAGTGTTATTCCATTTAGGATTCACTTATGTCAAATATGAAGTGTTATTAGCATCACCATTATCTACTGATACAAATAAACCTGTATGTTGTGCACTGCATTCAGAGCTACAGATAAAGGATAATTCATATTTTGTTATAATGTGGACTTAAAGTAGTCTTGCTGCTTCTCCTGAATTCTTTTAGATTAAATTAACTCAAACAATAGTTGAATACAATGGATATTGGCAATATTAGATAAGGCATTATGAGTCTCATGGCACATTTTAACAGATATACAAGACCAATGGACATAGGTTGATAGAAACTCAGCTGTACTCTGGCTAGGTGCAGTGGCTCACGCTCGTAATCCCAGCACTTTGGGAGGCCAAGGTGGGCAGATCACAAGGTCAGGAGTTTGAAACCAGCCTGATCAATATGGTGAAACCTCATTTCTACTAAAAATACAACAATTAGCCAGGCGTGGTGGCGGGGGCTTTTAGTCCCAGCTACTCAGGAGGCTGAGGCAGGAGAATCACTTGAACCCAGTAGGCAGAGGTTGCAGCGAGCTGAGATCACACCACTGCACTCCAGCCTGGTGACAGACTGAGACTCCATCTAAAAAAAAAAAAAAAAAAAAAAAAAAATTCAGCTTTATTCAGGGCCACAAATGGGCGTAGAGAAGAACATGAAGCTGAACCTCAATTTGAGACCTACTGGCTGAGATTTTCCCAGTATTGGTTTATGTTTGATATGATTTGGCTGTGTCTTCACCCAAAATCTCATGTTAAATTGTAATCCTCATAATCTTTACATGCCAAGGGTGGGACCAAGGGTGGAGGTAATTGGATCATGGGGGCAGTTTCTCCATGCTGTTGTCTCTATGGCTAGTGAGTCTCATGAGATCTGATGGTTTTATAAGCATCTGGCGTTTCCCCTGCTTGTACTCACTCCATCTTTCCACCCTGTGAAGAAGGTGCCTTTCTTCCCCTTCGCTTTCCACCTTGATTCTAAGTTTCCTGAGTCCTTCCCAGCCATGCAGAACTGTGAGTCAATTAAACCTCTTGTCTTTATAAGTTATCCATTCTCGGGTATTTCCTTATAGCAATGTGAGAACAGACTAATACACCACCCAAATCTCGTGTTGAATTGTAACCCCCACATGTCAGGGGAGGGACCTTGTGGAGGTGATTGGATCATGGGGGTGGTTTTCTCCATGTTCTCATGATTGTAGGGGAGTTCTCATGAGATTTGATGCTTTAAAAGTGTGTGGCAGTTCACCCGACTATCTCTCTCTTGCCACTATGTAAAGAAGTTCAAGGTCCTTGCTTCCCCTTTGCCTTCCACCAGATTGTAAGTTTCCTGAGACCTTTTAGTCATGCTTCCTCTTAAGCCTGCAGAACTGTGAGTCAATTAAACATCTTTTCTTCATAAATTACCTAGTCTCAGGTAGTTCTTTATAGCAGTGCGAAAACAGACTAATACAATCTTCCAAGGATTCCTGCTATGTAGTTCCATTTTTCTATTGTATGAGAGCAAGAGTCAGAGTGACATCCCAAAATAGCAGGCAGAATATCGATTCATCATTAGAAAACAAAAAGTCCCTAATATATGTGATTTTGAAATAAAGAACTTACTGGGAAAGCCATGTCCCTTCACTTTAGCACAGGACGTTGTTTATGCTGTTCCACATGTAGTGACGCTTACCGTTGACTTCCAGCTGTCTGTCCAAAGGATGATATCGTATTCATCTGAGCTTTCTATCCCCAGGACACCTGTTCCTCCAAGAGACACACTAACACCTGTCGAATATGCAATTACTATTCTATTTAGTACATTGGGTCAATTTGCTTCAAAGTCCCTCAGAGCCCTGAAAGGAGTAAGAAAGTGTTAAAAAAAAAAATTTCTCTTGGGAAAGAAAAATCATGTTGTTTCTATTTAATGCTTTGTTTTTTCCTACCCTTTTCTCACTGTCCAAACACCATCATTCTGTCACTGAGCAAACTTCCAACCATTTCTTCATAAAGGTTAGCTTGAGGCAATGGTTTCCAAACTTGTCTGTTCATCAGAATCACATGTGGAGCTTTTGAAAAATGCAGATTCAGAAATTCAGGGATTCTGATACAGTAGGAGGCAAGTTTCAGAACTTTTTATTTCTCCCTTGTTATTATGAGATCTTAGTAATAGGAAAAGCTTTCAAGATCCAAAGAAAAGAATTCCTAATTACAGACATTTAGGCTTTGAGGGTCTTCTGGTAAAAAGCTATTTTTCAGCACTTATCACTCTATATTCAATCTCGTATCTCACCCAAGACCTGGTGTTTAGAATATCTGTCTAGGTTCCTTCTAGACATATCTATATCTATATCTATATCTATATCTATATCTATATCTATATCTATCTGTCTGTCTATCTATCTATCTATCTATCTATCTATCTATCTATCTATCTGTGAATATTTGGGGTTAAGCTTCTTACACAGGAAGGCCGTATGCATAAATTTTAAGAGCATAGACTCCCATTTAAGACTTTTTGTGTTTAAGTACTGATTCTGCCACTTAATACATGTTTAAGCCTCAGTTAAAGTGAGTAACAGATGTATCTGCCCTAAAGAATTACTGAGGAAATTCATTGACATAATGGATGTGCCACAGTATCTAGTACATTGGCAGTACTCCACAAATGTAAGTTATTGTAACAATTGTATTTTAATGATTTATTGGAATCTTTTTTTTTTTTTTTTTTTTTTTTTTTTTTTTTTTTTTTTCAGACAGAGAGTTCCACTCTTTCGCCTAGGCTGGAGTGCAGTGGTCCGATCTCGGCTCACTGCAAGCTCCGCCTCCTGGGTTCACGCCATTCTCCTGCCTCAGCCTCTCAAGTAGCTGGGACTACAGGTGCCCGCCACCATGCCCAGCTAATTTTTTTGCATTTTTAGTAGACACGGGGTTTCACTGTGTTAGCCAGGGTGGTCGCGATCTCCTGACCTCGTGATCTGCCTGCCTCGGCCTCCCAAAGTGGTGGGATTACAGGCGTGGCCACCGGGCCCGGCCGATTTATTGGAATCTTAAACTTTTATTTTCCTTTATGGAAATCTTCACCGCCTCTGATTATTGAGGTGTAGGTTGGTGTTTTTCAAGCCCACTAACCTCTTTCAGTTTGGAGTTCTTTTTTCTGTTTGGAATACAGTATGCTGATCTCTTGTGGGAAAACAAAATAACATTCTCCCTAGTTGTCATTAGAATATTCCCATGTCTGTCCTACCTTCTAATAGGACTTCTGGTATTAAGCTTTATCTACTGCTTCAGTGGGTTGGCCTTTTCTCTCACACTCTATTCTCACCTGGCCTTAATGGCTATTAGTAGACTTTTCTGATGACACCACCCTACTTCTCACAAGCTAAGTACAAGCAATTTTTTTACTAACAAATTATCACTGATTGTAATACTTGAAATATAAACAATCTACTAAAACTATCAAATATTTTATTAAATCCCTCACATTTTGTTATCTTTTAGCTTTTACTGAAATAAAATCTTCCAGCCCCTCTTAGAAATGAGGTCAACGCTACTCAAGGTACAGTCGGTGGACCATAGCATTCCAGAAACTATTAGAAGTCCATAGGCAGAAAAGAAGTTTGTCAGAATATAAATCAACTAAGTCACTAGGCATACTGTTTAGTTTAGCTGATATATATATATTTTTTTTAGTAGAAAGCTCTGTGTTGGTTTATCTTTTAGCAAACTGGCAACAAACTGTTCACAGACTAGCTATTGCACCAAGCTAGAACCTGGGCAAATGCTAGAGATACAACACTGGGCAAGATAAAAAGATCTGTTCTCTCCTGCCCATCTTCTACATGAATTTGGAGTGATGAAGGAGACACTGTTCAACACTATGATACAAGCTACTCAATTTTAATCATGATAACTGCTAAGAAGAAAGTAAGATTAATGGGATAGAGTGAAACTGGAAGAAATGGTAGAAGGCTTACATAGGAGGTAATATTTGGAAGGAGACTTAAAGCATATCAAGAAGCCAGGCATGCAAAGATGGGTGGAAGCAAGAGCATTCCAGTAAGAGGAAAAGTCTAGTACATAACCTTAAAGTGGAAACAACTTGGTGTTGCCCAGAAAATGAAAGGTCAGAGAAAATACTCAAATAAATAAAATCAGAGATGAAAGAAAAAAGACATTACAGTAAAATATGCAAAATACAAAGAATTCTGACTTATGAACAACTGTGTACCATCAAATTTGGTAACAGAAGAAAGGGACAAATTGCTGGACACATATAACCTTAAGATTAAATTATGAAAAAATGGAAAATCTGAACAGACCAATAATGAGTAACGAAATTGAATCAGTAAGAAAAAGTCTTCCATCAAAGAAAATCCCAGGGCCTGATGGATTAACTGCTGAAGTTTACCAAACACTTAAAGAACTAATACCAATTCTTACCAAAGTATTCCAGAAAACCAAAGAGAAGAGAATACTTCCAAACACATTTTAAGTTCAGCATTACCCCAACTCTAAAACTGGACAAGGACACAACCTGAAAAAAAAGAAACACAACTGCAGGCCAATATTTTAGATGAACATAGATGCAAAAATTTTCAGAAAACTAGTAAAATGAATTTAACAGCATATTAAAAAGATCACTCATGTAATCAAGTGAAATTCATCACAGGGATGCAAGTATGATTTAACATATGGAAACCAATAAATGTGATACACCACATTAACAGGAAGACAAAAGCCACATATGATCATTTCAATAGGTACAGAAAAAGTATTTGACAAAGTTTAACATCCCTCATGATAAAAACTCTCAATAAAATGGGTATAGAAGGTATATACCTCAACACAATGAAGGCTATATATAAGAATTCCACAGGTAACAGCATACTGAATGGGAAATCTGAAAGTTTTTCCCCTAAGGTCAGAGACAAGACAAGGATTCGCACTCTCACCACTTTTATTCAACAGAGTACTGGAAGTCCTAGCCAGAACATTTAGGCAAAAGAAAGAAATAAAAGGCATCTAAATTGGAAAGGAGGGCGTCAAGTTGTCCATTTGCAGATGACATGATTTTATATAAAGGAAACCCTAAAACCTTCACGAAAAAACTGTTCAAAGTAACTAACAAATTGAGGAAAGTTGCAGAATACAAAATCAGCATACATAAATCAGCAGTGTTTCTATACACTAATTGCTAACTACCTCAAAAAGAAGTCAAAAAATTATGTTTTTAATAGCTACAAAAAAATAAGATACCTAGAAATAAACTTAACCAAGGAGGGAGAAGATCTCTACATTTAAAACTTTAATAATAAAAGAAATGGAAGAGGACACAAATATCCTGTATTCATGGATTGGAAAATTAATATTATAGAAATGGCCATACTACCCAACATAATACATAGTTTAATGCAATCCCTATCAGAACATTCAATAACATTATTTACAGAAATAGAAAAAAAGTCCTAAAATTTATATAGAACCACAAAAGACCCTGAAATAGCCAAAACAATCCTGAGCAAAAGGAACAAAGCTCAAAGCAGCATGGTACTTGACTTCAAAATATACAACAAAGCTATAGTAAACAAAACAGTATAGTACTGACATAAAAACAGATACATAAACCAATGAAACAAAATAGAAAGCCCAGAAATAAATTAACGTACCTACAGCCAAATGATTTTCTTTTTTAATTTTTATTATACTTTCAGGAGTACATGTGCAGGTTTGTTATATATGAAAACTTGTGTCGTGGGGGTTTGTTGTACAGATTATTTTGTCACCTGTGTGCTAAGCATAGTACATATAGTTATTTTTGCTGATCCTCTGCTTCCTCCTACTCTCCTTCCTTAAGTAGGCCCCGGTGTCTGTTGTTCCCCTCTTTGTACCCATTGGTTCTCATTATTTAGCTCCCATTTATAAGTGAGAACATGTGATATTTGGTTTTCTGTTCCTGCCTGAGTTCACTAAGGATAATGACCTCCAGCTCCATCCATGTTCAAAGGACATGATCTCATTCTTTTTTATGGATACATAGTATTCCATGGTGTATATATAGCACATTTTCTTTATCCAGCCTACCGTTGATGGGCATTTAGGTTGATTTCCACAGTTTTGCTATTGTAATTGGTGCTGTAATGAACATATGTGTGCATGTGTCTTTATGGTAGAATGATTTATACTTCTTTGGGTATATACTCAGTATTGAGATTCCTGGATTAAATGGTACTTCAGTTTTTATGTCTTTGAGGAACCACTACACTACTTTCCACAATGGTTGAACTAATTTACACTCCCCCTAACTGTGTATAAGCATTCTTTTTCCTCCACAACCTTGCCAGCATCTGTTTTTTTTTTTTCAACTTTTTAATAGTAGCCATTCTGACTGGGGTTAGATGGTATATGATTGCGGTTTTGATTTGCATTTCTTCAATAATCAGTGATAGTGGGCTTTTTTTCTTATGATTGTTGGATGGATATATGTCTTCTTTTGAAAAGTGTCTGTTCATGTACTTTGCCCACTTTTTAATGGAGTTGTTTTTTGCTTATAAGTGTGTTTAAGTTCCTTATAGGGATATTAGACTTTTATCAGATACATAGTTTGCAAATATATTCTCCCATTCTGTAGGTTGTCTGTCTACTCTGTTGATAGATTCTTTTACTGTACAGAAGCTATTTAGTTTAATTAGATCCCATTTGCCAATTTTTGCTTTTGTTGCAATTACTTTTGGCGTCTTAATCATGAGACCTTCGTCATTTCTTATGTCCAAAATGATATTTCCTAGGCTGTCTTCCAAGGATTTTATAGTTTTGTGTTTTACATTTAAGTCTTTAATCATCTTGAGTTGATTTTTGTATATGATGTAAGGAAGAGGTCCAGTTTCAATCTTTTGTATATGGCTAGCCATTTATCCCAGCACCATTTATTGAATAGGGAGTCCTTTCCCCATTGCTTGTTTTTGTCAGTTTTGTTGGAGATCTCATGGTTGTGGGTGTGTGGCATTATTTCTGGTCTGTCATTTCTGTTCCATTGGTCTATGTATCTGTTTTTGTACCAGTACCATGTTGTTTTGGTTACTGTGTCCCGGTAGTATAGTTTTAAGTCGGGTAATGTGATACTTCCATCTTTGTTCTTTTTGGTTAGGATTAACGTGGCTATTTAGGCTCTTTTTGGTTTCATATGAATTTTAAAATAGATATTTGCAGTTCTGGGAAGAATGTCATTGGTAGTTTGATAGCAGTAGCATTGAATCTGTAAATTGCTTGGAGTGATATGGCCATTTTAACAATATTCTTCCTATCCATCAACATGGAATGTCTTTCCATTCATTTGTGCCATCTCTGATTTCCTTGAGCAGTGTTTTGTCATTCTTGTGGTAAAGATCTTTGACTTCCCTGGTTAGCTGTATGCCTAGGTATTTTATTCTTCTTGTGGCAGTTGTGAATGGGATCACATTCCTGATTTGGCTCTCAGCTTGGATGTTGTCAGTTTATAGAAATTCTACTAATTTTTTATATTGATTTTGTATCCTGAAACTTTGCTGAAGATATTAGCTGAAGGAGCTTTTCAGGTGAGACTATGCGGTTTTTGAGATACTGAATCATGTCATAGGCAAACATGGATAGTTAGACTTCTTCTCTTCCTATTTGGATGCCCTTTATTTCTTTCTCTTGCCTGATCACTCTGACTAGAACTTCCAATACTATATTGAGTAGTAGTGGTGAGAAAGGGCATCCTTGTCTTGGGCTGGTTTTCAAGGGGAATGCTTCCAGCTTTTGTCTATTCAGTATAATGCTGGCTGTGTGTTTCTCATAAATGGCTCTTCTTATTTTGAAATATGTTCCTTCAATAACTAGTTTATTGAGGGTTTTTAACATGAAAGAATGTTGTATTTTATCAAAAGCTATTTCTGCATATATTGAGGTAATCAGGTGGTTTTTGTCTTTAATTCTGTTTATGTGATGAATCACATTTATTGATTTGCATGTGTTGAACCTGCCTTGCATCTCAGAGATAAGGCCTATTTAATCACGGTGGATTAGCTTTTTGATGTGCTGTTGGATGCAGTTTGCTAGTGTTTTGTTGAGTATCTTTGTGTTCATGTTCATCAAGGATATTGGCCTGAAGTCTTATTTTTTTGTTGTGTCTGTGGCGGGTTTTGATATTAGGATAATGCTGGCCTCAGAATGAGTTGGGAAGAAATTTCTCCTCTTCAATTTTGTGGAACAGTTTCAGAAGGAATGGTACCAGCTCTTTATTGTACATGTGGTTGAATTTGGCTATGAATCCTTCTGTTCCTGTACCTTTTCTTGTTGGTAGGCTATTTATTACTGCCTCAATTTCAGAACTTATTATTGGTCTGTTCAGGGATTCAATTTCTTCCTGATTCAGTCTTGGGAAGGTGCATATTTCCAGGAATTTATTTATTCTAGTTTGTCTAGTTTGTGTGCATATCCACACAAACTAGGTATCCATAGTAGTCCTTATACTGAAGTATCCATAGTAGTCTTTATTATTTGTATTTCTGTGGTAATGTCCCCTTTGTCATTTCTAATTGTGTTTGTTTGGATCTTCTCTCTTGTCTTTATTAGTCTAACTAGTGGTCTATCTTACTCGATTTTTCAAAGAAAAACTCCTGGATTCATTGATGTTTTGAATGGTTTTTCATGTCTCAATCTTCTTCAGTTTAGCTCTGATTTTGGTTACTTCTTGTCTTCTGCTAGCTCTGAGGTTGGTTTGCCCTTGGTTATCTGGTTTTTCTAGTTGTTATGTTAGGTTGTTAATTTGAGATCATTCTAACTTTGGGATGTGGGCATTTAGTGCTATAAATTTCCCTCTTAACACTGCCTTAGCTGTGTCCCAGAGATTCTGGTATGTGGTAACTTCATTCTAATTAGTTTCAAAGAACTTCTTTATTTTCTCCTTAATTTCATTATTTGCCCAAAAGTCATTCCAGAACAGGTTGTTTGAATTATATGTAAATATGTGGCTTTGAGAAAATTTCTTTGTATTGAATTCTATTTTTATTCTGTTCTGGTCCAAGAGTGTGGTTGGTATGATTTTGTGTTTTTTTGTTTTTGTTTTTGAATTAGCTGAGAATTGTTTTACGTCCAATTGTGTGGTATATTTTAGAGTATGTGCCATGTGGTGATGAGAAGAATGTATATTCTGTTGTTTTAGGATGGAGGGTTCTGCAGATGTTTATTAGGTCCATTTTGTCAAGTGTTGAGTTCAGGTCCTGAATACCTGTTAATTTTTTACCTCAAGAATCTGTCTAATACTGTCAGTGGAGTGTTGAAACTTCCCACTATTATTTTATAGTAGTCTAAATCTCTTCATAGGTCTCTATGAACTTGCTTTAAGAATCTGAGTGTTTCTGTATTGAGTACATATATATTTAGGATAGTTAGCTCTTCTTGTTGAATTGAACCCTTTACCATTATGTAATGCCTTGTTTGTCTTTTTAAATCTTTGTTGGTTTAAAGTCTGTTTTGTCTGTAATTAGGATTGCAACTCCTGCTTTTTTCTGATTTCTATTTGCTTAGTAGATTTTTTTCCATTCCTTTAATTTCAGCCTGGGGATGTCGTTGCATGTGAGATGGGTATCTTAAAGATGGCATATCATTGCGTATTGCTTCTTTATCCAGCTTGCCACACTGTTCCTTTTCACTGGGAGACATTTAGCTTGTTTACATTAAAGGTTAGTATTGATATGTGTGGATTTGATTCTGCCATTATGATGTTAACTGGTTATTAGGCAGACTTGTTTGTATGGTTGCTTTATAGTGTCACTGGTCTGTGTACCTAAGTGTGTTTGTATATTGGTTGGTTATGGTCTTTCCTTCCCATGTTCACTATACCTTTCAGGAGCTCTTGTAAGGCAATTCTTGCAGTAACAATTTCTTTCAGCATTTGCTTGTCTCAAAAGGATCTTATTTCTATTTCACTTATGAAGCTCAGTTAGCCAATTGATTTTCAACAAACTTGTCAGGAATACACATTGGGGAAAAGACAGTCTTTTCCATAAATGATGCTGGGAAAATTATATAACCACATGCAGAAGGATGACATTAGACCCCTAACTCTGACCATATACAGAAATCAACTCAAAATGATTAAAGAGTTAAATGTGCCGGGCGCGGGGGCTCATGCCTGTAATCCCAGCACTTTGGGAGGCTGAGGCAGGTGGATCATGAGGTCAGGAGTTCGAGACCAGCCTAGCCAAGATGGTGAAACCCCGTATCTACTAAAAATACAAAAATTAGCTGGACGTGGTGGCACACGCCTGTAGTCCCAGCTACTTGGGAGACTGAGGCAGGAGAATCGCTTGAACCCAGGGGGCGGAACTTGTGGTGAGCCGAGATGGTGCCATTGCACTCCAGCCTGGGTGACAAGAGTGAAACTCTGTCTTAAAAAAAAAAAAAAAAGAGTTAAATGTAAAACCTTAAACTATTAAACTACTAGAAAAAATAAGGAAAATGATTCACAACATTGGGCTGGGAAGGATTTTTCAAAATAAGACCTCAAAAGCACAGGTGACAAGTACAAAAATAGATGAATGGAATTACATCAAACTAAAAAACTTTTGAACAGTAAGGGAAACTATCAACAGGGTGAAGAGACAACTTACAGAATCGGAGAAAATATCTGCAAACTATACATCTGGCAAGGAATTAATATCCAAAATATATATGGTACTTAAACAACTCAAGGGAAAATAAACCAAATAACCTGATTGGAAAATGGGCAAAAAAAAAAAAAAAAAACTTACTAGGTGCTTATCAAAAGACATGCAAATGGCTGACAGGTATGTGAAAATTGTTCAGCATAATTAATCATCAGTGAAATGCAAACAAAAATGAGTTATTACATCATCCTAGTTAGAATGATCATTATCAAAAAGACAAAATAAAAGAATTATTGGCAAGAATGTGGAGAAAAGGGAAAACTTACACACTTTTGGCAGGATTGTAGACTTGTACAGCCATTACATAAGAGTACAGAGGTTGCTCAAAAAATTAAAAGTAGAACTACCATATGATCCAAGAATCCTACTACTGGATAGATATCCAAAGAAAATGAAATCATTATGTCCAAGAGATAGCTGCACAGTCGCCCATTCTATGTTTATTGTAACACTATTCACAATAGCCAAGATATGGAATCAACCTAAGTGTCTATTAATGGGTGAATGGATAAAGAAAACATGGTATATATACACAGTGGAATACTGTTCATCCATAAAAAGAATGAAATTCTGTCATTTTTGACAATGTGGATGAATATGGAGTACACCATGTTAAGCGAAAAAAGCCAGACACAGAAAGACAAATACTGCATGATCTCACTTATATGTAGAATCTAGAAAAGAAGAAAAAAGAAAAAGTTGATATCATAGAAACAGATAGTAGAACAGTGGTTACCAGAGGTGGGGAAGAGAGGGGAGAGAGGAAGACAGGGAAAGCTGGTTCAACAGCTACAAAGTTATAATTAGATTGGAGGAATAATTTCTAGTGTTTTACTTCACAGTAGGGTTGCTATGGTTAAGAGTAAAAATATTGGCCGGGCGCGGTGGCTCACGCCTGTAATCCCAGCACTTTGGGAGGCCGAGGCGGGCGGATCACGAGGTCAGGAGATCGAGACCATCCCGGCTAAAACGGTGAAACCCCGTCTCTACTAAAAATACAAAAAATTAGCCGGGCGTAGTGGCAGGCGCCTGTAGTCCCAGCTACTTGGGAGGCTGAGGCAGGAGAATGGCGTGAACCCGGGAGGCGGAGCTTGCAGTGAGCCGAGATCCCGCCACTGCACTCCAGCCTGGGCGACAGAGCGAGACTCCGTCTCAAAAAAAAAAAAAAAAAAAAAAAAAAAAAGAGTAAAAATATTGTATATTAAAAAATAGCTAAAAGAGAGGCTTCTGAAGGTTCTCACCACAAATAAATAAATAATGCATGAAGTGATAAATACACAAACTACCCTGATTCGATTATTACACAACATAGGTATGTATTGAAACATCAAGAACAACAAACATATCTTATAAATATGTAAAATTACAATGTGTCAAACAAATCAATATTTTTTTATAAAAAGGCTAATGACTGCATTGGAATGAACAAGCAAGAAAATAGTAGGAGATGATATCTCAGCAGTGGGTAGGACCTACATCAACTAGATCATATAGGATCTTGAGGGTCATAGAAGTAATTTGTATTCTATTCTATTTACAATGAAAAATCATTTAAGGTTTTTAAGCAGAGGAGGGTCATGATCTGATTTACATTTTTGAAAGTTCAGCCTAGGCTTCCTTCTAAGAATACCTGGTACTCCTATCATTATGCCTTTGATCTTCTACTTCCTTGATTTGCCCTCCTGTCCCTCCGCTTCCCACTTGTCTTCCCTACTTTTCAAAACAAAGTTTAAGTCCATCGTCTTCCATTGGTGTTTCCTAATCACTCTAGACATCCTTTCTTTTTTTCTAACTTCCATAATCCTTAAGAATCTAAAACTTACAGGTTTATATTTTTAAAAACATATATGCTACTCTTCAGGTCCAACCTGAAGTGTATTTTGTTTATTTAAAATACCTACTGGAAGCATCCAGTGGGTGACACACTGACTCCTTTTAATTGTCCCTCTCTTTTCTTTTGACACCATTGACTGAAAAAAGAAGGATGAGTATTAAGAGATGAGGTAGAAGATGAAGAATGATAGAATATAAGTAAGTGTTGTAGAAAGAGAGAAAGAATTCTTGATGGGAGAAGAAATGAGGAAAGGTGAGGTTATTTAACATGCGCAGAACAAATGAAGAGTTTAATCCTCAACACTTTACAACTCACACCACTCACAAATTAGACTCATTGGGTTATGACACTTAAATTTCTCAGTATTAGCCAACTGGTTTCCAAGGAATCTACTGTTTTTACACTTTTCTCCAAACCACTGCAATTTTCCCATTGTTCTTTTCTCTGTAAATGGAGTAAGAGTACAATTATGAAATACTTCAGCCTCTTCTCTGATCTAAGTATCTTAATTTGTTATTCTGGACTATAATGTTCTGATTTTCTCCCCATCTGATCTCTTAAATTATAACATAAAATGCATTTGAGGGCAGTATATTTAGAATGCCTTCTCACATCTATTATCTAAGATTCTCTTTGCATTTATAATGCCTTCTTTTATCTGTTCTACCATCTTCTTGTAATCTACCTACTGTTCTGTTCTTAATTAAAAAGAAGTTACTCTTATGAGGTTGAATGGCTGCTTTTGAAACTCAATCAGTAAGATTCTTTTCAGATTTCAGTACTTATCGTGATGAGTGCTTACTTAGTAGATGATTCAAGAATTGAAGAGGTTAAAGAGCTGCTTTAGTTTCAGGGGAAAATGTTTGGGAGATGGAAAAAGAAGATGCTGATGTTGATATGCTCTTGTGAGTTTTTCTCCTTCATTTATTTTCATTAAAAAAGATAACTGCATGAAAACAAAATTTTTTTCCTGGAGGGCACACCTGCTCTTTCTGTGACACCTGACTTAAAGAGTTTCTTCTTATCTGTGACATCTGCTATTTCCACAGCAGCCTGTGATAATGCTTCTTAAAGTTCAAAAAGCCAGATAGACAATTCTTCTAAGCTAAAAATAATAGTCCCCAAGTCTCATATTTAATTGTTTCATGGTAAAAATGTTTCATTTATTCATGGAGAGGAGACTTTTCTAAGAAAATGGCTACTTGATGGAGTAAAATCAGTAATTGCTGTGGCTTAATCAATATAAATATGAAAGTGATATGATCAAGACTCACAGAGTCCAGACAACAGATTGCCTAAGATGACCAGAAATGTTTGTCTTTATAAGTTCTTGAGGATATACAACTTTTAATATGTTTTCCTTGTATCTAATGAGAGAGATATTTATATACTCCAGTCTATATTTGTTTCACAATGAGGGGGAAAAAAGCATCTTTCTCCAGTTCTTAACTGGATTTTTAAGTAAAGACAATTATTTATGTTGCTTAAATAAAAGGAAAAATGGGTACCATTTTGCAAAATAACATGTCTACATTATCACTACCAATTGTTCTAGTTGTGTTGTGGTCAAAATTCTATTTTAGGTTTATCTGAACAGATACAGAAATCGTATTTATCTCTTTTTCTTGCTGTTTTCCATCTTGATGTTTTCTCTTATTTTATCTCTTCAATCAAAATAGAAACTAAGGAACTTATCTTCTATAATCACAATAAGTGCTAGGCTTTGAGAGTGTTATTCACCATTTCTACTTACTTGCCAGGTTCAGGAGTAAAATGGACAAGAAAATAAGGAGGAAAGGAAACCTAAGGTGTATTAATCTTGTATATGGTTTAATCAAAGAGAAAAGAAAAAGAATTGAGTAACGTAGAGTCTGTAAGAGAACATGTCATTTATCTGATCCACTGTGTCTTAATGGAGAAGTCTAGTTTTAATCATGTTTTAGAATCATGGGCTCAGTCTCATTTATGGGCATTTGGAATTTTGGAAGTTTGCCCAACTCAGAGAAATTAATTATTATTAATTATTCCAAAATACCTGAAGTCACAGCAGGCACTGTATTGATTTACATGGGTGTGAATGTCATTTCATATTGCATGGTGTCATTTAATATTGTACACTTAATATAAATCATCTTAATAAACTCTTTGGTGGGTTTTAGAAGAAAGGACATTATATGGACTAGGTAATAGTTCAAAGTAGCATTTCATACAGTGATATACTATATAAAAATTAAAAGAGCCATGGTGTATATTTTTCAAAATATGTAAATAATTTGATGTGTTTTTGACAGCCCTTTAATATTTTTGACTATTTGAAAATAAATTTTACTTCCTATGGGAAATGTGGGGGTCCTAAGATTTCCTGCTTTTCCCTACTAAAGATTGTCTTACGATAGGCATGATGTAATTTGAAAGTAGAGAGAGATCCTGCCATTTGAAAGATCCTCTTTCTCTTTTGCCCCAAGAGTTTTGTCATAATATCTCAAATTTCACTTTTAGAGATTAATTTCGTTTGGTCTTAAGGCTTTTGTGCTACAGGAGTTCCCTATTAAAATGCAAATACCCCTGGGAGTGTAATCATCTTACACCAGTAATGAACAACCTGAGGTTCCATGTAGCTTTAAGATATGGCCAACATTGAATTCTGCATAAAAAGATTAAAAAGTTACCTCCTTTTTGCTATTTTTCACATATACCTCAATATTAACATTTTAGTGGACAAAAAGAAGTATCATTTTCTCAGTTATATTTGTCCAGTCAATAAAGTAAGTAAAATAAATTGTAAGAATATACATTATCATATCAGATTGAGATGAAGACAGGGTCCATAACAGATGGAAAACAAGAAAATTGAAGATATTTAAGAGAGTCCTGACATAAAAAGCAGATGGATCAGACTTGATGAAACTGAGTAAATCACAGCATAAAGCAAGAGCAAGTGAAAATTATCATGGAGATAATCACAGACGCAGAGAAATTCCAAGCTCAAAGTAAATACATGAAACAAAACATAAAAAAAACTAAAAGTGCCCCTGGAGCAATCCATCAGAACTATTTAATATTAAAGAACTCTATTTAAAGTAATAGTGCTATTTGACCTCTACACACACACACATGCGCACTCACACACACACACACACACACTGAGCAGTGGGGACAAAAACACTTTTCCCCAGGCTAAAATCCAAAAAGTGAAGAAAATATGTTGACTACAAGGGGAAGGCTCAGACTCAATCTGAGGGATAAGTCCAATTCTTATGAGAAAGAGACAGCTCTATTGGTGAGAGAAACACACTAAATTTCTCTACTACCAGAATAAATCTCTTCTTCTTTGGCAATAGGTAGATCTAAACCTGAGGAAACTCTATGACATGCACCTAAAGAACAGCATGTTGGTTGAAATAACCTGACTACACACCCAGAACCTATTTAAGCCTTTCCATTCAGGGTAGAAATCTATGGAAGAAAAGAGTAGAAGAAATTCAGAAAAACACCATGCCACTTGACTTCGTTAACCCAGTACAAGTGTCAATACGAACAAACACCACCAAGAACCACCACTCATTTGAGTAAAGCCAAAGCCGTGATTTAAAGAGAACAAACAGAAAGACTGGTCCTAGAAGAAAAATAATTGAGATGCCAGAAGAAGATTTTCGAAACAATCCTATTGAGTCTCAGTGAGATCAGAGAAGGTAATTTATACATAATATAAACTTAGCATGCTATGACAAAATAATAGAAAATAAGATGTGTTTGAAAAGGAAATACATATTTATAACTGAACTAACTTACTAGAATTATCACCATTGAAGAAAAAATTTGTGACCTGGTAGCAACAGTGGAATCAAACGGAGATAGGATGCACACGTATGTTTATTGCAGCACTATTCACAATAGCAAAGACTTGGAACCAACCCAAATGTCCAGCAATGATAGACTGGATTAAGAAAATGTGGCACATATACACCATGGAATACTATGCAGCCATAAAAAAGATGAGTTCATGTCCTTTGTAGGGACATGGATGGAGGTGGAAACCATCATTCTCGGCAAACTGTTGCAAGGACAGAAAACCAAATACTGCATGTTCTCACTCATAGGTGGGAATTGAACAATGAGAACACTTGGACACAGGAAGGGGAACATCACACACCGGGGCCTGTTGTGGGGTGGGGGGAGGGTGAAGGGATAGCATTAGGAGATATACCTAATGTAAATGACGAGTTAATGGGTGCAGCACACCAACATGACACATGTATACATATGTAACAAGCCTGCATGTTGTACACATGTACCCTAGAACTTCAAGTATAAAAAAAAAGATGAAACATACAAGAGAAAAATTTAGAAACCAGTATCATATATTCAAGATGAATATAATATGTCTAATTGGAGCTCTGAGAGAATACAGGCAATGATAGTAAAGAAATAATGAAAGAAATAATAGAACAAAAAATCCTGAAAGTGAAGATTGGGAATGAGATTTATATTTTAAAGTGTACACTAAACTCTGAGCAAGATATAAGAATGCACATGGGTATTTGAACACACACACACACACACACACACACACACACACAGTCCCCTAAAAATTCCTAAAAGCAAATCATAAAAAAATACTTCTGTGGATGAACTGAGAGTCTCAATTTGGACTTGAAGAATGAATATGACATAGACAGGTAGATTATAGAAAGAAAAAAGAGAAAAGGTTGAAGCTTGGATGGGAATCAGAAAATTAGAATGAGAACTCAGATACTAATATTCTTCCATTACCAAATTTTAGATTTATTATAATAAATTAATATTAAAAATGAGAATTTATGCAAGTCAGTTAAATGCCCCAAATGTTTTTAGTAACTAATCCTTACTCACTTGAACCTGGAAAGAAATTAGTGCATTTTTTTCCTGACCTTATCTGATACTCAGCAAACTTCTATTTTTGAATGGACAAAGACATTTTGAAAAATGCATTAAAGGCCTCATTTGGGATTGGAGTCCGAATATTGGCCCAGTATATTCATCTTGTTTTGAATCATAGTATGATGAATAATTCTGGTGGTAATGACTGAACCTCTATATTTATAGAAAACTGACATTTCTTGAACATGAAATGTTCTTATTTCTATGTAAATGCAGTTCTGCATTTAGGTGCTGTGGCTTCTGTTCATTTTAATTGCTCTCTCTTATTTAAATCAAAAGATTATATCATCAATTCTCCCCCTACACTAGCCCTACCCTCCAAACTGCCATACATTCTCTGTAGGGTCTTATTCCTACTTAAAGAATATTTTCCTTTCTTTATGTCTCTCACACAACATGCTTATTTTGTACTTATGGAATTAAAGGATTATAATATCTTATAATCAAATAAACTTGGTATATCAAACGAAAATAAAGTGGGCTATATGTGTGTATTTTATCTTTCTCTTCTCCCACTCATATACAACACATGTGTTTGGAACATTTCCCTTCTTGACATGGGTCTTGCCAGTGTTTTCTGTTTCTGGCAGAAAATAAACTCTGACAGGGAAGAGGCTGCCTCTCCTTTTAGGGTAATTTCTGTCTTAGTCAGCTCAGGCTGCCATAACAAAATACCACAAAATGGGTGGCTTCAACAATAGAAATTTATAGGGAAGTCCAAGGCCAAGGTACTGGGGCCAGTTTGGTTCCTGGTGGGGATTCTTGCCTGGGCTTGCAGTCAGCCCCTACCCTCCAGGTCCCACATGGCTTTTCCTCTGTGCCATCAAGTGGAGAGAGAGATCTCTCCTCCTCCTCTTATAAAGCTTTCTATCCTGTCGAATAAGACCCACACTCATGACCTCCTTTAACCTTAATTATCCTGTAAAAGCTCTGTCTCCAAATTCATATAGCAAATTCATAGCTTCAACATGTAAACTTTGGGGGGAACCAATTCAGTCCATAGCACATGTTATCTGTAGAATACTGCACTGTGCCTTACAAATGTGCAGAGTTTTCCAACAATTTTCCAAGCGTTTTGATCTTATACAGGAGCAGTTATATTTGAAAGGGAGGGGCCAATTCAGTTCAAAGCCCTCTGTTTTTCTAGAGGTTCCAAACACTTCAGTCTGAGATTATTTTATTTTCTTATTTTTAATTTTTTTTAGTCTTTTGAGTGTCCTCCCTTTGTGACTCCAGCTCCTACAGCATGTATTTGCTCTACTCCCTCATTTAGAAATTAACCGTGTACTGCCTTATGACCATTGTACCATAACTGTGATTCTGATTATGTTTTCACATATTTCTAGTCTCTCGATAGGATTCTAAGCCACTTACAGTCAACATGGTAACCCATACTGCCATAAAATCCTTATAGTTTGCAGGTTTAGTAATGTCTTGCATGAAAGTATACAATATTTTCTTTCTCCCTTTCTTTTTGCTTACTCGAATCCACATGTACCTAATTAAAATAAAATTCAGTGAAAGGGTTTGAGATAGAAACTTGGCAGTCATAATTTTAAGATACTTATTTTTTCGGAGTTTATTAGTAAGAAGCACACAATTCATTCTTACAATCTTCTAGTATAAATTTTCCCACATCCGTATTTTAAAGAACACTTTTTGTCATGGTAGCATTTCCTGAAGCAGACGCTTAGAACTGAGTTTGGAGGTTAGGGATCAATGGCTCTTAAAGGAAGTGGGGCAGCAGAATGGGCTGAGGGAAAGGCTGAACCGTTATTCGGGTATAACAAACCTTCAACCTACCCCTTCGGAAGTTGTGTGTTTAATGCAGCTCATCGGAACCGTCTTGCATTTGTCTGCGTGAGCCAGGCCTTTGTACTTTCTCTTCCATCATTCATTGCGTATGGGCTGCCTTGGGAAGGTTCAGCCTTTGTGAGAAGCAACCTTCTGTGGCCAAGGCAAACCCTGAAGGTATTATACCTTGGGCAACAATTTCTTCCTTGAAAAGGCATGTGGGCAACACACCTCTCTCTCTCACAGTGGTGCCCCTTTGTGCTGCTCAGACACACTTCATATTCCTTCAGGAAGCAGCTCCTCTAACATTCCAGCGGGCCTCTCTTTCTGGATGAATCTTTGAAGATGAAAGTTAGTTTGGCAAACCACAATCCCTGATACTGTGTATATTCTCAAAGCCACAACTGATACTTGTGTTTTTCTTCCACTGCTATTATTTATTCTAAATCTCTCTTACCCTCAGGTAGCATCTCTGCTGACCTTCACAGACAATTCCAATTATTCATTTTCAAAGTAGCTCCTGAATGGTATAGTATGTGATTGACCAAGTTATCCCATGCTAATAGGCCCACTCCAACATTTACTTTGTTGTGAGATGAGTCCTGTGGTCTGACATAATGGTTGTATTTAAGATTCTATTTGGGCAGATTAAATACTCTATAAGCCTCTGAAAAACTGGTCATGGTTATGCCACAGTCAGAAAAGCAAACTGATACATGAAATATGTATCCATTACTATTAGAACAAATATATGGTCCTTCCAGGATGGAACTGTTCCAACATAGTCAACTTGCTATCAAGTGGCTAGTTGGTCTCCTTGAGGAATATCATTACATCGGGGTCTCAGTGTTAATCTCTGTTGCTGACAGGTGGACACTCAGCAGCAAAATAACCAAATCAACCTTTGTAAACAGAAGCTTATGCTGTTATGCCCTTGAACAGCCTAAATCTCTCCAACCCTGACCACTCCATTCATATGCTTATTGTGCCAACCCTGGGGTGGGCAATGTCTGAGGCTGACTGGTAACAATGGTCAAGTTATTATTCCGTCCACACAGTCGCATATTGCCTCTTCCCTGCTGGGTACTCTTTTGTGGGTATTAACACAAAGATTCCACTTCATGCTCATTCCTAGATTTGTTTTTCCACATTCCTGTGTTTGATTTTCTACATCCCTCTAGCTCAGATCTTGTCCCACAATTCTAAGGTTTCTTTTTTTAAAGCTCCTGGCCAGCTGGCCAGGCCTTTTACCACTTTCATGAGTTTGTGTATACTCTAATCTCAAGCCACTTCTCTTTCTACACAAGATGAAAATCCATTTCCTCACTCCACCCCTTGAGACGTTTTCCTCTACCACTGTCGTTCAAGGCCACTCCTAAGTGAGGCTGCTGTTCAGCTGCTGGTCATTTTTGGTTTACATTCACATGCTAAGTTCACACATCTGCAAGCCACATTTAGGCTTTTTGCTCTTCTCTTACCTGATCTTAAAGAATTCTTTATATGACCATAAATGTGAGCTGAGGAAGAAGCTCTGTTGCACCATTGTGGCTAACATGAGAGTTTGGGTTACCAGTTTGCTTGTGCTCCATTCATGACTAAAATACTTCATCCCAGATATACCAAGTACTACTCCCATCTTATGAAGGAATGACGGGCCTGCCTCACCTTATGACTTGGTGGATTTGAAAGAACCCAGCTCATCATAAGAAATCCAGATGCATGGTTATTTAGTGTCTCATCACTAGGTATTCCTTTTCTAGTAGGATGAGATAGCATACCGCGAGTTGTCAACCTGGTGCTAACAAAAGACCTAAAATTTATATTGCTGATGACTTGGCCTCACTTGAGAACCCCAGGAATCTTCACTGGAAGACTCCTACTTGGGTTTTCCATAGTTCCATGTGACATCACCACTGGTACCTCCATTACCGTAGAGTCTGGTCATATGGCTCAAGTGGCACAACAGCCTCGACTTGCTGTGGAGTCTTTTCCTACTCTGGGTTTTACTCAAAACTGACAGCTTTTCATGCCATCTGGTATATGGGTTTTAGCTCTATTCCTGACTGTAGGATATGTTAACTCCAGAGCCCAAATAGGCCTCCAGGTGTTGTCCTTCCTTCTTCATAGTGGAGGTACAATGTGCAATAACTTGTCTTTTACTTGTATGAAATATTGCAAAACACCCTTGAACACTAGCTGACTAAAGATGTCACAGATTCTCTCCAGCACCTGTTGTTTCCTGACTTTTTAGTGATTGCCATTCTAACTGGTGTGAGATGGTATCTCATTGTGGTTTTGATTTGCATTTCTCTGATGGCTGGTGATGGTGAGCATTTTCTCATGTGTTTTTTGGCTGCATAAATGTCTTCTTTTGAGAAGTGTCTGTTCATGTCCTTCGCCCACTTTTTGATGGGGTTGTTTGTTTTTTTCTTGTAAATTTGTTTGAGTTCATTGTAGATTCTGGATATTAGCCCTTTGTCAGATGAGTAGGTTGAGAAAATTTTCTCCCATTTTGTGGGTTGCCTGTTCACTCTGATGGTAGTTTCTTTTGCTGTGCAGAAGCTCTTTAGTTTAATTAGATCCCATTTGTCAATTTTGGCTTTTGTTGCCATTGCTTTTGGTGTTTTAGACATGAAATCCTTGCCCATGCCTATGTCCTGAATGGTAATGCCTAGGTTTTCTTCTAGGGTTTTTATGGTTTTAGGTCTAACGTTTAAGTCTTTAATCCATCTTGAATTAATTTTTGTATAAGGTGTAAGGAAGGGATCCAGTTTCAGCTTTCTACATATGGCCAGCCAGTTTTCCCAGCACCATTTATTAAATAGGGAATCCTTTTTGTGGAGAAATAGGAACACTTTTACACTGTTGGTGGGACTGTAAACTAGTTCAACCATTGTGGAAGTCAGTGTGGCGATTCCTCAGGGATCTAGAGCTAGAAATACCATTTGACCCAACCATCCCATTACTGGGTATATACCCAAAGGACTACAAATCATGCTGCTGTAAAGACACATGCACACGTATGTTTATTGTGGCAGTATTCACAAGAGCAAAGACTTGGAACCAACCCAAATGTCCAACAATGATAGACTGGATTAAGAAAATGTGGCACATATACACCATGCAATACTATGCAGCCATAAAAAATGATGAGTTCATGTCCTTTGTAGGGACATGGATGAAATTGGAAATCATCATTCTCAGTAAACTATCACAAGAACAAAAAACCAAACACCGCATATTCTCACTCATAGGTGGGAATTGAACAATGAGAACACATGGACACAGGAAGGGGAACATCACACTCTGGGGAATGTTGTGGGGTCGGGGGAGAGGGGAGGGATAGCTTTAGGAAATATACCTAATGCTAAATGACGAGTTAATCGGTACAGCACACCAGCATGGCACATGTATACATATGTAACTAACCTGCACATTGTGCACATGTACCCTAAAACTTAAAGTATAATAATAATAAAATAAAATTTAAAAATGTCACTGATTTGGCAGGGCCCTGAATCTTCCTAAGATTTATCTCCTATCTTCTGAAGATCATGTGTTTTACTAAGGCTTCCAGAGTGCTGACCACTTCTTGCTCATGTGCCCCAATTAACAGAGTGGAATGATATCCATGATCCATATATTGCCCAGATAGTGCCCTGACCTTGGAGTAATAGATCTGCCTTGGTTGAGCATTTATTCTCCTCTGATTAGTCATAGATTGGCCACTGTGACTATTAAGTCCTAGTCCTGTCCACAACTTGCTCTTCCCCACCTCAACTTGGAAAGATAAGAGCATCTTTATAAGCTACCAGGGAGACTGTCTGACACTAAAATTGGCTTTCATTTGCCTGGCAGTCAATCACAACTTTTTATTATTTTTTAGGGGGATCGAGGGGTGGATACCAGTGGAGCTAAGCAATCACTAGTCATCCTATCTCATATCAATATAGTTACTACTTCCTCTGGATTTCTCATATACATGATAAATTACACCAGCCATTGCATTCTTTTTCACCAATGCACCATCCTGGTTCACTACTGAAAAGAATTTAAACAATTCACTGACATATTGGTGCTGGAAGCCCTCTGTGCTTCCCCTAACACCAATAGCAGGGTCTCCATTGCCTGCTGGGTAATAAGTTACCTGGCTTTAAAATCTTATCTTATTCCTTTCTCAGAACACTCCTGGTAACAAGTTCACATATAGGATTCTCTAGAAACAGTTCTGAAGTGGAGCTTGGTGTTTAAGGTATTTATTGAGTTCCACCCGGTGGAAAGGAGGGAGATGAAGCAGGATTAAGCAGAGGAAAAGTCAAACTGCCACTCAAGCCCAATAAAACCTTATTCAACCCCATGGAGAGCTTTGGAATTACATGCAGCCAGTCAAAGCTATCTTACCTTTGGCCAGAATGGTTAGGCATTTACACTAGCACTTCAATAAGCCGTTGGATGTGGAGCCACTCCCCTCCTGACCACTGGAAGGGGCAGACGCTTGGGTAAGGCTCTCTGTAGCTGAGGCAAACCCTAAAAGAGCTGATAGTTGGAGCAAGAAATCCTTCCTTACAGGGATATCTGGATAGCACATTTCTGTGTCCACTATAATTGTTCTACAGGATGTTAACAGAAGTGCTGGAAAACAGTGCAATACTCTCAAACCATAATTGCTCAGTTAAACTAATTTAAACATGTTTCTTTATTGCAGAACGTCTCAGAGCCTTTATAATACTAATGTGCATTGTGGTTCCCTAGATCCAAACAACAAAACTTCCAGATACTTTTTACTTAGTTTATACCAATTGAGAAAAAATACTGATCCATTCAGATAGTATCTTTCTTACAACGATAAAGTCCCAGGTAAAGTCCTGTTCCTGAGGAACATATATTCACAATGAAATGTATCAGATATGTACCCCTTTCCAACAACATACAGAATGGTTTCAGAGTCATAGAAATAAGCAAGCTCTGAATAAAGCAATCACTCTTAGAATTCTTTTAGAGATGTAATTTTCTATTAATTAACAATTTGAGTTGACTGTACTCCATGGAATACTACACAATCACAAAAAAGAATGAAATCATGTTCTTTGCAGCAACATGGATGCAACTGAAGACCATTATCCCAAGCAAATTAACACAGGAACAGAAAACCAAATACCACATGTTCTTACTTACAAGTGGGAGCCAAACACT
The DNA here is from genome assembly GCF_000001405.40 of Homo sapiens. NCBI lineage: Eukaryota > Metazoa > Chordata > Mammalia > Primates > Hominidae > Homo > Homo sapiens. Next base: position 49,373,199 of record NC_000002.12, on the reverse strand, counting down.
GGATACTCATAAACATAAAGATGGCCACAATAGAACATTGCTAAATATTGGATACTCATGAACATAGAGATGGCAACTGGGCACTAATAGAGTGGGGAAGAAGGGAGTAGAGAAAGGGTTGAAAAACTGTTGGAAACTATGCCTACTATCTGGGTGACAGGAATATTAATATCCCAAACCCCAGCATCATGCAATATACCCAGATAAAAGGTAACAAACCTGCACAGGTACTCCTTGAATTTAAAGTAAAAGTTAAAATTATGAAAAAAAAGTGGAGTACTTTTAAAGGTATTGAAACACCAACTAAAAAAAAAAAAAAAAACTTGCCAGTTGTGTTTACCAGATGAATTTGTTCTTTCTCCAAAGAAATGGGTTGGGAGGCTGGGCGCAGTGGCTCACACTTGTAATCCTAGCATTTTGGGAGGCCGAGGCAGGCAGATCACCTGAGGTCAAGAGTTCGAGACCAGCCTGGCCAACATGGTGAAACCCCATCTCTACTAAAAATACAAAAATTAGCTGGGTGTGGTGGTGTGCACCTGTAATCCCAGCTCCTCTGGAGGCTGAGGCAGGAGAATCGCTTGAACCCGGCCACTACACTCCAGCGTGGGTGACAGAGCAAGACTCCATCTCAAAAAGAAAAAGAAAAGAAAAGAAAGAAAAGAAATGGGTTGGGAGGTGAGCCTGCTATGCTTTTGAGAACTCATCAAAAATATTTGAAAGAGGAACGAGGAAGTAACTAAGGTCATATGCTGACTGTCTCATTCAAGTTGAGTTTTAGTTTGCATGAATGAGGTTCTCCCTTTGATCTTATATTTTAAGTGCTCAGAAGGTCTTTTGATTATGTTTGATCTCTGTAGAAGAAGAAAAAAAGGTCTTTCATTTTTCTTAGGAAAATTGTTGAGAAAGGAATTCATTTTTTGTTTGCTTTCACTAAGGTAGTCAAAAATATTTGCAATGAAATTTAGAAACAATGAATAGGTCTGAATTTCTATGACTGTTCATGGGATCTTCTGCACCTAGCAGTGTATAATTTAGCCTCTTTTGGCTCTTCTTAAAAGGAAATCCAAAAGCACGTCACAGTGGATTTTTCGCCGATTATTTACACTAAAGCACTATACCTTAGTGATGAAAATGTGCTATTCTGGAAATAATATGGACATTTTTATACAACTTTACATTCTGATGCATGTAACTTGACCCTGTACAATTTACATAAAGTACTGGCTGAGTTTTACTTTTCTCATGAGTAACATGGAGATTACTTGTAAGAATTAGAGTTATTCATAAGGACTGGAGACATCAAATATGTTAAATCTAGTACCCTACCCAGGAACAAACAGGTATATAATAAATGGTGGTAAATATTATTATGGTAAATATAAAAATCGAGGTTAATATTTCCCTTCCTTTTCCCCAAAATTCCATTTGATTTTAAAAATCAGACCATTTAAGTAGATAGTGAGTGCCTAACTCTGTTGGCTTCATTATGTATATTTAAATAATGTGAAGTGCTACAGTGACAGTGTTTCCTTTAACAGAGATATACCTACTGCATTTTGCTGAAATGACAAATAGCTATTGCATATATGACATCAGTGAAGCTTTTAAACAAATTGCCCTCTTACAGTCACAAAGAGAATACCATTCCTAATGCTGCAAGTATTTTTTCATTTGTAATTATTTCTAATAGAAACAAACAGTGTAATAGGAGCTCTTATGGTGCCTTCCATAATTGCTAATTAAATTATATGGTGAATACATGTGCAATTGATTTAAATGCCTTAAATTATTTTCAGGATTGTTATGAATAAATACACATATGCTTATAGATCCTAATGTGGTACTTTATTCCATTATCCTGAGTGGTTTTCTTTCTATATGATGAAAGACATGCAGGGGGAAAAGTGTGGCTGTCAAATGCCCAGTACAGTGAGAAATCAGTTATTCCAGGAAGTACCATAACAAGGGTTACAAGCTTCTGAGAATATAAATTTTAGAGTCTCATCTGTCCTCAGTGCTCCTGAAGATGGTGTAGCTACTTATAGGAGAGAAGAAGGCAAGAAATAATTAGGTTTGGGAGATGTCTTAGAAGACCAATGTACCCAGAACCATTCAAATTGAAAACAATTTGAAATTGTTTTCAAATGCAGGTATGCAGACACTACCAGCTTGGCAATGTTTGACTTTTCTAGGACACCAGAAGGATTTTAAGTATGTTTTTCTTGATGCTATTACAAAAATAAAAATAAAAAAAGTGATTGTGTCCTTCCAACTTTGAAGAAAGGGCGTTAAAATGATCTTGCCTTTATAAAATGAGAATAAGAATAGATAGTAATTTTCTGTTTTGTTTTGTAGTCGAGTCTTTACTGGGTTAACCAAAGCACTGATAATTCTTTATCTGTTTCCCAGGTTGGCACAGATGTTAAGGGTCCTTGAACTTAAAAAAAAAAAAAAAAAAAGTGGAACCACTTTCAATCTGTACAATGCTTGGCCCCCAGGAGTCATTTCTTCTAAATCTCTTGAGAATATTCCTAAGACAAAAAAAAAAATATTCGATTCACCATTACTGTTAGCAAATCATTTTAGAAATACTCATTGTAGTTAATTTACTATTTGGATGCTGTGGAGGCTACATTGAAGTAAGATGAAAACATAATTTAGGTAAACTTGCTTCTCCAGTCCATCCACCAGGAATCAGTACTCGTGTTAGTTCAAGGTCTCTGGACTTGAGCTCCTTTGAAGGAGAAACTCTGTCTTGTTGGTTTATTTCCTAATGAGAAATTAATGATTGTGTTAGTGTAGATGATTGACATTTGTGTAGAACTGAAGTTTATAAAACATTTCTGTCTCACTGAATATAGAAAAGAAGTCTTGTGCAGCAGATTTGACTATTCCCCTTTTCAAAAGATACAATTAAAATCTCAAGACAAGAAAAAATTTAAAAAACAGAAATGAAAAGCCAGTCTAGCTGGAAAGTGGCTTGAAACCAGAGTTCCCACCCAAATTAAAGCATGCTTCTGTAATGCACAGCTATGTTGGTCTTCCAGTAGAAAAACTTCTACAATCCCCAGGATGTGGGTTAAAAGATAATGACTTTGTTCCCTTTTTGCCTCAAAGGTAATATGTTTGGGGAAGTTAAGACACACCTATCTAGTCTCCGCTTGAATTGTGTGCTTCGTGTCTTAATATTTCTCATGCTTCGCTGTTCTTTCCTTACATCCTTTCCATCTTGGGCTCACCAGCTCCATGGCAAACTGCAGCTGCCTCCGATTTCTTCTTTGTTCCTGGTGTTTTATCTATCCTGCTGAGATGTCACAGCTACTAGTTTCTTGCCATTGATGATTTCTTCGTTATCACTAGAGGGCAACACAGCAGGTAACTACTGAATACTTTGGTAAAGATAACTGGATCATAATGCTCTTCATGGAATATGTTTGTCAAGCCTTTGTAGTTATACTAAGGAAACAATGGTGGGTAACTTTACACAGCGTGGCAGTGCTAACTGTCTGTCTTATTCCTCCTTTGACTCAAGTGAGCCTGGTTCCCTCACGACTAAGTGTCTTAAAGTGCGGGACCTTGCATCCTACAAGATGACAAGATCCATGGCTCAAAATCCCTCTTTGACTTTCCACATATGTGGAGCATTACACAAATCAATCCAAGGAATATGCCTGAGCATTCCAAAACTTCCAGAGATAAACAGGCAAACAAAATACTATCCTTGGATTCTATTCTTAAAAGAATATCACCAGGCCAATGCTAATGTATAGGACTTCAAAAAACTCTAGGAAGCTTAATGATTTAAAGCATCATTTTCAATTTTTTTAAAGTGCCAACGTTTGGATGTTTCTGCAAGCAGGTTTTTGCATTTTGCACAGTCCTAAGCAGCTTGAAATTGAATTAGAGCAGACTTTAGCAAGCCATCATGAAGAATATGTATTTACCAGTTTTAAAAGCTTCCTGGAAGATTTAAGAGGGCAGAAGTATTTCAGTCACAATCCATTAACCCTATTTATCATCCATTGAAAATGTCTAAGTGTGAAACCATTTTCAATCTCCACTAATGTGCCTAGAACTGATATAGCGTATCATACTTAATTTCCACACTGCATTATGTGGTTGTGTTTTGTGTTTGTGCATCCAGAGATGGCAAATCTCACAAATTCAGCACAACTAAAGGTTTCCATTCTTGAACAAAGCAGGAGTCAGCCATGCCAGGTGGCTCCTCTTAGTTTCCTGTCAGTGCACCATATAGCCTCTCTGTCCCAGGGAAGGTGGCTTTGAGAAGAACGTATGCAATGAGTTTACTTTATAAGTGTAACTTCAGCTTTGAAGGATGTATGTTTGCATGTTCTCATTTTGTCTTTTTCCCTTGTTGATTTTGCACAGTGTTTATTGAACATCTCTTATGTGTGAGTGGGTGGCAGTTGGTGCAATAAATAACCTTTACTGAAAATTCATATGTTTTAGGTCCTGTGCTAAGTAGCTTGTGGGCATGGTTTCATTAACTACTCACAACAACTCTATGATTTAAGTAGTGCAAGTATTATTGTCATAATTTTACATGTGAAGGAACTAAGGCTCGGTGAGTTTAAATAATGTGCCCAAGGACATTCATTACTGTGATTCAAACCCAGACTCATCTAACTGGGAAGCTCATCTCTTCTCCCACAAAACAGGAAGAGTTGGAGCAGTAAAGCATCAGACCCTCCATCAAAATGAAACATCTGCAAGTCAGGCATCATTCCTTTGCTGTCCAGGATGTTTGCTCACTCTCCTGTGAAGGCACATGCCAATCAAATAGTGAGATGCCTCTGCTTGGCTTAACTAAGAGAAGTCACCTCATGGCAGTGAAAGTCAAAATGTACTAAAAACCACAGGGAATAAAGTCCTCCCACTGAAACAGCTCCAGTTTAGGTAGGAAATTATAGATGAGTTTGCATTGCACAACTGAGTAGGGTGTGGGGCTGGAAAATTGCCCTCTTGGCATGTGCAGAGCTCAAGCTGTGTTGTCCTGTCCCCAACTTCAATGTATGAGGATTTCCAGAGTGCGATTAATTTTGCCTGAAGCCAATTGGAAGTGGGGGTAAGGAAAGCACTGGGTATAGATCTCTGTGTGGCACTTACTATATTACAGCAGTGTGTGTTCTATCCACTAGCTGTGAATGTTCTGAAGACTAGTCCACTGAATTAACATTATTTTAAAAAACTGCCTTGAGCAAACACACTCTACAGTCTTTCCCTTAGTGGTATTTTTCAAACATCTCAGGACTATTTTTGCTTTGCCTTTGTTCTTGATATTTCCCACGTAAGACTTGGGGGAATAAAGAGGTGGATGCAGCAAGGAACAGGAGGGAGGCATTAAGGAAAGGAAGGTACCAGCAGTGCATCTTGGCAAGCCAAGACCCCATGTGTACTGGAGATGACTAGGCATCCACATTTGTCTATGGATTGCCTACCAGCATGCTATACTAATACATACCAACTCAACTCTGTTTTTATCTAGTTAGAGCCCTCTGGGAGCAGGAGTGTCCCCTTGGCTCTCTGAGGACAAGGATCCATCTTTATTTGGAACAACATTCTCTGTCCTTGGGTCTTCCTCCCCTGAACCACATTAGGATCCTTGCAGAGGTGGTGGAGTTTCCCAGGAAGTGATGGAGGTGGAAGACCTGGGAGGCAGGCAGGCTGGAAAGCATAACCAGTATCCCCCTGTGTGTCCCTGGGCTTTACTATGCTTCCTGAGCCTGTCTTCTTGTTCTGATTTTAATCACACATGGGAGTGGGTAATGCAGTTCACTCCACTGGACTCACAAATGCTCAAGTAGATTATTAGTTTCATGTCTGGAAATTACTGTGTTCACTGAGGTCAGCTGAGACTATGAGCTTTGCTTGCAGAGACAGTGATAAGTCTTAAACAATGAATGACATTCCTGGAGGATGTTCTCAATGCAAAGAGTAAGTGTGCTGATTGTCTTGGTCCTGACATGGTAACACAAAGCTGTGCTGTTCTTGATGGTGGCAATTGATGGTGGCAATTGGGAGGAAACAACACAGATAAGATAAGAGGTATGCTTTGTGCTGAGTTCTAAGTTCCACCCCTTACTTGTGCTGCTTCCTTAACTTGGACTTTTTCCAGACACCTACTAAGGACTGGGGAGAAACAGAGTTATGTGGCTGACAGTTTGTGCTCAAGAATCATACGAACTTGAGTTTAAACACCAGCTCTTCCCTGTATGTGCTACTTTTTGAAGACTCAGTTTCCTTTTCAAAAATACAAGTAGTTCCTACATTTACTTCCTGATACAAAGAAAGTATTCAATACATATTAAAATTTATGGGCTTAGGTCTTTAAATTCCAACTCAACCTTATCTCCCATTGGCTATTTTCTTTACAAAACTACCATCTCTTAAAGTCTATACCAGAACACATAATGATGGAATATGAACCTCAGATTCTCAGACATCTCATTTTTCCCATTCTTATGGTTAGAAAAAATGGGTTGAAGTATTCTGAAAATTGAAATTAGAAACTTTCACATAAATAATTTCTAGCTTCCTTTGAAAAGTCAGAAATTCATAATACTGGCCACTACCATTTCGACACATCAAGTAACACTAAATCAGTAGGTGTGACCCTTCTGAGACAAGTGTGCTCTTCAGTTTGACATAGACCCCATCACCTCTATTGTCTCATGGAAAAGAAGACTCATTGTCAGTTGTCATTTTCATCGGTTTCTTGCTGTTTTGTTTTTTGTTTTTTAACAGAAGATTTCTATTACTTTACGCAGAGCAATTCATTTTTTCATTAGCTCCCATTCTTTAAAATGCCCACTTGGATTTTGATTGGAATTGCATAGATAGGTCAATTTGGAAAGAATTGATATCTTAACAGTATCTTGTAATTGACAAATATGGTATATCTCTCTACTTTGTAAGTGGTCCTTAAATTCTCTCAGCAATATTTTATAGTTTTCATTATAGAGATTTTGCACATATTTTGTTGTTTGTTAAAAATCTAATATTTGCTATTTGCTATTATAAGAACCTTATTTGCCAATTGTTTGTTCATTTATGTATATTGTAACATCAAATTCACTTACTAATTTTCATAACTTTGAGATATTCTTTAATATTTTCCATATGAAAGAACATATAGAAAATATGTTTCTAATCCTTACACCTTTCCTTGCCTTATTATACAGGCTGGAATATCCAAGATAATACTAGATAAAATGGTTAAGGGTGGCCATTGTTGCTTTTTCCCAGTCTTAGTGAAAAGCATTCAATATATCCACAGATCCCTTTTATTAAATGGATAAAGTTCTTTTGGTTTTTAATTTGCTGGAAACTTTTATCCCAAGTGACTTTTGTAACATGCTTTTACTGCTTCTATTGAGACAATAATAAGATTTTTTTTCTCCTTTATTCTATTAACTTAGATTAGTGTTGACTAATGATTAATGTTGAAATTTTTGTATTATTAGAAGTTTTTGTATCTTAGATCCATCCACTTGATAGATCGTGACATTTTACCTTTTTATATATTGTTGGATTCAATTTTCTAAGATTTTTAAGATTTTTTATTATGTTTATAAAAGATACTGATTTCTTTTAATGCCTTTGACAGTTTTTGGTATAATAAAAAATATGGGTAAGTATTCCTTTTTTCCTTTATCTGAAGAGTTTAAGATTTCTATTCTTTATATGTTTGATGAAGTTTACTAATGAAATCATGTTATATTACATGGGAAGTTATAGTAACAGGAAAGGTTTTGATTATGGATTCAATTTCATTCCTAAAAATAATAATCATATTTCTGATTTCACCTTTATAAGTATTAGCAAGAAGGACTTTCAAGTAACTTTTCCATTACACCTATGTTATTGAATTTATTGAAAAAGTTATTCACAATATTTTTTACCATCCTTTTATTATGGCTCTGAAATCTGTAGTGGATTCTTTCTTCCATCTCATATGGGCAATCTGTATTTTTCCTCTTTTCTTCCTATTAAGATTTGCTTGGATTTGTGAATTTTGGTAATCTTTTCAAAGTACCAAGTTTTATTTTTGTTGACTTTGTTTATTGTTCTACTTTGTTTTTTGTTCTTATCTTTATTCTCTCTATTCTGATTACTTTGATTTGAATATCCTTTTCTTTCTTAGCTTTCTAATGTACAAATATAGATTATTAATTTTAAACTTATTTTCTTTTGTAAAATATGCATTTATACCTATACACATAGCTCTAAGAACTGCTTAAGCTGCATCACAAATTGTAAAGTTATATTTGCATTATCATTCAGTTTGAAAGTTTTTCTGACTTCCCAAGTGATTTATTCTTTGACTCATTATAGAGGTTTGAGTTATTTAGAAGTGTTTTATAATTTCTAATTACTTGATAAATTTACAAGTATCTTATTGCTATTAATTTTTAATTTAATTACATTATGGTTAAAGAACATAGTCTACAAGAATTAATTATCTTCAAGAATGTTGAGACTTTAAAAAAAATGTGTGCTCTTGTGCTCTGTAACTGCTGGGTTTAGTATTCTGAATATGTGAATCAGATCCACTGAGTTGATTGTATTGTTCAGATCCCCTATATCCTTTTGACAATGAATTCTTCTGACTGCTCATCTAACAATTAGTGATAATAGGATATTAAAATTCCCCACCGTGATTATGGATTGACTTATTTCTTCCATTAGTTTTGTCCATTTTTGCTTTAAAAATTTTGAAGTTCTATTTTTAGTTACATATAAATCTATAATTATTTTGTCTTTTCATTGAATTAGCCTCTCTTTATCATTATGAAATGGTCATCTTTATGTGTAATATTCTTTTTCTTTCTTATGCTGTTACATGACATATTATTACTCTTTCAGACCATCTCCATCATTATATTTAAAGTGTTTCCCTTTTATATGTTTGGGCCTTGCTATTTTATCTAGTCTAGCAATATCTAACTTCAACTGGAGTATTTAGTTTACTACATATCAATGTAATATTGTTATGGTCAGATTTAAGTCTAACAATTTGCTAGTTTTTCTATTTATGTCTTTTTTTACACTATTCTTTTTATACTATTTTTACACTATTTTACACTGTTTGAGGCTGTCTTTGAGTTAAGCATCCTTTGTATTCCACTTTATTTCCTATACTGGCTTTTTAGTTTTTAGTAATGTCTCTTTTTATTACTCTTTAGTGGTTGTATTCTTATCAAAGTCTACATAGAATTAATATTGTACCAGTTTATATTTTACTTTCTTCAACTCATCTTTATACCTGGTGATATGGTTTGGCTGTGTCCCGACCCAAATCACAACTTGAAGTATATCTCCCAGAATTCCCACGTGTTGTGGGAGGGACCCAGGGGCAGGTAATTGAATCATGGGGGCTGGTCTTTCCTGTGCTATTCTTGTGATAGTGAATAAGTCTCAGAAGATCCGATGGGTTTATCAGGGGTTTCCACTTTTGCTTCTTCCTCATTTTTCTCTTGCTGCCACCATGTAAGAAGTACTTTTCACCTCCTGCCATAATTCTGAGGCCTTCTCAGACACATGGAACTATAGGTCCAATTAAACCTCTCTTTGTTCCCAGTTTAGGGTATGTCTTTATCAGCAGCATGAAAATGAACTAATACAATAAATTGGTACTAGTAGAGTGGGGTATTGCTGAAAAGATACCCGAAAATGTGGAAGCAACTTTGGAACTGGGTAACAGGCAGAGATTGGAACAGTTTGGAGAACACAGAAGAAGATAGGAAAATGTGGGAAAGTTTGGAACTTCCCAGAGACTTGTTGAATGGCTTTGACAAAAATGCTGATAGCAATATGCACAATAAGGTCCAGGCTGAGGTGGCCTCAGATGGAGATAAGAAACTTGTTGGGAACTGGAGCAAAGGTGACTCTTATTATGTTTTAGCAAAGAGACTGGCAGCATTTTGGCCCTGCCCTACAGATTTGTAGAACTTTGAATTTGAGATAGATGATTTAGGTTATCTGGTGGAAGAAATTTCTAAGCACCAAAGCATTCAAGAGGTGACTTGGGTGCTGTTAAAGGCATTCAGTTTTATAAGGGAAGCAGGGCATAAAAGTTTGGAAAATGTGTAGCCTGACTATACGATAGAAAAGAAAAACCCATTTTCTGGGGAGAAATTCAAGCTGGCTGCAGAAATTTGCAAAAGTACCAAGGAGCCTAGTGTTAATCCCCAAGACCATGGGGAAAATATCTCCAGGCCATGTCAGAGACCTTCACAGCAGCTCCTCCTATCACAGGCCCAGCGGCCCAGGAGGAAAAAGTGGATTCATGGGCCGGGCCCAGGGTCCCCATGCTGTGTGCAGCCTAGGGACTTGGTGCCGTGTGTCACAGCCTCTCCAGCCATGGCTGAAATGGGTGAGTGTACAGCTCAGGCTATGGCTTCATAGTGTGGAAGCCCCAGGCTGTGGTGGCTTATGTGTGGTGTTTGGTCTGTGGGTGCACAGAAGTCAAGAATTGAGGTTTTGGAACCTCTGCCTAGATTTCAGAAGATGTCTGGAAACGCCTGGATGCCCAGGCAAAAGTTTGCTGCAGGAGTTGGACCCTCATGGAGAACCTCTGCTAGGGCAGTGCAGAAGGGAAATGTGGGCTTGGAGCTCCAATCCAGAGTCCCTACTGGGGCACTGCCTAGTGGAGCTATGAAAAGGGGGCCACCGTCCTCCAGACCCCAGAATACTAGATCCCCCGGCAGTTGTACCATGCACCTGGAAAAGCCACAGACACTCAACACAAGCCCATGAAAGCAGGCAGGAGGGAGCTGTACCCTTCAAAGCCACAGGGGTGGAGCTGCTCAAGACCATGGGAACCCACCTCTTATATCAGCATGACCTGGATTTGAGACCTGGAGTCAAAGAAGATCATTTTGAAGCTTTAAAATTTGACTGCCCTGCTGGATTTTGGACTTTCATGGGCCCTGTAACCCCCTTTTTCTGGCCAATTTCTCCCATTTGGAATGGCTATATTTACCCAATACCTGTACCTCCATTGTGTCTAGGAAGTAACTAGCTTGCTTTTGATTTTACAGACTCACAGAAAGAAGGGACTTGCCTTATCTCAGATGAGACTTTGGACTGTGGACTTTTGGGTTAATGCTGAAATGAGATAAGACTTTAGGGGACTGTTAGGGAGACATGATAGGTTTCGAAATGTGAAGATATGAGATTTGGAGGAGCCAGGGGCGGGATGATATGGTTTGGCTGTGTCCCCACCCAAATCTCAACTTGAAGAGTATTGAGCTGCTGCTATTTTTTTGTTTTATTTTGGGGGCCAGGGAGTTAATATTTTTGGCAACTCTCTATGATCCTGTTGAGGTTTGGTTTTAAGTTTCACTAGAGTTGCCCTTATTCTAGGGTGTTCTTACTGCAAAGGGGTGCCCTTTCTGGTGTCTTAGGTAAAAGAATGGATCTTTACAGGATTTTACCATTCTGACTGGGCTAGAGCACTTATTTCTGCCAGCATTGTGTGACCCTTAGTATCATTATTTCACTTTTCACTCCATGTTGGCTGTTCTCTGCTAGTAGTCAAGGGGTCTCACTCCATACCTATGCAGCCCAGGCCTTCACTAAGGTCCTACAGGAAACTCCACGCAATTTCTGTGGTTCCCCCATATACAGAATTCTCTCCTTTCCTATATCTTCCCTGGAAAGTTCCATGGACTTCAGCACTCCTGGGTTCCATATCTGCCTTCTCACCGAAGGAATACCACTCATTAGGTTTTTGCCTGGATTCTACCTCTTGCCAGAATCAGGAAACTAGCCTCAATCAGAAAGCCATGGTGAATGTGAGGCACATTTTTTGTGATGTCCTTCCAGGAATTACAGTCCTTCCTATTGTCAATGTCAGTCCTTTATATTTTGTCCAGTGTTATAGTTTATGGCAGGAGGTCAAGTCCAGAACTAGTTACATTGTGTATGGAACCCCATACATTTTCTTTTTTCTTTTTTTGCTGAAACTCATGCAATATAAATTTTTTGGAATTTCTGTATTTTACAGCACAAATTTATAGCCATGTTCAAAACAGTAATTACAATTGTGTGTGAAATCACACTCTTCATGTATCACACTAACTACAGTAATTAAAAAAATCTGTAGAAAAGACTGACTTGTCTTTTTATTCTCCCAATAGAAAATAATTTAAAACTCATTATCTAATGAACAAGAAAAAGGTGTGAAGTGAAAATGTATAGGAAAAAGAAGCTCCTATAGAACTGTTTTTGGGACTTAATAAAAATATTTTTCTAAAATTGCAAATTCTGAGCTATTAGTTTTTAAAAGTTGCATTATTTTCATTCATGACAGCCCATGAGATTTTATGTTTCATGCCCGCAAAAACTAAATTACAGAAGTCTGAAATATCCTGTAATGATATAAGTAAATTGCTAGAGATCAAGACAACAATGGAATTTGAAATAGTTTAACTTGCTCAAAGTAGCATGCAATGACTTTGGGGTGGGGGAGGTGGGCAGGTGGAATGGGTAGGAAGTGGGAAAAGTGCAAACCAACCAATCTTTATTATTGTACCTCCTTCAGTTTGGAGAAGGTAAATGCTAGAAAAAAAATCTTTGTAAGTCCAACTGAAATCACTGAATGTATCACGTGATAACAATGTGGGGAAAAAGTATCTATTAAAAGACTTCAGAGGAAAGCAATTATCCAAAGTTCAACTTCCAAGAGAAGTTGCATACACACATGTATGTGCACACATCTATACATATATATTCCATCCCCGTTTTTTAAACTAAATAAATTTGGAGAATTAAAACGAACATATAGATTCCCAGCAGTAAAGAAGATTCCCTTCCATCTCCCTCAAATCCCACAAACTGCTGGTTTGAAGAAGGGGAAGGAAAGCAACAGTATTTCCATTATCTGTTAGGCTCAATTAAGACAACAGCTGTGTTCCAAAATAAACAAGGGGAGAGGATATTTTGCATTAGAATACATTAGGGGAACCACACTGGGGAAACACAGATGGCTTTAATTAGGGACACTGGAAAATTACCATTCTCTTCATTTTTCCAGTGTCTGTGTGACTTTCAGGTCTCAAGAACTATATCCCTAATCCCCGTAGCCAATTAGGAATAGAAGTTTTTATCACTGGCTGTGATGATTGTAGCTTTTTAGAGCTAATCTTATAGGAATGGGTGCCTGTTTCTTTTTTGGCAAGTTATAGCATACATGCTTGTTATGTATTGGAGAGAGGGGAAAAAATTGGAGCCAGTTTCTAAAAAGATAGTTGGCAACATAGGTGTCTATGAATAAAGCACTTCTAGGCATTTAAAATGGAATTGAAAATGACACTATATGATATGTTAAGGCCCAAAGCTAACTGGCAAATTGAGATCTAGAAATCTCTGGTTCAACAAGTAACTCATTTTATAAATTCTGTCCTCAGTTTCCATGTTATTCAAATGTCTCTAATTAAAATTGCCCATTCCACAGCATCTCTCATTCCTTCATCAACTTTCTGATGAGAGGATAAGATTCTCTAAGCTCCCCAGAATAGAGCTGAGTACATTCCAAGGAAGAAAAATGAATACAGATAGATATAGAAGTAACAATAATAAAAAGTATACCCATCTGGGTGCTAACACTTTGCCTTTCAATCCTCCCGCTTGGTTGAGTTGGTAAGGGTTCTTGAGGTTCTGGTTATTGTGGGCAACTGTAGGGAGCCATTGGACAGCTACCAAATTTTATCCATGTAGAAGACCCACTGCGTTCAGGGTGAAGCACAGCCTTGCATTTTTACATCACAGTCTACCATGCACGTTGGCATTGAGTGCACTGAAAATCCCCATTCAAATAAAAGCTATGCTTTCCTTATTAGAGTGGCTGTTTGATGAAGTCTTCCGGTGGCACAATTAGATATGCCATGTATAATGTTTAGGGAAAATGTAATTATGATTATTTCCAGTTTTAAGAAAATAGCAAGATCACTAATATCGCAGACAGAAACAACTTGTTTCTGAAGTGTAGCATACAGAGAAATAGGACTTATTAATTTAAAAACTCAATTTGAATTGACCAAAAGCAAATTTAGATAAGTTTTGAGAAATTAATTTTTAAAAATTTACTATGTATACTTGTTTTTAGTATTTAAGTTTTAAGTATTTAGCAAAGATACTTTATAAGATAATTATTATTTTTGGAATGCTAAACCTTTCATAGTAACTAGTGGGTCTGCTATTCCACATATAGTAAAAATACCCCCAAAACCCAGTCTCACCCTTGAGCATCCTCAGGATGACTGGTTTTTTTTTTGTTTTTTTTTTTTTGTTTTCGTTTTTGAGACAGAGTCTCGCTCTGTTGCCCAGGCTGGAGTGCAGTGAGTGGCACAAGCTCGGCTCACTGCAAGCTCCGCCTCCCAGGTTCACGCTATTCTCCTGCCGCAGCCTCCCGAGTAGCTGGGACTACAGGCGCCCGCCACCAGGCCTGGCTATTTTTTTTTGTATTTTTAGTAGAGACTGGGTTTCACTGTGTTAGCCAGGATGGTCTCAATCTCCTGACCTCATGATCCGCGTGCCTCAGCCCCTCAAAGTGCTGGGATTACAGGGGTGAGCCACCGCGCCTGGCGACTGGTTTTAACTGAATATGCACCTTCCTTGAAGATCCTACTTCTCGTACAGCCCTCTCAGTTGTGACCTTAGGCTTCAAAGGTGGAGGCGTCTTCCTTACTCTCTACCACTGCTTTGACCCTCTAATGAAAATTTCTGCTGCTTTGATTTCTAGGCCATACAGCAATACCACTCTGTCCCTTCCTCATTGCTGTCTTTTATCACGTGTTTGATTGTGCTCTTATGAGTTATAGACTTTGGTACTTGGTCCACAGCCCTTCACTCCAAGTCCTGCTATAAATCTGAGCACTTTATCATCCACATGAATTCCCGGTCCAACCCGCTGACCATTCATTTCCTTGACTCCCTCCTCCAGTGACCCACATTGCCACTCCATCTTCAGTGCGCACTCCCTGATCTACCTTAGTCCTTGCTAGACCCTTGAACTATACCATTTTCTAAATAATTTCCATTATTTAGAAATAATGAAAATTATTTCTCCTACCTCATTATTGTTCTTAATCTATTTACTTTTAAACATGATCAAGTGTCCCCCATATAAAGAACAAGTAAACAAAAACCCCTCTTGACATGCCATTTCCCTCCTGATTCATCTAATACCCTGTCTCTCTATTTCCTTGCAGAGTCAAATTTCATAAGGCGTTACATGTACTCACTGCCCATATTCTACTCAAATGTGCTTTCTTTTCTTCATTGTTTCACAAAATGTCTCCATGTCACTGAATCCAGGGGATGTGTCTCAATTCTGATCTTACTTGATATTGCTGATGCTTCATCCTTCTTACAACACTCATTCCTTTGCTTCTGAGATATCTCATTGTCCTTCTTCTTCTCCTATTCACTGCTTATCCCCCTTTTCTGACATCTCCTTCTCTCCTAAGCATTAAATTTTGTAGGTCCTCAGTCCTGTCCAAGATCTTTACTCAGTATCCTCCCCCTACAAGAATATATTTATTCCTTTAGCTTTAATTACCACCAATGCAGGATCCTCACCAATCTTTATATCCAGGCTAGACTACCCCTGCAGTTCGGACCAGTATATTCACCTGCTTACTGTACTTCTACACCTTGATGTCTTCATAAGACTTTATTCTTAAAATGTCCAAAACCAAGTCAATAATCTTTCTGTACCAACTTATCCCACTTTGCACCCTAACTAACTAATTAGTAGAAACTGGACCTCTTCCAGAGTTATTCAGCCTCCTAAGGTGATTCTTACAACTTCCTTCTTTGTTCTGCATCTATTTTCAAATCCTGCCTAGATTACATATTAATTATGTCTCAAATACATATTTTCATGTACATAACCACCATCTTTGCCCTCATACAACCTATCAGTATCTCTTACCTGGACAACTCAATTGCAATAGGGTCCTAACTGATTCACTTTTATAAACTCTTTCTTCCTTTCAGTCAGTTACCCAAGTGATCTTTTTTTCCAAAGGTAAATCTTCTCATGCTTTCCAAATGTTTGAAATACTTAATGATTCCCAATTGTACTGAATGTAGAGACTTAATCCCTTCCCTTTCAGTAGCCAGTGAAATCATACTTCTTTAGTTCTCCTCCGGAAGTGCCCCATGCCTTGAAACCTTCCCTGGCCTCCTTAACATCTCCTTGATCCCTGCAACACATTATAAAGTGGGATTGAAGTAGTTCTAAGCTGAATTTGGCCTAGGTTGATAAGTAAACAATGAGAGAAATCTGACGCCTGACATTTTCCGTTAAATCTGAAAATGCTGCTTGTAGAATTCTCCAGCAGAAAAAGTCCCTGTCTCTTTCAAGTGCCATCACCCTTATTCACCAAGAACAATCACTTGTAATTCCTAGCTTTAGCAGACTGTTTTTTCCCTGCCGGGAAAATATGGTCTTTCTACCCATTTACAATAGAGCTGAGAACAGTCAGCAAAAACATAATGAAGAGATATTTTTGCCTTCAGAAAAGGACAGCAAATATTAAATAGTATTTAGTGGTCACCATTTCAATAAGCTCATTAGAGGTCCCTAGTCTAACTTCTATAGAGTTATGAGGCTATAATAGAAACATTTACCAAAAGTGCTAAGCCATTTTTCACAATGATTTGGTGTCCCCAATACTGAAGAGAATCGTTTTGGAACACATTTTCACAGATCACCTTAATTCAACCTGAACTAAATTCGTTTATGAGAGCTGCTGAGCTATACATCTCAACTTATCTCTGCCTTGAATTTGCCTACGATGGATATCGTTCAAACTGCATGGATCATTGAGCAGAGAAGAACATTTCTGCCCTTCCTTGTCCTTCCTAATAATCAGAAGGAAATTGCAACTTGTTATGTGTTTCCATAACGAAGATTTTAGAAATGGCCTTTGCATATAGCCTAGAAAAAGGCAATATAAATTGGCCTTCTCAGTCCTTTGTGCTTATTGTTGTATCTGTTGAGAGCTGTGACATATGTGACCAACAGGACAGAATCAAACTCGGAGAAGCTGTGAGGTGTAACTAACTCTCTGGACCTAAGACACACTTGCTGAATTTAGCCCCCAAACCAGAACCGTGGAACATGTACTCTGTCTACACTCTGCTGCCTTCAACCGGCATATAAAACCCAGCTTTTTAAAAGGTACTTCAGCTCAAAAGAGCTTTGTATGCCCTTTATAAAGTGAACTGCCTCTCAGGTCTCTGTCCTAGGGTCTTTTCTCATTCAAAACTCTCTTTCATTGCTTCCATCATCTGCTGTTTTCTAAAGATTGCCAAACATAGTTCTTGGTCAGTTCTCACTCCTAGGCTACAGACCAAATCATCCATCTGTCTAATGACAAAAGCATTTGGATGCCACAGAAGCACTTTCAACCTAGTATGTCCAAATTTAAACTGAATATCTTTCCTCTAAACTTGCTCCTTTTTGTTGATTTCCTATATCTGTAGAAGGCACCAACTGTCTACCAACTAGCCTAAGCCAGAACCTGGGTGTATTAGTGAGATATTGCCAAAATGTTGCTGTATGACAACTATTTCTTTTCTTTTCTTTTTTTTTTTTTTTTGAGACAAAGTCTTCCTCTGTTGCCCAGGCTGGAGTGCAGGGCATGAACTCAGCTCACTGTAACCTCTGCCTCCCAGGTTCAAGTGATTCTGCTGCCTCAGCCTCCTGAGTAGCTGAGATTACAGGTGCTACCACCACACCTGGGAAATTTTTGTATTTTTAGCAGAGACAGGGTTTCACCATGTTGGCCTCAAACATCTGACCTCGTGATTTTCACACCTTGGCCTCCCAAAGTGCTAGGATTACAAGCGTGAGCCACCGTGCCCAGCCAGAACAACTATTTCTAAACTCATTGGTTTATACAAGCATTTAATCTCATGCCTGTAGGTCTAAAGGCTGATTTTCATTTGGCTGATCTTGTATGAACTTGGCTGGGCAGCTCTGCTTCATGCTACAGATCAACTAGTGTGGCTCAACTAGTCAAGTCAACTAGTTGGGACCAGGTCTGCTCCACCCATATATCTTCTGGGGCCAAGGCTGAAAGGACAAATGACTACCCTGAGCATTTTCTTCAGATACCAGATTACTGGAGTGCAAGAGCCATGCAAAACTGAACAAAGACATTTAAGGCTTTTGCTCGTATTGCTCTGCTAATATTCCATTGGCCAAAATGAGCCACAGCGCCAAATCGAACATTAATGGGGATGAGAGTAAATATTTCTCTACAAATAATTCAATCTGTCATACTGGGACATCATTATTAAGTATTTCTTCCTCCTTATTTTTAACATATCACCACCTCTACTACCACTATTCCCAATCAATCACTAAGCCCTGTTGATTTTACTTTTAAAGACTGTTAGAATCCATGGTATAGTTCACCACCATCCCTTGTCTTGATTTCTCCAGTAGCTTCCAGCTGGCCTTTCTGGTTCAGGCCTGCCACCAATCCTATCTCCACATTGAAGTTAAAGTAACCATTCTAAAAATCTTTTCTTTTTTCATTCAGCAGTATACATATTTTACCTCCTACCATGTTCCAGGGAGTGTTCTAGATCCTGGGGACATAATAATCAAAAGTCCTTGCCCTCGTGGAGGTACATTTTTAAACTCCTTTTTAACCAGAAGTGGAGTGGAGGTAAATAAACAAATAAATAAATTACATAGTTTATCAAAAGGTGGCAAATACAATTGAGAGGGGAAGTCAGGAGGAGGAGTACAGATAGAGAAGGTTAGGAAGGAAGATTGATCTTAAAATCAGAGGAACATAGAAGGTTTAACTGAGAAGTTGCTATTTCAGCAAAGGCCTGAAGGAAAAGAGTTGGGGAAGGGGCAAGACTGATAGAACACAAGTGCACGGGTGATAACATGAGAGTGTACCTGGCTACAGCACAGTGGGTAGAGGGACAAGTTGTAGAAGATGAGATCAGAGAGCACTGGGGACCATGAAAGATGCAGAATCAAATCTGGCCTCCCAGATCAATAATAATACAAATCATGGTAAAATTCAAATATCTTAGTTTGAGTTACCGGGTCTTCATTGGCCTTATCTTCATTTACCTTTTTAACCAAATTTCTTATCTTTACATTCTATGCTTAAGTCATTTGGGGAACTTTGAGTTCTCTGAATCTGCATATTGCTGTATTTCAACTCAGAAACACTGAATGCACCATTCCTTTAGTCTGAGACATCAATCCTCCACTTCCCCTTCTTCCATAGCTTTGCCTGGCTAATTTTTCCTTTTGCTTCCGTTCTTACAATAGACATCACTTCCTCTGAGAAAGCATTCCTGACCTTCAAAGGCAGTGTTAGGTTTTCCTCCAATGTGGTTCCAGGGCATCCCGCACTTAACACCTCCCTTAGCCCTCATCACACTGTGCAACCATCACCTGCTTATGGTCCCAATTCCCTTTTCCTCACTAGACATTATCTTTCTTACCCACCATTGTATGTGCTCCATCTTAAACTGTGTGGCACAGAGTGGGTGCTCAGTATACATGCATACATACATACATGCCTAATAAATGAATAAAAATATGATTATAATGAGAATGTTGCAATCAAATTTGCTATAAGAGAAATGTAAAGACTATCACAGTATCATTATTAAGAGACACAGAGATCTGGCTTTCAAATAATTCAAGGTTGGGATTTAGCAACAATGTACTATCTGTAAAGTGTATGTTTCCTCTTTTCCTATTGTCCTCTTCCTGTTTGGTGACTAACTGTCTCTTACAGGGCCAGTTTATCTGTTGAAAAATCCCCAGTGTATTGGCAGAATAGGTTTAAGAATTATGCCTGTAATTAGTATTAGCTTTTTAAAAAATCAGTTCTTTAAAATAAAATCTTCAAAACTTAATTGCTCATTAATGGTGGGATTTCAGGCACTGATTTTAAAAAAACTGAGATATATTAGAAGAAAGCAAGACCTTCGTGGAAGATTTCAAATTCCACCAGATAAGTGGTCACCTACTGCACATATAGACAGCAAAAATCAGTTCCTGAAATTCTTTGTGCTTTATATTTTACATAACATTCACATATTCTACCTCCTTTGAATTTTGTGGTGGGAATAGCAGGCCAATTTCATAGATGAGAAAATCAAAAAGCTAATGGACTGATATAAAAAGACAATAAATAAAATAAAGCCAAGACTCAAAGTGGACTCCAGAGCCTATGCTTTGTCAAGGAAAAGACAGAGAGAGGGAGAATGTCATAATGCTGACAATCCAGCCTACCATTTTACTCAATGGTTCAATGGGAATATGCCCTAAAAAAAACTAAGCTGGGATATGTGAGTCTGACCTGCAATTTTATAATTTGGTCTTAGTCCCTGTATACACCTCTCGTAGTGTGAGCATTTAGTGTGCTAAGTGTGTTCCAGTATTTAAAAGTGGCAATTTTTCCGATACTGTAATTTCTAAGCACAAGCTGGCCACTTTGGGAAGTCCTGGAACAATGATTGAGCATAGACTCTAGAGCCTGAATGCCTCAGTTTAAATCCTGTCTCCAAATTATACACATGTGTGACCTTGGGCTTAACCTCTCTGTGTCTCAATTTCATTATCTAAAAAATAAGGATACGAGTACATTTGTCTCACAGGGTTGTTATGAAGATTAAATGAGTTAATACCTTCAAAGTACCTAACACAGTCCCTGGTGCACAGTAAATATTTACATAAAACAGCAAGTATTCCTGTCTCCTCAACTGAACAAACAGCTTCCTGTTCCAACACTGGAGAAGAAACTCTCCATGTTGGAAATATTGAAAGAAGGTATGTTGATTTCCAATGAAGCACATATCTCATCGCATGCTGTAATTTATAAACGTGAGGCTGCCACTGCTGAAACTTAGGAAATGCACGTGATTTTTTGTACATTATACTTAGGTGAAGAAACATGCTTTTAAAAAAAAATCACATTCTGTGGGTTTTTCTTAGTATGGAAAGCCTTAGAATTGGAGGTCAAATCAGAAATTGATCATTGAATTTGGAGTTAGATCTAATTCTATAAATATATTGACCGGCATCTGAATGGTAAAAGAGTTTGTTTTCAATTGTATATGAAGGATTAAGAGATCTTTAAAACCAATACCACTTGCTAAATATTTTAGGGCCCCAAACAAGGTAAAAAGAATTCCATTGGAAACTGTAGAAAGTTCCCAAATACCAGAGACCAATAGGGAAATAAAGTCTTAGTTGTAAGAACTCAAGAGTTAATTTAGGCTTCGTTTTCCCAGGAACAGAAGGTTCTTAATAAAGTTGCCTAGACAACAGCAGCTCAGTCCCAGGGCAACCACCTCTTTGATTTCTCACCATACTGCCTAAGCTCACACCAACCTCATAAACGACTTGAAGGCCATTCAGGGCCGTTAGAAATCACTGCTGGTTGCTGTTAGTAGACCTGTGTGGCTGCTGACAGAAAGATCAACATACTAATTCAGCCTATCAAGGTGTGGGGCAGGATGTAGGTCACAATTTAACAGCTGGTGCTTATGTGGAATCTCAGTTGTAGGGTCAGTCACAGAACCAGTTTCTCCCGCTTAAAAAAGGAAGGAACACTTCCATGGGTAAAGGAGATTAAAAAGGACACAAGGCTTTCTGGAGTAATTTATACTTTTTTCTCTAAATCTTTTTTAATTTTTCTCTTTTTATGTCAAATGGGCATAAATATGTTTTATAATCATGAACCAACTAATATTTTCCTGTATACAGAAATGATTGGTAGAAACCATAAGATATCTTTGAAACTGAAAAATTTCCATCCTGCCTATCTCCTTCATGGCATCTTATCACAATGATATTCAATTGTTGGCTTATTCATTTAATGTCTCTCTTCCCTTCTAGACCACAAGTTTCATGGAGGTGGAGATGACGTTTATGTCCTACAGCAGTATAACCTCTATGCCTGGCTTGGTGTCTCAAACAGAAGTGATGCTCACAAAACAATTATTGAATAAATGTACTGCCATTTAAAAATTACGACCAGTTTAAAACTGTAGCTTTTTATGCCAAATGCTATACTGTATTTTGAAGAAAGCCCCTCTCTTAATTACGTAAGGAATCATTGTGACAAGCCCCTTAGGTTAGTCATATAAAAGACAATTGTGGAAAAGAAGAAAACTAAAGTCATACAAATGATAATATTTCAGACTTAAACTGTAAGTATTTTGTTTATGAAAGGACAGTGTGTATATTTTTCAGTGGATCTAAGCCCGTGCAGATTATGTTGGAATAATGATAGATAGGTAGATAGGCCAGTAGATGGTATATAACAAAAAATAGTTAATACATATATATATATATATATATATATGTATATATAAAGCAGATATAAAAAAATAGTTAATACATATGTATGACCTAAAAATCCAGCATAATCTGACATGTCCACTACCTTAACTAAAACAATATATACTATAAGGCTGGGCGCAGTGGCTAACACTTCTAACCCCAGCACTTTGGGAGGCCAAGGTGGGTGGATCACTTGAGGTCAGGAGTTCGAGACCAGCCTGGCCAACATGATGAAACCCCCTTTCTACTCAAAAACTCAAAAATTAGCCTGCCATGGTGGCATGCACCTCTATGTAGTACCAGCTGATCAGGAGGCTGAGGTAGGAGATTCACTTGAACCCACGAGGTAGAGATTGCAGTTGAGATAATGCCACTGCACTCCAGCCTGGGTGACAGAGTGAGATCCTGTCTCAAAAAAAAAAAAAAAAACACCATAATATATGTTATAATAATATATCAATATATAACATTATATAATATATAATAAATAATATGACACATGGATAACTTTAATGTGTAATATATTAATATATTGAATATATATAATATAGATTAATATATAGTTGCATTACATATTACCCCCAAATTTAGCAGCTTAGAACAATTTATTATCTTATGGCTTCTGTTGGTCAAGAATCTGAGGGCAATTTAATTAGGTGGTTCTAGCTCAAGGCCCCTCATGAGGTTGCTCAAGCATTTCTGGGCTACATTCATCTCAAGCTGCTCTATTAGGGCTGAACTATCCAGTTTCAAATCTATATAGCCATGTAACCACCATCACAATCAAAATACAGTATATTTCTGTCAGTCCACAAAGTTTCCTCATGTCCTTTAGAAATCAATTTCCTCTCCTATTCCCAGCTGCTGACAACCACTGACATGTAATCTATCCTGTTCCTTAAGTTTTGCCTTTTCTGGAAAGTTATATAAATGAAATTATACAGCATCATACAGGCTTTCATGTCAGGCTTCTTGCACTTTGCACAATGTTTTTGAGATTCATCATTGTTGTTACCTGTATCAGTAGCATGTTGCTTTTTACTGCTTTTTAAAAATTGCTTTTTACTGCTAAGTACTCTCTCACTGTAGATATGTATCCAAACTTTTCAACCATTCACCAGCTGATGGACGTCTGGGGTGCTTTCAGTTTGGGGCAATTATGGCTAAAGCTGCTGTAGATGTTCATGTTCAGATCTTTGTATGGATAGTTTCAACTCTCTTGGGTAAATACCTAGGAATATGATGGCTACGGTACCATACTATGAGTAGAGATTTATACTTACTTTAAAAGAGACTGCCTGTTTTCCAAAGTGATGATACCATTTTGCATTCCCACTAGTGATGTGTTAGAGACCCAGTGTTCTGCAATTTTGTCAGCACTTGATTTTATCAGTTGATGTTTCTGCTGTTTTTTGAATCTTAGCTACTCTAGTGGATAAGAGGTGATATCCATGTTGTTTCTATTTACATTTCTTTAATGACTAAAGTTTTTGCACTTTTTTTTCATGTATTCATCTGCCATCCTTCTTTGTTCTTTGCTAAAGTGTGTTTTGCCCCTTTTTAAAATTGGGTTATGTATTCTGATCAGAAGCAGAGAGAAAGTTATAGCAAGAGGAGACTGAAAGGCTTATTCTGTTTTTGCTTATTTAAAGTAAAGACTCAGAAAAGGAACTGATGAGCCTGGCCAAGCACCGTGTGAACTGGCTAGCTGGTGTTCTGTATAGGCATGAGGGAAGTCTGAATAGTTCAGTCTTTGGAAACCTAAAGTCTGTGAAGTCAGATCACATTCTAGGGAGTGACAGTGAGGGGGCTTCCCCTGAAATCAGTGTTAATCATAAAAGGGGAGAAATCAGGCTGTCTTTAAATATGGAAGGAAAATATCCTCTCTGGGCAATGTGGGTCAGTTTCCACTGGACTCTGAAATACTGGAACTGACCAGAAATAGGGAGTGAACTGGCCCTAGCCCAGTAATGGCACACCAGGAGCGTAGAAGGGAACCTTTGAGGTTTAGACCTGTGAGCTTCTTGAAGATAATTTTTTCTCTATGTTGTAGCTTTGTCACATCCAAGACTTCAATCACATTATCTTTCAATTCTTTTCACTGGTTGCAATTGTATATGGAGAGTTAGGGAGAGCATGAAGTATATCTTGGGGAGGTCAAAGCAGAACTCCGTCATCTCCACAGCCAGAGTGAGGAGGCCAGTGATTGCCCAGCAGAGACCTGCTTTGCCCGCCCCATGGCCTTCTCAGGAGAGCAGCTGGCAATCAGAATAGAGATTTGGTTGGAAAACAAGGTTTCCAGATCAGTTTTAAGATTTTATTTGTTTTGTTTTTAAATTTCAACTCTTCCTTTTTAGATTCAGGGGATACATGTGAAGATTTGTTATATGGGTATACTATGTGATGCTGAGGTTTGGGGTATGGTTGAACCTGTCAGGTAGTGAGCATATTACCCAACAGGTAGCTTTTCATTCCTTGCCCTGCTCCCTGTCCCATCAATGTCTAATATTCTTATCTTTATGTCCATGTGTACCCAATGTTTAGGTCCCACTCGTAAGTGAGAACATGAGTTATTTGGTTTTCTGTTAATTTGCTTAGGATAATCCTCTCCAGCTGCATCCATGTTGCTGCAAAGGATATGATCTCATTCCTTTTTGTGGCTGGATAGTATTCCGTGATGTATATGTATGCCATTTTCTTTATCCAATTCACTGTTGATTGGCACCTAGATAGATTCAATGACTTTGCTGTTGTGAATGGTGCTGCAACAAACATACTAGTACAGGTATCTTTTTGATAAAACAATTAATTTTTCTTTGGTTATATAACCAGTAATGAGATGGCTGGATTGAATGGTAGTTCTATTTTTAGTTCTTTGAGAAATGTCCAAACTGCTTTCCATAGTGGCTGCACTAATTTCCATTTCCACAATAGTGTATAAGCATTCCCTTTTCTTCACATCCTCATCAACATCTGTTACTTTTTGACTTTTTAATAATAACCATTCTGACTAGTGTGAGATGGTATCTCATTATGGCTTTAATTTGCATTTCTCTGGTGATTAGTAATGTTGAGCATTTTTTCATGTTTGTTGGTTGTATGTATCTCTTCTTTTGAGAAGTGTCTGTTCATGTCCTTTGCCCACTTTTTAATGGGGTTGTTTTTTGCTTGTTGATTCCTTAAATTCCTTATAGATTCTGGATATTAGACATTTGTTGGATGCATAGTTTGTGAATATTTTCTCCCATTCAGTAGGTTGTCTCTGTACTCTGTTGATAGTTTCTTTTGCTATGCAGAAACTTTTTAATTTAATGAGGTCCTACTTGTCAATTTTTGTTTTTGTTGTAATTGCTTTTGATAACTTGGTCATAAATTCTTTGCTGGGGCAATGTGCAGAAGGGTATTTCATAGGTTTTCTTTTAGAACTTCTACAGTTTAACATCTTACATTCAAGTCTTTAATCCATCTTGATTTAATCTTTTATGTGGTGATAGATAGGGTTCCAATTTCATTCTTCTATATATGGATGGCCAGTTATTTTAGCATTATTTAATGGTTAGACCTTTCCCCATTGCTTATTTTTGTTGATTTTGTAAAAGATCAGTTAGTTGTAGGTGTGTGGCTTTATTTCAAGGTTTTCTGTTTGTTACATTGGTCTGTGTCTGTTTTTGTACCAGTACTATAGTACCGTTTGGCTTACTGTGGGTTTCCAGATCTTAAATGAAACGATACTTTGAGAAATCACAGAAAGAGCTCTTTAGAAAACTAATTTTCAGCAATTAAGCTGCTAGAACTGCATGCCTTAATAATATCTACCTGAAAATGAACTATAAAATTGGCTTATTGTCATAAGCTGGTCAAGGCCTTATGACATGAATTATAGCTTATACTTAAAAGCACCCTTCTTTTGGTAACATGTTGAAACAAAACACATTTTTATTCATATTTTCCCAAAACCAAGAGGAAAAGCACAAAAAGAGGCATAAATCCACAAGAAAAATTTGAAAATATTTATTGGGAAAGATTTTTTAATAAAATATATGAGATGTCAAATTTTGTTCAATAGAAAGGAAAAATAAGAGCTACTAAAACGGAGAAGGCTGAATCCTAAGTGACAGTAGATGGGGATGACCACACATTTGTGCTACAGAATCCCAGAAATGCTCATGAATTGGCTGAAAAAACAAAAGTAGTTGAGAGCCTATTAGGCAGGCTTTATCCTTGAGGCCCCTCAATCGTCTTACACAAACAACTCTCTCTAATCCAGGAAGGAGATCAGAGATATATTCTGAAACGAAATTGAACCAAAGGGGGACTCCAGTCCACTGATAAAGTTACATAGGAAGGCAGAAGAAAGATGCCATATTGAAAACAAGAGAATTAAGTGAAAGCCTATAGAGGAAATGGAGTAAACCCCCAGGGTCTTTGTGTCCCTCAGAGCCAAGAACACTGAGACCCAACATTGTTCCTCACACAGCAAAGTAGAGGATGTTTTTCTAGAGAAACTGAACCAGAGAATAAACCCTGTACATTTGACATTTGTGGGCCTCTTTATCAAGAAAGCCAGTTATTCCTCATTGCCCCACAAAGGAACTCGCTAGTTGACAATCCCTGCAAACAAACACACGTAGTGGTTCCAACTAGATCTCTAGAGCCACACTCTAAAATGTAATCAAGCATCAATGAATCACCACAAATTTAAAAAGCTTCCAGTACAAGAGAGTTTTTATAATACACAGAAAAAAATAAACTCAGAAGAAATAAAAATTAATGAGCCTAATATAGAATCTTCAGAGAAATAATGAGAAACATCACATTCTGGAAAGAAAAATGGTATACTATTTTTAAATCAAAGAACAGAGATCAAGACCTACTGGAAATCAAAATATACTAGCTGAATTTTTAAAAGTCAGTAGAGATGTTGAGATATACAGTGGAGGAAATCTACCTGAAGGTGGAAGAGAAAGACTCAGAGATAGAAAATAAGAGAAAAAAAAAATGGCAAGAAAGCCGTTGTTCCAGAAGAACAACAGTACAGAAAAAATGGAGGAGAGGAAATTACCAAATAAGAAGAAAAAAATAATAGAATTGAAGATCACGAATCTCTGGATTGAAAGAGACCACTGAGCTCCAATTAATCTACTTCTTGGCTCAGCAATGAAAACTACGTACTGAGTGACAGTGAAGTAAACAGTGGAAACTAACGTAAAAATAAAAAATAAAAACTCTTATAAAATTTCCAGGAGGAAAGTGGAGGAATGGATCCTGATAAGTGTGCTAAATTTTCATCTTCACACCTGACATCTTTGGGAAGATGGCCCTAAACCATTACGTCTAAGGTTAACTTAGACCTGATAATAAAAACAGGAAGAATTCACAGCAATGTGTAATTAGCCAGTAATTTGTACCTTGTAATTCTGAAAGATAAGTTCTTTTTCCTCTAATCTGTCATGGATTAATAAGTGACCCTATCATGCACGACCACTTGTCATGCATGAGTATATCATGAGTATACAGCTCATACCACCCAAGGATGTGTTGAAGCCAGCTTGTGCTGGCTTGGAACTGCTGATTGCTAAATTTTCTGTTTTCTGTATCATATTGGTAGCTTCAAATCAACCATGTGGGAGTATTTACATCATAAATTGGCCAAGGCTACAAGTCAAAGTGGGTTTTTGTTGTTGTTGTTTGCTGCTTTTTCTTGAAAGTCAGTTTACCTACACTCCACTACAATTCACTGTGTAAGTACAAAAACACACATATGATCTATATCCTGTTCAATGAGATGAGACCGTCAATGAATCACTGAATGTCACAACAATGTCACACTTCTATTAAAGTTTCTAAACTTTGTCTCGATTTTTAAACTTACCTGGTCTTGACAAGTTAACAGTTTGCAGACTGATACTGATACCTAGACTACACAATGAGAAGCATTAAGTAAATTAAGTAAATAGTATTAAGTAAATTCATAGTATTAAGAAAATTAAATGAGATAAAAAGCTGAAATTGCTAAGGGAGCCCCTACCACATAGTAAGTGTGCAATAAATAGGAGGCATAAATACCATTACTAGATTATGAGCTTTTGGATGCAAGGACCATGGTTTTTGTTTGGTTTTGATTTTGTTTTATATGTATTATACTTTATATATATACATATATATGTTTAACATGTATTTAACACTTAGCATGTCTCTTGGCCTTTAGTATGTATTTAATAAATATTTATTAGAAATTAATAATGCACAGTAAGTGATTGTAATGCTTCCTAAACGTAGTGGAGACACTGTTTCTACATTGGACTGATGTGTGAGAGGTGTCACAGTGCTGGGATTTTGCAGAGCTCAACCTGCACAAGTCCATTCTGACCCTTTCCTCTGGTCCAAACAAGTTGTCCATTTTCTGAATTTAGCCTCACAATTGGACTAAAGTGAACACTGTGAGGGTTGGTATTGAACTCAAAATATTAACCGGTAATTACCCTTATTTGGTCTTTAGGTTTTACTAAGGAGGGTAAGATATGTAGGTACTCAGTGGGAAGTGACTTGGGTCCTAGTCATATCCCCTGCCAGATGAGAGGACTGAAGATTAGCCTTGCATGTCTTAAGTGCTATAATTTTGTGTTAATAAATTGTGCAGAAGAACTATCTTGCCCCAAAATAAAAATTAGCTGTGTTCTGTAGAACATACCAAGTTTTATGGTTAGAGAAAATAGGTTTGTTGGTTTCTAAGAGTTATCAGGAAAGGCTTCTCGGAGGTTTATTTGACAAGTCTGATTCAAACTTTGCAGATGCGTGAGCATCTGGTGCTGCTTTCTCTTTTACCTCCTATGCCTACCATTTATTATCATCAGGAAACAAGGTGCCATCTACCATAAGATTCAAGCAGGAAACAGGGCACATTTGCAAGAAATATTTGGAGCCAGATACTGCAAAGACAACTGATGCAACATGTAGTAATATCTCTATTTCCCTGTAAAGGTTTTGTCATATCTAATCAATGCACAGACTCTTAAGAGACCATAGTGGGAGGCATACCATTCATTAGATTCAGGAGAGCCAAGAGTTAGGCTTACAATGCGTTTTTAAAGCCATGGTTCTTAATATCTTTAATGAAAATCATGGGTCCTTTACACTGGAGGCACTTAGACGCAAACTCTGCATAAAATTTAAAGAGGTTTATAATCCTGAAGCTAAGGAAAGAAAGAGTAATCGAGGTCATCAAGAACCTAATATATGGTTGAGTCAGGAGATCCTGGAACAGTGTCTACATAAGTGCTCCTTGTTAGAGGAGTTCAATGAAACTAAGGCAGGAGTAATTTCTGGCGTGCACAATGGGATGGGGTAGGATGGAGCTGATGCATGGTGTCCTGTAGAACTAGGAGAGCTGGCCTTAGAGACAGTGTGATGGTGTGAAAGATCACCCATCAGGAGAGAGTTAGGAACCTGGAATGTAGTTTTTCCTCTGACCTCAAATGCCTGGCAATGTCATATCATTATCTTTGTGCTTTAGTTATCTCATCCAAACAAGGACAGAAACAAATGAGATAATCCTGTTAGCTCTAAAATTCAATCATTTAGACGTACAAATTATATATAAAGTATAGGAAAGAATTAGCCAATGGAAGATAACTTTTTGGCCAAGGAGATGAACTTTTGCAAAAGTTTGCCTGAGGCCTAAAATTTACGTTCAACACCATTGTGCCACTGGGTTATAATGAGGCCTCATGCCTTTTTCCTTTTTTCCCTTGAAGAACATCACTTCTCCCTCTTTCAGAGATCATTATAATCTCAATTTGGCGGGGGTGGGGGGTGGTGGGGAGAAAAACAGCAGTAATCTCATAAAGTAGATCTAGAATTCAGACTGCCTTGGATGAGACTTGAGAGCAAAAAGCAATATAAATTTCTCGGTTTAAGAAGTCAATATGAAGTCCACAGCCAGCACATAGGCCAGCCTATCGGGAACCAAAATAGTTTGTTTGAAATGTAGTATGCAAAAGGATCACTATCAACTTGTGCTTTGCTAACCCGGATTTTTTGTGACTCACGTTTTCAGATTTACAATTGGATCTGTTTTTCTGTCTTCTAATTTTTAACTAGGAAATCTTCTAAAATTTGCCCATCAAAATTCTGTAAGCACCTGACCTAATTAGCTAGCTTATAACCCAAACCATCATTCTTATCATTCTTACCATGACTTTTGCACCAGAACACCCATGGACTTACTGATCAGCCTGTGAGCAGGCCACCCTTGAGAAAGGTATCACTCTTGATCCAATCAGGGGCAGCTCCTGAGCAAAGTTTCTTTTCTTGCAGGGGCCATGGGTAGAATTTTTCTAGCTAGAAACACTGGACACAGAGAAGGATGATTGCCATGCCTGTGTACACTAAAGCTCTATTAGAGGTATCAGCTAGGGGAAGACAGGGCATCTGATGCTGCTGTGTCCCCTGACATAACATACATATGCAGCAAACTGGCTCTGTGAATGCATGAGGCGGCCTGTTTATGTAAGTAGGTTAATGGATGACCTCACACCCTTTGCCTTTGCTACATTCTACTTTTTCCTCACCCTGGGGGGCTTTAAATCATTCTTGCACTTAAAGCACATTCACTGTATCCATAACATAAAAACTCTTTCAGTATATATGAGCTAATTGAGCATAATATATAAGAATTTATCCTAAAAAATCTTTTATTGATTTATCTGTTGCCATAGGGTGTCATTGTTGTTTTAAACTAATATGTTTGCCTGGTCTTTGCCTGAAAGCTGTCTTTGATTCATTCTGTTCTGAGAAATAAAACCTCTCTTATAGCCTAATGAATATCATAAATCTAAAATGCTAATGATTAGATCTTTATCCTGAAAAACTATATTTTGAGAAATGAGGTCAAAACATGTGATTCTGCTGGATAAAGTTTATCTTTACAAAGGTTTACAACTAACTTATTTCTTTCTGAGATGATATTATCCTCTTTTTAAAGTCTCCCTTTTTAAAAATGGTATTCCAACATTTTACATGATATGCAGGCAAGTAGGTGTGCTCATGTAAGTGCCACATGGCCACTATAAACTCCCATATCTTTCTCCCTAACAGCTACTAGAAGTAGCTGAGCCACATTTGCTTACATCCAGTCCTCCACAATTCTTTTCTGTCTCTGTGGACCCTTGAATCTAGGATCTCCCATGAGTCCCTCCATATTCCAGCCACTTCATATGCTGTCTACACAAACATATATTCTGCATCACACCTACCTCTATGCTAGACCCTTCCCATAAAGAGGGGGCATTGAATGCCATGGCTGTCTTTAATAATGAGGACTTACTGGCCTCCTGGAGAGGTGGCTTGTTGTGGTTCAGTGGTTTGCAAATTGCGATGTTGGACTTCTAGTTCTAAAGCACTGCTCCAGTCTTGGAAAGGGGAAATCTTTGGTAGAAAGGGCTCCTTTTCTCACCTATCCCCATTTTATATGAAGGATTTAAATATATGTGCATGCGTGGGCCGGGCGCAGGTGGCTCACGTCTGTAATCCCTGCACTTTGTGAGGCCGAGGCGGGCGGATCACGAGGTCAGCAGTTTGAGACCAGCCTGGCAAACATGGCAAAACCCCGTCTCTACTAAAAATACATAAAATGAGCTGGGTGTGATGGTGGACGCCTGTAATCCCAGCTACTCAGGAGGCTGAGGCAGGAGAATCGCTTGAACCTGAGAGGTGGAGGTTGCAGTGAGCCGAGATCACGCCACTGCACTCCAGCCTGGGTGATAAGAGCGAAACTCCATCTCAAAAATAAATAAATAAATAAATAAATAAATAAATAAATAAATAAATAAATAAATGTGTGTGTGTATATATATACATATATATATATATATATATATATATATATATATATATAACATATTGAATGACAGCCTGAGGCAAGTCATTCAAAGGGAACTGCAGTTGTGAGTTGTTAGAATAAGAGCCCACTATCAAGTGAGGGGTGCACAAATGGCAAAGGGGATCCAGTAGTGCCCACTATAGGTTTCCATCCTACTAAATCGCCATATGTCTCCAGTCCTCATTTCACTTTAATTCTCAGAGATATTCCCAATGACCACTTCTTCCTGGAAACAGTCTTTTCTTTTGGCTTCCACGATATTATTTATTCTTTCTTGATCGACTTCCCATGTTTTTAGCAACTCTAGCTCAACCATTCTGCAAGCTCATCTAACTCCACTCTATTTTGGAGTTCCTTAGTACTTGAATCTAGGCTCTCTTCCCTCTCAGTACTTTTTCTCTGTTTGACTTTATCCTTTGGATTTAATTACCACTCCTAAGCAGATGTTTTAAAGGTCGTGCCTCCAAACCAGACCTCCACTTTGAGTTCTAGGTATGTGGTAAATACAAATGTATTGTGCACTATTCTGGCACCATGAACCAAGCATGCCAGAAATCATGATCATCCCAAGAATCATATGCCTTTCATATCTTCTCAATATTACCACCATTCATCAGCCTGCACAAGTCTGAACTAATGTTATTTCCAAACATTCACCAATTCAGCTCTTTTTCCTTCTAAATAAATCTGAAATCTATTCTTTTCTACATCGATAGCACATCACCCTATTCCAAAGTGCCATAATCTCTCTTGCAGTATTATTGAATAGCCTCCTAACTGATTCAACCACCTCTACCCCTTCTCAGCAACCAGTATGTCTTTCCTAGTACACCATAATGATTATGGGGTCAGGGACCATGCTTATTTTTTTTTTTAAATAGCTTTATGCTTTAGAACAGTCTAAGATTTACAGAAACATTGTAAAGATAGGACAAAGAGTTCCCATAAACCCTTCACCCAGTTTCTAATACTATCAACGTCTTACATTACTATGGTACATTTGTTATAATTAATAAACCAATATTGATACATGATGATTAAGGTCCATAGTTTATTCAGATTTCCTTTTAACAGATTTCTAGCAGAAAAGGCAGTAAGCAGCTCCTACAAACAGCCCACACAAACTACTTTCAGACCTTTTTAATGTCTCTCTTCACCTTCACACCTCAATTTCCCTTCCCATATCCACAACCTACTCTCAGGAATTATCCTATTGAAGTCTCAGTTTCTTTGTTTGTGAATGAAGGATTAAAATGGTGTCTTCCCAGGGAGGTCACTGTGAGGCTTACATGCAAAGGGTTCAGCACAGTACATGAAGCACAGCAACTGCTAAAATTTGTTAGCTGTTCATATTAATGCTGTTAGTTGCTTCTTAGGGAATACAGGCCTGAAAATGGATCTGAGAATGGAGATGAGGGGCAGAGGAGGTGCTGCGGTGAGGTAAGCCCTGCACGTGCACTGGCCTTTCTCTCTGCAAAGCTCACATAAAGTATGCTTGGTTTGATCTGTGTAGACTGTTTGCAAGGACTGCCCATTGCCGTTTGTTGCTTAGCTGCTGTGGTTCAGGTATGACTCTGGCCCTTCATTTGAATAAGGATTCCTCTACACTTTTCCCTTTCATTCCACCTGGGGAGAGCTGGGAAACAGACACAGAGATAGGCCCGTCTCATGAGTGTCTGTTTTCCAACTCACTCCAGCTTCGTGCTTTACTGACAGCTGCCTTCAGAACCAGAGGCAGGGCTCTTATTCTCCTCTTTAGGCATCATGGCCAACGGGAGGGTCAAGGCAGTAACTTCCAGATGCCACCCTCACAGACTTCTTGCTTTCCCCCTCCTCAGAATGTGGACTGGATTTTCATCTCAAACGCTCCATTGACTACGCAGCCTGGCCTCCCAGCACTCTGTGCTATGCCCATCCTGGTGGGAATGTCAGTCCAGGATTCATTAGCACACACAATCATCATTCTTCAGGTACTAAGGGCAGGCATGAAATTACACTCAAGACACAAAATAATGGGTTATTGAAAAAAATTCAAAGAAAATAAGGCAATCGCAGACATAAAACAGTAGTTCTCAACTCGTTTTATGCTCTAACACACCTCAATGGCATGGCATTCCCTCAACTGATTAGAGATCAATAAATCTCTACCCAACATCACTCCCCCCCCCATATTTCAGTTACTGTCATATGCTGTAAACCAAACAAAGAAACTAAACTGGTATATGATGGCAGGTCAGCAGGCTTAAAAATTATGGATGTCGTGCACAGATGTGGATATGTTCAGTAACTACTTTTGCTATAGTTATTTCTTAGTCATTTGGACTGTGTTAAACATCTGTGCAACATATTAGAATTCAGCTCATCTTAAGTCTGCCCCTAACTCTGAGACCTCAGGCAAGTTATTTAGTCATGCTTGGCCTTGCTTTATGGGTTCTTTAAAATTTCAATGTTTTGAGCAGACTTTGAGAATGTCTTCTTGAGATGAACTTCACTATAGGCTACTTATATCCAAATGCATAGCCAAACTCCCTGTTCCCTATCACCTGACCTTAAACATACTATTTTTCAGAAACAAAGGTTCCTGTCCCTACACTGAAAATTGTCTCCAATCATAACTTCCCTACTGATTCTTCTTGTTCTATGTTCCTTTCACACCTAAAACACAATTTCGTCTCACACTGTGATTCTGGTTTGGAATATCAATGCAATAGAAGTGAATGCAAAATACGAGCTCTTGTTCTGTGCTGGGCATTAAACTGAGTGCTTTCAGAGCACCATAACTATATTAATCCTCCTACCAACCCTGTGATACAGGTATGAATGTTATCCTCCTTTTTCAGGGGAGAAAATAAACCTACACACGCACCCACACACACACGCACACGCACACGCGCACACGCACACACGCAGAGAAGCCAGCTTCAGGGACCTTGAAGAAATTGCCCAGCGAGTATCTGGTAGTGTCGTATTCTGAATACCTGACTCCAAAGCCCAAGCTTTTAACCTTTATATCTTGTCCCTTGAGATAGGTGGTCATTTATACCAAACATGTTAATAACTAAGAGGACAATGGAACTAAGGTTATAGAGATGGTATATAACAAGGTATAACTGTACATTCGCTGTATATTGTGTATGAGACATTGTAGTATTACATACGATAGGGGAAGTTGCTATTAGTGTTTCTATTTTTCAAGGAGAAAGAAAATGTATAAGTCTGAGATTTGTCAAAGGTGGCTCTGACTCCTACCCAGGTAGCTTCCTATTGCCAGGATGCTAACTTCGGAAATATATGAAGGGATTCAACTTAAAAACAGAAACAAGTTATAATTCAGAAGATATAAATCAGTGGGCCTGGAGACCTACATTTTTAAAAGGTCCCCAGGCAATTCAGATTCTTTCCCCAGTATACAGATGATGAGCATCGTACAAATTTAGATTTGCCTTATAGAGTGGTCAGCCCATTTATAATACTAGAATTCCAGGTCAATGCTGTTTCCTCAACTTAAAAAATACTAGCAAAGCATATTTCTAATGGATCTCTGTCTTTCTCTCTCTTTCTGCAAACCTGAACGACTTCCTAAACCCATATGAACCTTCAGGCATAAAAACACTCTCTTGCAACAAGATCACAGCCCCTTATTTACTCTGAGGCAATGGGAAGACAAAGGAAACCCTAGGCCTGACCCACCCTCAGACTCTTGGTGTCAATGTCATGTCTATCTTATACTCAAAGTGTTTTCTATAATCTGGGACAGATGATAATGATGACATCTATCCTCCCTATCAGTTTTATTTTATCACCCTCCCCTACCACACTTCAGCATTCCTGTCTTCAGAAAGTTCCTTCAAGTAGTCATTTTTCTCCTTACTGAAAAACTCCCTGCCCTAGAGGTATTTATATCCTACTTTCTCTTTCCTCTCACATTTTCACTATTTGTTTACTCAGTAAATTAATTCAAAAATATATTTTGATTACTCATTATGTGCTAGGTGCTGTTTTCAGAGCTGAGAAAATAAGCAAGACTATATCACAGTATGGTTCTTGTTTTTCTATAACATACATGTGCGCGTGCACGCGCACACACACACACACACACTTACTTGCTTTAGTCATGGCTTTCCAGTAGGAAGTCCCACATAGGTAAACTCTTATTTTTTTAACCTTCCTTTAATTTCCCCCTTTCCTCTATACCTGACATAATACATGTTGGGTCTTATCTCCAATTAGGAGATAACATACTCAGATAGATTAATTGCAGCTATGGTGTCAATTACTTATTCTGAAGTATTAAGCCACTACTCTCAGAAAACCTATATTTGATAGTCAATTCCTTCTATACAATTTCTTTGCACTATAATAGAATATGAGATATATTTGGCAACCAATGGAGACTTTCAACTCTCTTTAAACTACTATACCATGTAGCCAGCTCTTTCACTGCTTACATCCATGGAAAACTATTATCTGCAAGGATCTTACTCCTCACAATTTGCAAGGATCTTACTCCTCACAATTTGCAAGGATCTTGCTCTTTCCAACCTAGAAATCACAAAGTTTATTGCTCTACTCTGACTCATACAGTTTTACCTAGTTTATATTTCTGCATAAATTTGAAGCTATTTTAATGTGCATTTTCTGCACATTTTTCCTTACAGTTTTTCCCTTGTCCTTCTGGTTAGATAACTAATCCATGTACCCAAGTGTGGATATGTAAAATAGAAATCGCAAAAGGGTTTTGTTCTGACTCTGCCCTGGGACACAAAAACAGAGCATTAACCTAACTAACTCTGGCATGAATCCAATCAGGAGAGAAATTTCATTAAAGCAATGCCCCCCACCAACTTTCCAGAGATAACAGACCTTTATTTCATTGTGAGTATGCTTTTCAGATATGTTGCTGAGAACAGGACCACATAGGAAACTAAGAGTTAAAACCGCAGACCACCTGAGGTGGGGAGATAGGAGTGGAAATACTGCTAGTAAGAGGAGAAAAGTGCTACAAGGAGATATTGGGCAGTCAAGCAAATTTCAATCAACTTGTTATTCCACTCTGCAGAGTAGAAGCCAAAGCAGCCTGCATGGCCATGCATGATCTGTCCATATTTCAGTTTCATGTTACCTGTCTCTCCTCATCTCTACCATGCTTCTCCTCGTTCAGTCTGCTCCAGCCAGCGTCCCCCTCCCTGTTCCTCCAGCAGAGCAGGTGTGTACTTTGTGCTTATCATTCCTGCTGCCAAAGGCACCCTTTCCCATTACAACCACCCCAGCGCTCTATCCTCAATATTTGTTTTGTTATTTTCTACGACACTGATCTCCTTCTGCCTTGCTATGTATTTTCCTTATCACTTATTTGTGTATTTTCAATTTCTACTCATACAGTGCAATTCTGTGAGAAGAGCGATTTTATGAGTTTTGTTTTCCACTGTATCACCAGAGCCTAGAACAGTGACCAGCACAGAGTACATGTGCAATAAGTATTTGCTGAGTGGAGAAGCAGATTTGTCATGAGCTGGCCCTGAGACCATGATTTTGTAAAAATATACTTAGTTCGGTGTTTTTCTGTTCTGGTGCTACCAGACGTGAACTTTTATGTGTCACATGGACAAGGCATTGGCCAACACTGAGTCACATTGTTAAAAATATATATATATATATTCCCTTGCCATCCATTCCCTCTGATTACATCAGAGATGAGATTCTTTGGAAATTAAAATTTCATTAACATTTATTAATTTCCTTTTTGATTAAAAAAGTCAAGTTGCAGGCATAGATCTTTGGTAGGCAGCTAAATCTGGCTGAAATGTAATAACAGTTTTTGTTTTCATTTTTTTAAATTTACTTTCTATTGTCAAGTAATGTAGTGACATATAATTTCTTTCTTTAAAATTTTATTTATAGAAAAGAAGGAAGAAAAATAGATACAGAAAGAAAGAAAAAGAGGGAAAGAAAGGAGGGAGGAAGAACGTTTCAAGGAAACACCAGTTTAGGTGGTACACAGATACTGCAAAAAAATTGTGTAGCAGTTATTAGTGTTTCCAAAACAAAAACACAGATCCTATCCCTGGTGGAGCACAGGAGGCATAGCCTTTGGATGTGAATCAATACTATCAACAGTAGCACAGAATCCTACTTGCACACACAGTGTGAGTGTACTTCCTCCAATACGTATTCTCTGGAATAGCCCCTAAGTAACAACCAGCTGCTGGGAAACTTACATGAAGACATTTTTGAAAGGAGACAAAATTCTTGACATTTACCAGTCTTATGTTAGGCTGGACTTGATGTTTAGAGAGTGGTGGGAATAGAGTGGAGCCATGCAATTCCTGGGAGCATCTCTGGAAGGACCCCTGAGGATAATATGTGATTTCATCATGCCATTGAGTGAACGTGGACCCTAACCCCAATCAGGTTGTGTGTTTTGTCCCCTATGTAGTCTGTACAAGAATGCTGGCATGACCCTGCCCCCACCTGACTTTATTTTACCCTCAAAATGCAGCACAGCAACTTGCTGATTGCTAAACCATCTGGGAGACACAGACTGACTGCATTTTAGACCATGAGCACTTGTCATTCTGAAAAAAAGAGCCTCAGACATATTTGAACTATAAAGAAATAACAAAAACAAACCAGATCTTTCTTATCTTTCATTGTACATTTGAATGCAATTTATTTTCATTTTTGTATTTTAAGGGGAAACTGTTGGAGACCTGATGGTTAGAATAGAAATGAAGTATAAAGCATATTGCTTCCCGCCCCAGAGCTGGCGGGATAAATGTCTTTTTCTTCAGCTCTGAAATTTGTATTCTCTACTCTCCTGGAATAAAACACAAGATAATGTCCATTCTGCTGCATTTTTCCCCATTTTGTTCATCCTTGCAATGTAGAATTTTAAAGAAAAATGAAAAATGTTAATCTCTAGTAATTTATTTTTCCCCCATTAAGTGCTTTAAAAAGCTATTCTTATAGGTGACCTTATATTTCTTTCAAAAATCTGCAAATCAAAAGGACCTTTTTGGTCCTTTTAAAGCTAAACAATTCACTGGGCTTAATTCAGTGTCATGGGCTTCTCATTCTTCTCTCCACCTGGGCTCCAAGTAATACCTCTGGATCCCTTGAAGAATTTCCATGTGAGAAGGGGTCAATGAGTTGGAAGTCATAGACCACCTGAAGATTTTACTTGCCCCATTTGATCTCTTGAAATGGACTTTGATACCACAGGCAACACCTCTTTCCATCACCCAATTTACAGAATTAAGGCTTGATTTTATTAAGAAAACATACAGCTTTCCTTACAGTCACTACCCC
This sequence comes from Homo sapiens, assembly GCF_000001405.40. Classification (NCBI taxonomy): domain Eukaryota; kingdom Metazoa; phylum Chordata; class Mammalia; order Primates; family Hominidae; genus Homo; species Homo sapiens. Next base: position 49,333,642 of record NC_000002.12, on the reverse strand, counting down.
ATCTCCAAATTAAACCAGCTTTCCAGATATATCCTGTCTGTTTTGAAAATCCAAGGATATCACAGATGACTTAGAATCAAGTTTTGAAAGGAAAAAGAGGCCATTCATTTAAAACTAAAGTAAAGCCAAGTAGCATTTTGAGAGTGTGGGAAGGTAGTTGCTGTAACCTCTTCTCACCCCTCTAGCTGCTTATAGGTGACACCTCTAACCATACAACCCTGGCTTCAACCCAACAGAAATACTTACAATTCTCTTAATGAATACTGCTTCATGGCTCAGGATTTTGCCTAGGATTTTCCTATGATTTGCAATGCTCTTCTTCTGTCATTATATGCCTGGATAATTTCTCCCTCTTTCAAGAATCATTTTTAGCACAAGTGTCTTAATTATTATAATGTCCAATAATAATTATATGAAGTCTAGCATTTGTTGATTTTTAATGTATTGTAGACAGTATGGTGATATCTTTGCATGATTATCTCACTTAAAGCTACCACCACCGCCACTATAAGATAGACACTATTATTCCCATTTTATAGATGATATATCCCAAAGGAAGTTCAAGAGTTAAAACTACAGACCACCTAAGAGGGGATAGGGTAGTGTTTTGTTTGAAATTGTGTTTAATCTGTTCATTTTTGTCTTCCATACCATGACATTAGTATATTCTTCCACTTACTTAATTTTTTAAAATTTACTATTAATTTTTTAACTTTCTAGGTAGAAGTCTTATACATATTTTTCTAGATTTGATTATAAGGTTTTCTTGGATGCTATTGTAAATCATATTTTTATTAAATTTCATATTTTATTTGTTATATAGAGAAATGCAACTGAATTCTGTATTTTGATGCCTTATCTAGCAAACTTACAGAAGGATTAAATAATTTGCCAAATTTATATAGCTAGACTATTTCAAGGTTGGGGTACAAACTGATGTCTGTAGAACATCAGACACTGTGGCCTTAATTATCCTCTAAATACCTTTTCTTAGCCATTCCTGAAAATATCCATCTACTCATCACCACCAGATGGAGTAAAACATTTTTCGTCCCACTGTAGTTTTTCCCCCTGTATTTGAGATTCCATAACATTTTATTTGCAAATAATTATTTATGTTTTCTTCTTCCTTCTTCCTATCTAGTTATTCCATTTATATTCTTCAGCTATTCATAGAGGCTGTATGTGTTAGGGCAGAAATATTGACATTTTGGACTGGGTAACTATTTGTTTTTGGGGGTTATACTATTTTGGAGTGGGTAACTATTTGTTTTGGGAGCTTATACCGTGCACTGCAATATATTTAGCAGCATCTCTGGTCTCTATCCACTAGATGCCAATAGCAACTGACCCCTTGTTGTGATATATTATTTTAAATGTCTCTAGACATTGCCAATTCGCCCTGAAAGGCAAAACTGCTCCCAGTTGAGAACCACAGCCTCAGGGAAGCCAACCCCACTTCTAGAGTTGTTGGTAAGACCAGTTTTTTAGGAATAAAGTCAGTCGATCACCTTGCCAGTGATTGTTTCAGGAAAGAACATGTGACCAAATTTGGGCCAATAAGACTGGAGTTGAGGTCTACTGTGGTATTGGGGGAATATTCTTTCCCCAAAAGAGCCTCCAAAAACTATCATCTCTCCTTCTGAACATTGTTGGGTACAGGTGGGACTGGAACTGCTGCAACTGTCCTGCTGCCAGCCTGAGGATGAATATCACATAGAGTAGAGCGTCTCAGGGGATGGAGACAGAGCCACTGGATTGCCTTCCAAGTATGTGAGATAAAACTTTCCTAACTGTTTAAATTGGTTTCTGATGGGATTTCTTTCTTCCCGCCCTAACTTTCTTCCCTCCCTTGCCCCTTCCTTCATTCCTTCTTTCCTTTTTTTGCTTCCTTCTTTTTGCACTTAAGTCTTAATGTTTATAAAAAACTGAATGTATGATATTCTCAAAATAACAGCCAATGTTTATTCTGTCTCTTAAGGGCAGCACCCCTTCAGCATTTCCTCTCACTTTTTCTATTTTCCTCCCTTCTTAAGCTCTAGTGTTTTGGGTACATAATTATCAAACTCATCTTAACATATATATTTTGATATACATGTGAACTTAAAATTGGTATTACGCGTATGTGTTTGGTTTCCATGAAAGGTATTGTGTATGCATTTCCTGCTGTTTTCAACTTTATTCCATGATGGCATATATATGTCTAATTCCTTAACTGTATGGTATTCTACCACATGCACATATTACATTTTTCTCATTTTATAGTGAGGACCACCTGTGTTCTTCTTGTCCTACTTTTACCATAAGCAGTTATGAAATGGGTCTTATTGTGCAGGTCTCTCTGTGGAGCTCTATAAATTAATATATGTAAAATTAATATATGTACTTTATTCCTAGGAACATAGTTGATATGCTTTGGCTCTGTCCCCCAACCCAAATCTCATCTTAAATTGTAATCCCTGTAATTGAGGGAGGGACCTATTGGGAAGTGATGGGATCACAGGCGTGATTTTCCCATGCTGTTCTCATGATGGTGAGGGAGTTCTCAGGAGAGCTGACAGTTTTCAAAGTGTTTTGCAGTTCTCCCTTCGCTTGCTCTCTCTCCTGCTGCCATGTAACATGTGCCTTGCTTCCCCTTCACCTTCTGCCATGATTATAAGTTTCCTGAGGCCTCCCCAGCCATGTGGAACTGTGAGTCAATTAAACTTTTTTCCTTTATAAATTATGCAGTCTCAGGTAGCGGCTTTATAGCAGTGTGAAAATGGACTAATACAATAGAATTATTCATAACAATTACTATCAATATTTTCATCATTATTGTTACATATTTGTCATTTGGTCTCTTTCTGTGACTTCCTTGTTCATATGCTTTCCTCAAATTTCTGTTGGATTTTCTGTCATTTACTTATTTCCAGGTGTTGTTTTATATTACAGATATCAATCACTTATCTGTTTAAATGAAGCAAATACCACCTTCAAATCTTGTCACAAAACCAGTAGCCTTGTCTATTAGGTAGTTCAGTAAAGAGAACTGTGCGATTTGGATGTGGGAAAATTTACCAATTTTTCTCCTTGAATAGTCCTTTTTTGTGTATTCTTTAAAAATTTCTTATTCCAAGATGACACAAGTTTTTATATTTTTCTTATGTTAACTTGGAGTTATACATTTAGGCTTCTGATACATCTGGAGTTCAGCTGGGAAATAAAGGTATAATTTTGTTTTTATGATTTTCAGTACAGTGAACCTATTTTTCCAATATCATTTCTTCAGAAATCCATTCTTTACCCCACTAATATGTGACACCTGTATTACACACCAGTGTCCTCTTTAGATGTAGGCTTGATCCTAGGTTTTCTATTTTATTTTATTACCTATTGATTGGTTCTTTGGTTAGTGGCACACAGTTTCTTTAACTATACCTTAGTAAATAGATGTTTATCTGTGGTTTCTCTTTTCCCCTAAAAGTGGGACTGCTAAAATTTTTGTTGAGATTCTCTGACTCTTAACAACTACTTTATGCACTGCTTCTTAGTCTCTCTGCTTGCACTAATAATAAATATGCAAATGCAACAAAGGGAAAGTTGGCTTATCTTGGCCTCTCAAGTTATTACTCTTTTCAATTCTCTATTTCTTTCAAATATATGTTTTCTATATTTTATCCCGCCTTCTTAGTTGTTACTGGTGAGAAATTCAATCTGTAAATTGCTAGTCCAACATAGCCAGAAAATTGATTTTTAAAAAATACTGATCCTCTAAGCAACATTTCTAAACACTCTTAGTCATTCCATTAAGTTTTCTATGTCACTGATCATATATTTGTTTCTTTTGGGTTCATCTGCAGAAGATTCTGGGATAGAGTTAAGAATTCAAGGTGTTTAATGGGGGATCAACACCTATGAAAGGAAAGAGGAGGTCTCAGCATAGGGGAATGAGAGAAGTTAAAACTGCTATGCAGATCCAACACAGCCTCAGACGTCTCAGCAAGGAGTTCTGAAATGAGGAATGCTAATCAGAATTGTCCTCTGGTGGATCAAAAGAGCCAGACCTTTATGTACTGCCTTGTTCAATCACCAGGTGACAGGTGATCCAAGAAGGGCATGACCTCAGGTGACTCAGTTCTTTGAAAGTGAGCAAAGCCCTAAAGGAGCAGACTGCTGAAGGCCATCTACTCCCCATGGCTGGTGGCAAGGCTTTTGCTGAAGGCGAATGTGAACAGTCCATCTCTGTGCCTACCACACCTTCTAAGTCATATATACATACATATGTATGCACAGAGAGAGAGAGAGAGAGAAAGAGATTGAGAGAGAAAGAACTCTGTTAACCAGTAAGAGTGGTAGCAAGCATCCTTGTCATATTTTTTACTTCAAAGACGATTAAAGGTTTTCCATTAAATATATTTGCTACAGGCTTGCATTGAATAACCTTTATCATGATAAGAAATTACCACCTATTTCCATTTTTCTAAATGTTTATGTTTTAGGATTTTTTTTATAATAATAGGTTTTGAACTTTCAGTTGCTTTATGTGTATCGATTAACATAATCGTATGTTTTTCTCCTTTATCTTTTAATGGGGAAAATAATATCAACATATTTTCTGACTTGCATTCTTGGGATAAATCCCTCTTGATTATGGTACATATGTGAACATTTATCCTCAGGTACTTAACATTTCATTTAGGATTTAGTCATTTATACATATCTGTAAAATTGGCTTTACTTTCATTTTACTGGATTGTCTCTTTTTACTTGTTCAGATTGCCTTCTTTATCTTTATTCTGCTAAAAACCTTCATTAAGAAAGGATTATTCTTGAAACTTTTACAGAACTTAACCATAAAGTTATCTGGATTTAAGTCTTTTTTGTAAATAAATACTGTGATTTCCATTTAAATTCCATAAATGTTTATAGGTCTATTCATATTTTCTTTAAATATTATTTTATACTCTAGAAGTTTGTTTATATTATATTAAGTATATATTTCAAATAAATCATGTGTTACTCGTAATACTTTATATTTTTATATATGCATTTTAATACTCTGCTTATTTGTATCAACTTGTTTCAAGTCTTGCAAAAATTTTTCTATCACATTAATCTTCTAAAGGACCAGTTTCTTAATTTGTCATGTTAGTGAGATTTTTGTACTTCTTGATTCATACTCTTAACTTTAATATTTTTTTCCTTCTTCTATCTTTCTAGTTTAGTACAAAGCTTAGATCATTTGCTTTTTCATTATTTTGTTGTCGTTGTTTGCTACTTTTCTAATGTATGAGTTCAAACCAATAACCAATAAATAATTTAGCTTTATTCTGAAAAGTTTGACATTTAGTGTTTTAATTGTCATTCAGCTCTTAAGTATTTTTTATTTCAATTTTCTTTCTTAAAGTGTCAATAAGAGGTTCTTTGATTTCAAGAAATAGGAGTTTTTTTTATGCTTTTGTTATAGTTTTAAATTTTATAGCATTTAATCAAGGAAATGTTCTTTATGTTAATTTCTGAAATTAATTCAGGACTTTTTAAAAAAATGGTAAAATACACATAGCATAAAATTTACCATTTTAACCATTTTTAACTGTTCAGTCCAGTAGAATTAAGTACATTCACATTGTTGTGAAACCATCACCATTATCTATTTCCAGAAAGGTTTACCATTTCATAATGAAACTCTGTATCCATTAAACAATAACTTCCCATTGTCCCCTTCCTCCCACCCCTAACAATGACTGTTCTACTTCCTGGCTCTGTGAAATTGACTATTTTAATTACCTTATAAGAGTGGAATCATATATTTCTCCTTTTGTGTCTGACATTTCATTTATCATAATGTCTTCACATTTCATCCATGTCATAGCATGTAACAGAATTTCTTTGTTTAAGGTATATATGTCTATTGTTTACAGCATATTTTGATTACCGGTTGATGATGGACATTTGGGTTGTTTCTATTTTTGGCTATTGAGAATAATGCTGTTATAAACATGGGTGTGGAAATACCTGTTTGTCCTTGCTTTCAATTCTTTTGTGTATATACCTAGAAGTGAAATTATTCAATCAAGTGGTAATTGTATGTTTAATTTTTGAGGAACCACTATGCTGTTTTTCACAGCAGCTGCACTGTTTTACATTCCCACCAGAAATGTGCAAGGTTTTCATTTTTTCCACATCCATGCCAACACTTGTTATTTTCTGTTCTCTTAGTAATAGCCATCGTAATGGTTCTGAAGTGGTATCTCATAGTTGTTTTGATTTGCATTTTTCTAAATATCTGTGAGGCTGAGCATATTAATATTTTGTATGTGCTTATTAGCTATCTGTACACATTCTCTGGATAAATGTTTCTTTAGGTCTTTTGCCTATTTATAAATTGGGTTGTTTTATTGTTGTCGAATTTTAAGAGTTCTGCATATATTCTACATATTAATCCCTTGCCAGACATCTGATGCAAATATTTCCTCCCATTCTGTGGGTTGCATTTTTACTCTGTTGATAGTGTCTTTTGATGCAAAAAAAAAAAAATCTAGATTTTGGTGAAGTCTGATTTGTTTATTTTTCCTTTGGTTGCCTATCTTTGGTGTCATAGTCAAGAAATCATTGCCAAATCCAATGTCAAAAAGCTCTTATATGCTTTCTTCTAAAGTTTTATAGTTGTAGCTTTTACACTTATGTCTTTGATACATTTTGAGTTAATATTTGTATAAGTTTGTATATAAAGGTCCATTCTTTTGCATATGGATTTCCATTTTTCCCAGCACCATTTATTGAAAAGGGTATAATTTCTCTGTTGAGTCTGGCACCGTTGTCAATAAAACATTCAACCATACGCAATGAGGGTCAATTTCTGGATTTTCTATTTTATTTGCATATATGTCTATCTTTATGTTAAAACCACACTGTTTTGATTACTTTAGCTTAACACTTAATTGTGAAATCTAGAAGTATTTGTAATCCAACTTTATTCTTTTTCAAGATTGTTTTAGCTATTTGAAGTCCCTTGAGATTTCATACAAATTTTGGAATGAAGTGTGCTATTTCTCCAAGAAAATGTTGGGATTTCAATAGGGATTGCATTGAATCTGTAGATTGCTTTGACATCTTAACAATACAAAGTTTTCAACCCATGAACATAGGATATCTTTTTACTCATTTTTTTCTTTAATTTTATCCAGCAATGTTTTGTGGTTTTCATTGTATAAGTTTTTCACCTTCTTAGCTAATTCCTAATTATTTTATTCATTTTGATGCTATTGTAATTGAAATTGTTTTCTTAATTTTCTTTTTGGATTATTTATTATTAGTGGATATAAACACAAATGATATTTGTGTGTGAGGTCTGTATCCTGCTACTTTTCTGAATTCATTTATTAATTCCAATATTTTTCCCCTGTGAAATCTTTAGCTTTCTACATATAAGATCATGTCACCAGCAAACAGAAATATTTTTATTTCTTCCACTTCAGTTTGAATTCCTCTTTTTTCTTCTTGCCTAATTGCACTGGCTAGAACTTCTATGCTGAATTGAAGTGGTGAAACGAAGCATCCTTGGCTTGTTGTTTCTAATTTTAGAAGAAAAGCTTCCTGTCTTTTCCTAGGGTTTACTGTTTTTTTGTTCGTTTGTTTTGTGTCTGTCTGTTTGCTGCTGATTGTTGGAGGATGTCTCTGTGCCAGGGATCAGCCTGAGATGTATAATTAAGGTCTTCTCAATTATTTTCTGAACCTCTGTTCCTTCCTAGGCATGTGTGGTAACTCTCTAAATTCCCTAGGATATATGGTTGGTTTTAAATGTCCTAGTCTTTAAATGTTTGATTTCCAAAAGAAAATGAAGGGGAAAAACTAAACAAAACACAGGGTCTGGCGCTTTATATCCTCTGGAATCCACTTCAGCCAGAGGATGTTGTAAAAATAGCAGAAGGCATTGTAGGAATGGCAGCCTGCCTCTATGTCTGCACCTCCATGATCAAAAGCAGCAATAGGTAATCTGAACACACATCTCCGATATGCAGAGGACAAGATCCTTATTGCCCATGCTGACTCCCACAGACTGTGCATAAGCTGTTCCAGGAACGCAAATGTGGCTGCCTGACAGAGAGTTGGATAAAGAGATAGGTAGCTGCTACCCACAGAAAGCTGAAACTAATCAAAATCAACTCTGATTCAGTGTCCATGTCTTGCTCTGGAAGCTACAAGCCTTTGATAGACTCTCGAGTTCCAAAATAGTCACATCCAACAGATTCTACCAGTACAATTGTTGTCTAGGTCTAGATGGGCATGTGGATACCTGGCACTTCCTTCTTTACTATCTTCCCTGATGTCCAAGGCCTACATTTAAAATGTTTTTCTACTTTTTTGTACAGAAATTTTAATTCTAATCCTTGGATCATAATACACTATAACTATTTTTCCGTGCATAACCTACTTTTATTTTTTGATTTGTTTTTTTGTCTGCTTATTTACATGTTCATTTATTTATGTATATTATAATAGACACTTTGGAGCCCTTCATCTAATGCAAGAACTAGAAAATTATCAACAACTTACATTTTCTGATGTGTTCCTTTTCTGTTCCTTAACATGTGGCCTAATGTATCATCAATTTCTATTAATTATATATATGTGTATATATGTATAATTAAAGAAATTTTCTGTGTATTAATTTTAAATTCTGTGAAGTCATGCCTCATTTGACAATAGGGATGTGTTCTTTTTATTGTGAAGAATTTCATTGTTTTGTTTATTTTTAAAATTGTTTATAGTTACCCACATATTTACCACTTCCAGTGTACTTTATTCCTTTCCCATTGCAAGTTCAGAAGGTAAATGTGCAGGTTTATTACATGAATATATTTTGTAATGGTGGGTTTGGGCTTCTAGTGAATCTATCACTCAAATGGTTTTTCAACCCTTCTCCCCTCCCTCCCTCCTTTGGAGTCCCCAGTGTCTATTGTTTTCATTTTTATGTCCATGTGTACGCATTGTGTAGCTCCCACTTAAAAGTGAGAAAATGTGGTATTTGATTTTCTGTTTTTGCATTACTTCACTCAGGATTATGGTGTCCAGCTCCATCCATGTTGCTGAAAAGAACATGATTTCATATTTTCTATGGTTGTGTAGTGTTCCATGGTGTATATGTACCACAATTTTTTTTTATCCAATCCACTGTTGGTGGACATTTTCCTATTGTGAATAGTGCTGTGATAAACATATGAGTGCAGGTATCTTTTTGATAAAACAATTTGTTTTCCTTTGAGTAGCTGTCCAGTAGTGAGATTTCTAGGTTGAATCGTAGTTCTATTTTTAGTTCTTTGAAAACTCTCCACATTGTCATTCATAGGAGTTGAACAAATTTACATTCCCATCAACAGTGTATAAGCACTCCCTTTTTTCTACATCATTGCCAACATCTATTATTTTTTGACTGTTTAGTAATAGCCTTTCTAACTTGTATGAGATGGTATCTCATTGTGGTTTTAATTTGCATTTCTCTGGTGATTAGTGATGTTGAGTATTTTTTTCATGTTTTCGGCTGTATGTATCTCTTCTTTTAAGAAGTGTCTGTTCATGTCCTTTGCTCATTTTTAATAGTATTATTTGTTTTTTTTTTCCTTGTTGATTTGTTTAAGTTCCTTATAGATTCCAAATATTAATGACAGGGATATATTCTGAGAATGTGTCATTAGGTGATTTCACCATTGTGCAAACATCACAGGCTATACTTACACAAAGCTAGGTGGTAGAGCCTACTACACACCTATATGGTATAGCCTAGTGTTTCTAGGCTACAGACCTGTACAGCATAGGACTCTACTGAATACTGTAGGCAATCATAACACAATGGTAAGTATTTTTATATATAAACATATCTACACATAGAAAAGGTACAGTAAAAAATACAGTATAAAAGATGTTTTTTAATGGTATACCCCCATTGGGTACTTCTTATAAATGGAACTTGCAGGAGTGGAAGTTGCTCTGGGTGAGTCAATTATATGGTTTGGATGTTTTTTGTTCCCTTCAAACTTCATGTTGAAGCATAACCTCTAATGTTGGAGGTGGGCCTTGTGGGAGGTGTTTGGGTCATTGGGGCAAATCTCTAATTAATAGCTTGGTGTTGTCCCATGGTAATGAGTGAGTTCTCACTGTGTGAGTTCACATGGAATCTTGTTGTTTAAAAAAGGCCATCACCTCTCCCCTCTCGCTGTATCTCCCCCTCCCACAATGTGACATACTGACTCCCCTTCCCTACTGCCATGACTAAAAGTTTCCTGAGGCCTCCCCAGAAGCTAAGCAGATGCCAATGCCATGCTTGTACAGCCTGCAGAATCATGGGCCAAAATAAACCTCTTTTCTCTATAAGTTACCCAGACTCGGGTATTCTTTATAGTGATGTAAAATGAACTAGGACTAATACAGTCAGTGAGTGAGTGGTGAGTGAATATGAAGGCCTAGGACATTACTGTATGCTTTATAAAGAAATATTTTTTCCTCAATAATGAACTAAACTTTGCTTACTGTAACATTTTTACTTTATAGACTTTTTAAATTTTATATTGGTCCATTCTCATACTGCTATAAAGAACTAGCTGAGACTGGGTAATTTATAAATAAAAGAGGTTTAATGGACTCTTAGTTCTACAGCCTATACAGGAAGCATGGCTGAGAGGCCTCAAGAAACCTACCATCATGGTGTCAGGGGAAGCAAACACATCTTACCATGGTGGAGCAGGAGAGAGAGAGAGAGAAGTGGGAAGTGCCACACACTTTTAAACAACCAAATCTCCTGAGAACTCACTCACTATCACCAGAACAGCAAGGGTGAAATCCATTCACATGATTTAATCACCTCCCACCAGGTCCCTTCCCCAACATTGGGAATTACAATTCGACATGAAATTTGGGTGGGAACACGGAGCCAAACTATATCAAATTTAATTTTTTTTCACTATTTTATAATAATACTTAGCTTAAAAAGCACATTGTATACCTGTACAAAAATATTTTATTTCTTTATATCCTTTTTCTATAAGCTCTTTTCCATTTTTATTTATGTTTTAATTGCTAAGTTTTTTGGTTTTGTTAAAAACTAAGACAGACACACACATTAGCCTAGGCGAAATGGGGTCAAGATAATCAGTATCACTGCCTTCTACTTCCACATCCTGTCCCACTGAAAGGTCTTTAGAGCAATAACATGCATGGAGATACTGTCTCCTATGATAACAATGCCTTTTTCTGGAATATCTCCTACAGTGTCTGCCTGAGGCTGTTTTACAGTTACCTTTTTTTTCCTTATAAGTAGAAGGGATATACTCTAAAATAACAATAAAACATATAGTATAATAAATGCATAAATCAGTAACATAGTCATTTACCATCATCCTCAAGTATTATGTACTGCGCATAATTGTATGTGCTTTGCTTTCATACAACTGGCTATATAGTGGGTTTATTTACACCAACATCATCATGAACAATGGGAATTCTTCAGCTCCATCATAATATTATGGGACCACTGTCACATATGCAGTTCATTGTTGACCAAAATGTCATTATACAGTGCAGAACTATATTTATATACATGTATTTAAATATTTAAACTGAGTTTGTCGATAGTACTCTTCAGATATTATTTATCCTTATTTTTCTCTGCTTTAACAGTTACCAAGAAGGATATACTATAATCTATAATTATAGTTGTTGATTTACCTATCTCCCCATAATTTTGTCAATTGTTACTTTATGCAATTTGGGTCGGTCTATTATGAGGCTACACACATCTGATTTTGATTTATTCTCTTGCTCCATTTATAAGCATAAAATGGTATATGCTGTTGTATGTCTATATAACACTGATCATTTGACTTTAATTTTGTCAGAAATATTTTATTTCTGATATGCCTGGTATACTTTTTCTATCCTTGTATTTTCACACTTTCTAAGTGTATCTCTGGTATTCAACATGTTTCAGTATTTTTTACATTTATTAAAATTCTATTATACAGACTACAGTACTTTATTCACAAACCCAAAATTTAAATATTTCTGAAAACTGAGCGCTTTTTCATAACTTATGCAGCAGCAAAACCAAACTACCTTGTCTGCATGGTGGCAAAATCAGACTTAAACTGTCAAGAAAATATTTCCAGTGAAATAAAGAAACACTGCTCCTATACAGTTCTATTTCTCTTCCATTTTTATTTCTTTATGCTAATATTGTTAAGGATATAATATCTATACCTGTTACAAACCCCAAAATACATTGTTATAAGTACTTTGTATAGTTTTGTGGCTACTAAATAAGCTGAGAAAAGAAAGGAAAGAAAGGATATATTTATAGACTTTGTTACATTAATCTTATTTACTATGTCCAGTTCTCTTCATTTGTTCCCATGGATTCAAGTTACTGTCTCGTGTCATTTTCCTCCTCCAATAGAGCTTGTTCTCACCAACCTTCTTTGTGCTAGTATTGTCAAATATATTGCATTTCTGTATGCTATAGACCAAACAATCTAATTATATACTATTGTTTTATAAAAATTTTTTTTAAATCAGGTAAGAGAATAAATATACATATGTATGTGTGTGTATATATATGCACACACATATATATATAATGTTTTGTAATTATATAATTACCTTTGCTCCTTATTTTTTCATCTGGATGTGAATTTCCATCTAGGTTTACTTGCTTTCAGCCTGACGAACTTCCTTTAGTTTTTTTTATAAGGTAGATCTGAAGAAATGATTTATTTTACTTTTTCATTTGTATCTAGAAACACTTTTACTTTGCCTTCATTTTTAAAAGATACATTTGCTGAAGATAAGATTCTTGGTTGACAGTTTATTTCTTTCAGTCCTTGAATACGTCATTTACTGCAATTTGGCCTCCATTGTTTCTCAGGAGAAGTCAGCTGTTAAATTTACTAAGTCTTCCTTGTTTGCAGGGGGCTGTTTTTCTCTTGTTGCTTTCAAAATTTCTGTCTTTGAATTTCACCATTTTTAACATCATATGTCTGGTTATGGATCCCTTTGTTTTTATCCTACTTGAAGTTCATTGTGCGTTTATCCTATTTGATAAGAATCCCTGAGCCACAGCCCTGGAGTTGAGGGTAGAATCGGTGGCTGGCTTCTCTCACATGGCAGCCTGCTTACTAGCTGGGTGCTGGGTGCAGGCACTAGACTCTGGTCTCTTCAGCTTACCTAACCCAGTGTGGAATGTAGGCCCTACAAGCAAGCTGGGGCAAGAGTAATTAGGCCCAACATTCTCAGCCTAACACCCTTGGGTTAGAGCTTCCACTTTACAAGTTGGAGATGGGTGAGAGAAGAGAACCCCTAGCTTCTAAACTATACTTACCAGGACATTAGCCTCTGCAACTTAGAACTAGGAGTAATGAGAAATGCTAGTGTCCTGCCCCTCCAAGTGAGACATCATATCCCTTGATTGGGAGCTGTCTTCTTGGCCATACCTGACCAGAGTAGTACACACCTGACTAGTGTTTCATTAATGAACACTTACTCATTTGTTGTAAGCAGTCAGGACAATTTCCAGAGATGTTAAGTGGTTAGATAAATAAATAGATAATATTCACCAGTTAGGATTGTTTCTCTGAGGATTCTAGAGCTCCACTTTCATGGTGGATTTTTTTTTTCTAATCTATCTCTTCTTGATGTCTCCTGAGATAGTTTCTCAACCCAAATATCTAGCCTGCTAGTTGGGATTACAGTTTGACCTTTCCTTTTTGCATCTCTCACCTTTCCCATAGGCATCTCCTGACTCCAGGAAATCTCCTAATGCCTCAGTTTCAGGTACTACTCTTTTCTGGGGTCCTTCACCAACCTTTTATGTAATTGTTCTATTGGTTGTAGATAGAAGTACTAGCAAGCAGGGTGAGGGTGGTCTGCATCAGAACAGCATGCCTGCAGTCCCGGGTATAGCATCTATCCATCATCCAATTTCCATGCTGATACGAGCTTACTGGATATGGTTGGTGCTAGACTGGATCTGCTACTTCTTTCTCCCATGGTAGCTATTAGGCATGTGGTGATCCACTCAACTCAATATAAAAGAAGGGAAAGAGAATGATTAGAAAATGATTTCTGATAACCCTCAATGTCCCCTTGCCCCTCTCATGTTGCAGTCTAATTTATATTACCACATCCTTCTCTTGGTTTTCAGCACTAATTCCAATTCTCCTCCACCAAACAAACATCCAGAGGTCAAATCATCTTATTCTCAAAGTGTTTGACAGTGTTTTGGTTTTGTCTGATAAAACTGTTCTGAAACCCATTCACCTCCTTATCCCTTTTGTGGCGATCCCAATATCTAGAGAAGGGAGCCAGTAGTCTGCTTGTTTTCCAATTAGTCTAGAATTAGACAGCAATTTTCTATTACTTTAAGGCATCTGTTTTGCCCTTTCCTACTGGTACATAAAGGCAGGAATCATTTCTTCTTCCTCTTTGTGACCCCAGTTGCTGCCCAATTCCTTGGGAAGGCATACTGAGGACCCGTGTGGGTTGAGGGTTGTGGCTTTTATGAAGGCTAATAACATAACACGGAATCCCACCTGTCAAGAAGTGTAGTATTTAGCAGAGAGTGAAGATGGAGAGATACCTGGATTGGTCTTTTCCATTGATTTTCAATGCTTCAGTAAATGAATCCAATTTTTCAAGGGTTAAACTATTGCATCCATAGTTTCAAAATGCCAGTAAATAGAAGAATGATCTATTACTTTTCCACAAGATTGCATTGATAACTAGTGCAAAACTAGCTTTTCAGCTATGTATCAAACCCTTTTCTTCTGCTAGGTATTACTGTACTTGAGTGCCTCCCAAAGCAATTGCTTTTTGTTTCTGCTTTTAATACCAGGCCATTAATCCCAATGTTCTGTTTGGAGTAAAGTGATACATGCGAAGCCAGGCTTAGGAATTATGATAGTTAAAAGCTCACATTTAAACAGGCAGATGCAAAATGGGATTTCATTTCTTTCTGGCATTAGGCTTTTAAGTGTCAGAAAAATAACAATCCACAGAGAGAAATTTTTCCACAAGAGCTGCAGCTCTGATATTTTAGTCACAATTCTCTCCAAATCAGCTACAGCTATGAATCTTGTTGAGGTAATGATAGTTCAAGAAAGCGATTGTAAAAATTGATTTAAATCCTTTGACAGTATGTCTACATTCCATAGTCAATAAAAAAAGAGTTTCATGGGCTATGGAAGTGATTGCTACAAAGCAGATATGGCTCTTCCTCAAAAATCATAATGCAGGACTTTATTCTCTAATGTTTTAGCTTCTCCTTCCCCCAGCAAGCTTTGTAGCCCACTTGAATCAGGCCCATTTACTTGATGTATATGATGGAAAAAGTAAAGGTGATTGAGAGACATGCATTTGAGATTGATTGTCATTGAAATGGAAATATGTTTGCATTTATATGGAGAATGAGAACTTTTCTACCAGTAGTTCTTAGATTTTTTTATGTTTTCTAAGATTAGGAGAGACATACGTAGTCACACAGACCAAAGTCTCCTTTCTTGAGGCAGGTCAGTGCGACACTAAACTTCTCTGTGACCCAAACCCTGCAGTAGGTGACTTACACACATTAATTTTCTTAGCAAGGGAGGTGGTGGTTATCTCCTTGTCACAGGCAAGGACATGGGGCTCAGGAGAGGATGTTCATAGAGAGAATCAGTGTCACAGCTAAGGTCTGACCCCAAATCTTGCTTTTCCTACCCTTTGCTGACTCCTAGATGATCCATGATTTGTTGGAGCTGTCTGCTTTCAGTAAATTAATATACCTCCACTAGCACTAAATAATAAATTAGAAGGTGATTCTTTATAGTACCAAAGGATTTTCTAGGGGGGTGGGCCTTTAAATAGCCAGCACATTTCAAATACCAATTTTTAAAATATATATATATTAAAATATTTACTTTATATTTAATTTGTCTTCAGCATTCTAATAATAGTTTTCATCCTCAAGCATATATATCCATTAATTATTTATAATTCCCCTGTCAGGTAGGTGCTGTTTAGCCCCATTTTATTTATTTATTTTTTAAATTTATTTATTTTTTATTTATTATACTTTGAGTTTTAGGGTACATGTACACAACGTGCAGGTTAGTTACATATGTATACATGTGCTATGTTGGTGTGCTGCACCCATTAACTCATCATTTAACATTAGGTATATCTCCTAATGCTATCCCTCCCCTCTCGCCCCACCCCACAACAGGCCCTGGTGTGTGATGTTCCCCTTCCTGTGTCCATGTGTTCTCATTGTTCAGTTCCCACCTATGAGAACATGTGGTGTTTGGTTTTTTGTCTTTGTGATAGTTTGCTGAGAATGATGGTTTCCTGCTTCATCCATGTCCCTACAAAGGACATGAACTTATCATTTTTTATGGCTGCATAGTATTCCACGGTGTATATTTGCCACATTTTCTTAATCCAGTCTATCATTGTTGGACATTTGGCTTGGTTCCAAGTCTTTACTATTGTGAATAGTGCCGCAATAAACATACGTGTGCATGTGTCTTGATAGCAGCATGTTTTATAATCCTTTGGGTATATACCCAGTAATGGGATGGCTGGGTCAAATGGTATTTCTAGTTCTAGATCCCTGAGGAATCGACACACTGACTTCCACAAGGGTTGAACTAGTTTACAGTCTCACCAACAGTATAAAAGTGTTCCTTTTTCTCCACATCCTCTCCAGCACCTGTTGTTTCCTGACTTTTTAATGATCGCCATTCTAACTGGTGTGAGATGGTATCTCATTGTGGTTTTGATTTGCATTTCTCTGATGGCCAGTGATGGTGAGCATTCTTTCATGTGTCTTTTGGCTGCATAAATGTCTTCTTTTGAGAAGTGTCTGTTCATATCCTTCGCCCACTTTTTGATGGGATTGTTTGATTTTTTCTTGTAAATTTGTTTGAGTTCATTGTAGATTCTGGATATTAGCCCTTTGTTAGATGAGTAGATTGCAAAAATTTTCTCCCATTCTGTAGGTTGCCTGTTCACTCTGATGGTAGTTTCTTTTGCTGTGCAGAAGCTCTTTAGTTTAATTAAATCCCATTTGTCAATTTTGGCTTTTGTTGCCATTGCTTTTGGTGTTTTAGACATGAAGTTCTTGCCCATGCCTATGTCCAGAATGGTAATGCCTAGGTTTTCTTCTAGGGTTTTTATGGTTTTAGGTCTAACATTTAAGTCTTTAATCCATCTTGAATTAATTTTTGTATAAGGTATAAGGAAGGGATCTAGTTTCAGCTTTCTACATATGGCTAGCCAGTTTTCCCAGCACCATTTATTAAATAGGGAATCCTTTCCCCATTTCTTGTTTTTGTCAGGTTTGTCAAAGATCAGATAGTTGTAGATATGTGGCATTATTTCTGAAGGCTCTGTTCTGTTCCATTGGTCTATATCTCTGTTTTTGTACCAGTACCATGCTGTTTTGGTTACTGTAGCCTTGTAGTATAGTTTGAAGTCAGGTAGCCTGATGCCTCCAGCTTTGTTCTATTGGCTTAGGATTGACTTGGCAATGCAGGCTCTTTTTTGGTTCCATATGAACTTTAGTTTTTTCCAATTCTGTGAAGAAAGTCATTGGTAGCTTGATGGGGATGGCATTGAATCTATAAATTACCTTGGGCAGTATGGCCATTTTCATGATACTGATTCTTCCTACCCATGAGCATGGAATGTTCTTCCATTTGTTTGTATCCTCTTTTATTTCATTGAGCAGTGGTTTGTAGTTCTCCTTGAAGAGGTCCTTCACATCCCTTGTAAGTTGGATTCCTAGGTATTTTCTTCTCTTTGAAGCAATTGTGAATGGGAGTTCACTCATGATTTGGCTGTCTGTTTGTCTGTTATTGGTGTATAAGAATGCTTGTGATTTTTGCACATTGATTTTGTATCCTGAGACTTTGCTGAAGTTGCTTATCAGCTTAAGGAGATTTTGGGCTGGGATGATGGGGTTTTCTAGATATACAATCATGTCATCTGCAAACAGGGACAATTTGACTTCCTCTTTTCCTAATTGAATACCCTTTATTTCCTTCTCCTGCCTGATTGCCCTGGCCAGAACTTCCAATACTATGTTGAATAGGAGTGGTGAGAGAGGGCATCCCTGTCTTGTGCCAGTTCTCAAAGGGAATGCTTCCAGTTTTTGTCCATTCAGTATGATATTGGCTGTGGGTTTGTCATAGATAGCTCTTATTATTTTGAGATATGTCCCATCAATACCTAATTTATTGAGAGTTTTTAGCATAAAGGGTTATTGAATTTTGTCAAAGGCCTTTTCTGCATCAATTGAGATAATCATGTGGTTTTTGTCTTTGGTTCTGTTTATATGCTAGATTACGTTTATTGATTTGTGTATGTTGAACCAGCCTTGCATCCCAGGGATGAAGCCCACTTGATCATGGTGGATAAGCTTTTTGATGTGCTGCTGGAGTCGGTTTACCAGTATTTTATTGAGGATTTTTGCATCGATGTTCATCAGGCATATTGGTCTAAAATTCTCTTTTTTGGTTGTGTCTCTGCCAGGTTTTGGTATCAGAATGATGCTGGCTACATAAAATGAGTTAGGGAGGATTCCTTCCTTTTCTATTGATTGGAATAGTTTCAGAAGAAATGGTACCAGCTCCTCCTTGTACCTCTGGTAGAATTCGGCTGTGAATCCGTCTGGTCCTGGATTTTTTTTGGTTGGTAAGCTATTAATTATTGCCTCAATTTCAGAGCCTGTTACTGATCTATTCAGTGATTCAACTTCTTCCTGGTTTAGTCTTGGGAGGGTGTATGTGTCTAGGAATTTATCTATTTCTTCTAGATTTTCTAGTTTATTTGCATAGAAGTGTTTATAGTATTCTCTGATGGTAGTTGGTATTTCTGTGGGATTAGTGGTGATATCCCCTTTATCATTTTTATTGCATCTATTTGATTCTTCTCTCTTTTCTTCTTTATTAGTCTTGCTAGTGGTCTATCAATTTTGTTGACCTTTTCAAAAAACCAGCTCCTGGATTCATTGATTTTTTGAAGGGTTCTTTGTGTCTCTATCTCTTTCAGTTCTGCTCTGATGTTAGTTATTTCTTGCCTTCTGCTAGCTTTTGAATGTGTTTGCTCTTGCTTCTCTAGTTCTTTTAATTGTGATGTTAGGGTGTCAATTTTAGATCTTTCCTGCTTTCTCTTGTGGGCATGTAGTGCTATAAATTTCCCTCTACACACTGCTCTGAATGTGTCCCACAGATTCTGGTATGTTGTGTCTTTGTTCTCATTGGTTTCAAAGAACATCTTTATTTCTGCCTTCATTTCGTTATGTACCCAGTGGTCATTCAGGAGCAGGTTGTTCAGTTTCCATGTAGTTGAGCGGTTTTGAGTGAGTTTCTTAATCCTGAGTTCTAGTTTGATTGCACTGTAGTCTGAGAGATAGTTTGTTATAGTTTCTGTTCTTTTACATTTGCTGAGGATCGCTTTACTTCCAACTATGTGGTCAAATTTGGAATAGGTGTGGTGTGGTGCTGAAAAGAATGTATATTCTGTTAATTTGGGGTGGAGGGTTCTGTAGATGTCTATTAGGTCCGCTTGGTGCAGAGTTTAGTTCAATTCCTGAATATCCCTGTTAACTTTCTGTCTCATTGATCTGTCTAATGTTGACAGTGGGGTGTTAAAGTCTCCCATTATTATTGTGTGGGAGTCTAAGTCTCTTTGTATGTCTCTAAGGACTTGCTTTATGAATCTGGGTGCTCCTGTATTGGGTGCATATATATTTAGGATAGTTAGCTCTTCTTGTTCAATTGTTCCCTTTACCATTATGTAATGACCTTCTTTGTCTCTTCTGATCTTTGTTGATTTAAAGTCTGTTTTATCCGAGACTAGGATTGCAACCCCTGCCTTTTTTTGTTTTCCATTTGCTTGGTAGATCTTCCTCCATCCCTTTATTTTGAGCCTATGTGTGTCTCTGCACATGAGATGGGTTTCCTGAATATAGCTTACTGATGGGTCTTGACTCTTTATCCAATTTGCCAGTCTGTGTCTTTTAATTGTAGCATTTAGCCCATTTATATTTAAGGTTAGTATTGTTATGTGTGAATTTGATCCTGTCATTATGATGTTAACTGGTTATTTTGCTCGTTAGTTGATGCAGTTTCTTCCTAGCCTTGATGGTCTTTACAATTTGGCATGTTTTTGCAGTGGCTGGTACTGGTTGTTCCTTTCCATGTTTAGCGCTTCCTTCAGGAGCTCTTTTAGGGCAGGCCTGTTGGTGACAAAATCTCTCAGCATTTGCTTGTCTGTAAAGTATTTTATTTCTCCTTCACTTATGAAGCCTAGTTTGGCTGGATGTGAAATGCTGGGTTGAAAATTATTTTCTTTAAGAATGTTGAACATTGGCCCCCACTCTCTTCTGGCTTGTAGAGTTTTTGCTGAGAGATCCGCTGTTAGTCTGATGGGCTTCCCTTTGTGGGTAACCCGACCTTTCTCTCTGGCTGCCCTTAACATTTTTTCCTTCATTTCAACTTTGGTGAATCTGACAATTATGTATCTTGGAGTTGTTCTTCTTGAGGAGTATCTTTGTGGTATTCTCTGTATTTCCTGAAGTTGAATGTTGACCTGCATTGCTAGATTGGGGGAAGTTCTCCTGGATGATATCCTGCAGAGTGTTTTCCAACTTGGTTCCATTCTCCCCGTCACTTTCAGGTACACCAGTCAGACATAGATTTGGTCTTTTCACATAGTCCCATCTTTCTTGGAGACTTTGTTCATTTCTTTTTATTCTTTTTTCTCTAAACTTCTCTTCTCGCTTCATTTCATTCATTTCATCTTCCATCATTGATACCCTTTCTTCCAGTTGATCGAATCAGCTACTGAGGCTTGTACATTTGTCACGTAGTTCTCTTGCCATGGTTTTGAGCTCCATCAGGTCCTTTAAGGACTTCTCTGCATTGGTTATTCTAGTTAGCCATTCGTCTAATTTTTTTCAAGGTTTTCAACTTCTTTGCCATGGGTTTGAACTTCCTCCTTTAGCTCGGAGTAGTTTGATCATCTGAAGACTTCTTCTCTCATCTTGTCAAAGTCATTCTCCGTCCAGCTTTGCTCCATTGCTGGTGAGGAGCTGTGTTCCTTTGGAGGAGGAGAGGTGCTCTGATTTTTAGAGTTTCCAGTTTTTCTGCTCTGTTTTTTCCCCATCTTTGTGGTTTTATCTACCTTTGGTCTTTGATGATGGTGACATATAGATGGGGTTTTGGTGTGGATGTCCTTTCTGTTTGTTAGTTTTCCTTCTAACAGTCAGGACCCTCAGCTGCAGGTCTGTTGGAGTTTGCTGGAGGTCCACTCCAGATCCTGTTTGCCTGGGTATCAGCAGCAGAGGCTGCAGAACAACAGATATTGGTGAACAACAAATGCTGCTGCCTGATCGTTCCTCTGGAAGTTTTGTCTCAGAGGAGTACCCGGCCGTGTGAGGTGTCAGTCTGGGGCACTGAGAGTAAACAGATCTCTCAAGTTCATACACATAGAAGTGGTGATTGCAGGAATTGAACACAGTTTGTCTGATTCCTGATCCTGTGCTCCAAGGTAATATACCACATGCCTCTTGGGTAGAATATTTCCTCAACCTGTGATATCAAGAACTTCATTCTTTTCACAAGTCATTTTGCTCATGAGTAACAGTGAATTTAACTTCAGGCAGGTGACAAGCGTAAGCTGTTATTTGCCCCTATTTTACTGCGCAAAGACGTAGAGAATAACAATATATGATGTGGTAATTGCCCTTATGGAACTTTTAATCAGTTGAGGAAATCTTATTAATTAATTATATCATTGTAGCCTAAACGTGGAAAATTACCTATTGTGTTTCAGTGTCACTTTTAAAACATGAAGGAAGTGACCTTCCATGGAGCTCAGCCACAATAACAGGTTTTCCAAAATTCCAAACTGGGTTCAGTGAACTTCAAAAATGGCCACAGAATGGAGAACCAAGCATATATTCCCCTCTTTTTCCTTTCAGTGCTATTTAACTATTTAAAAAAACTTACTAAAATATTTTTACCATAATTGGATATGAATTTAAAATTTATAGACAGAATGGAGTGAAAGTGAAAATGTATTGTTTTAGAGGCTTCTGGTGGCTTGGAAGTTGCTGCTAGTTTCTCTCCATGGGCCTGAAAGATGGTCTCAGAAGATTGGCACCACATGCCTGCTTCTATGCTGCTACACTGCTTTTTCCTAACCAACAGTCTGTGAATCGTTCCTAGCCAAGGTTCCCAAGCTACAGATTGCTTTAGCTGCTGCTTGTGGCTGTTCCTTTCTCCATCTAAGCTTACACACAGGACCAGGATGTGGGGAAAAACACTTAGACACTGTTGATGGGGATGTAAATTCGTTCAACCTCCATAGAAAACAGTGTGGAGATTTCTCAAATAACTAAAAATAGAACATTCAACCCAGCAATCCTACTACTGAGTACCTACCAAAGGAAAAAAAATTATATAAAAAATACATCTGCACTCATATGTTCATCACAGCACTATTTGTAATAGCAAAGTCATGGAACCAACCTAAGTTTCCATCAATGGTTGACTGGATAAAGAAAATGTGGTAGATATACACCATGGAATACTACGCAGCCATGAAAAGAATGAATCATGTTCTTTGCAGCATGAAGCTGTAGGCAATTATCCTAAGGGAACTAATTCAAAAACAGAAAATCAAAATTAAATACCTCACGCAGTCACTTATAAGTGGGAGCTAAACAACGAGTACACATGGACATACAGAGGAGAATAATAGACCTTGGGGACTCCAACAGTGGGGAGAATGGAAGAAGGGGTTGAGGGTTGAAAAATCACCTATCAAGTGCAATGTTCACTATTTGGGTAATGGGTATACTACAGGACTGATCCCCACCAGTATGCAATATACTCATGTAACAAACATGCACATGTACATCCTGAATTTAAAATAAAATTTAAAAATACAAAAAAGAATACCTATAGCCACCGAGTGCTCTCTAGTTCTGCTGCCACCAAACCTCCTCATTTTATGCTTGGACAATTGTGATAGCTTTTAAGTTGTTCTTCCCTTTCCCTACAACACCTCCCTCCAGTTTTTCTCGGGTGCTTCCATCACATAAATTGCGTTCAAACAATTTTTTAACTTGCCATTCTCCAGCATAAATGTTTTCAGTGGTTCCTCATTACCTTTGGAATGAAATTCCCAACTCTTTGACATGGCATGTAACTCTCATGTCTCCTCTCTCTGAACTTTTACTCCACGACAGTGGTTCTTAACTGGGGACAATTTTGCTTCTCAGGGGACATTTGGTTGTCATACCTCCAAGAGGAGGTAAAGTAACTGGCATCTAGTTGGTAGGGGCAAAAGATGCTGCTAAACATCCTACAATGCCCCCCCCCCACCTCAACAGAGAACTACACAGACTGGGAGGTCAGTAGAGCAGAGGTTGACAAACCCTGTTTGAGACAAATGGGACTGAGAGTGTTTCCTAGAATGTACCCCGCACATACCAACACCATACATCTTCAGCTGTCCAACTTAATGCTTAAATGTTACTACTACCTTTATTCCTATCAATTCTCCAAAGCCTTCCTGGTGAAATGCTCCCTCGCTCCACTGAATTTTTATTGCATATACTTGTTTCACCCTTGTGTTACTTTTCCTAATCTTTTCTTTCCCCACTGTTAAATATTTTTGAAATATAAAGCATCTATCTTCTCCCCCTCATATCCCTTTGCAGTACTTATCACAGGGCTACACATATAATAGGTACTGGAAAATATTTGTTGTTTGACTGGACACAGAAAAACAGTTCATTTATTTTGACTGTAGGCTCCCTTTATAGCCATGTCTGTCCATTTGCTATATAATGCGATCACTGCTACTGCAGTCACTGAATTCCTAATATGTAGACTCAAGCACAGTTCCTTTGTTTTAAGATACTGACAGTTTTACTAGTTCTAAACTCAAGGAAGCGTAATGGAATCCTGGTGATCAGGTATGGCCCTGTCTCCATTTGTCACACCTCTTGGCCTGCTGTTATCTTAAATGAGTGGCCATGTGGAACAAATCACTAACGTGAAGGACAAGGCAAAATTACCAGAAAAGAAAGCATGAAATGGTAAATGTTTTATTTAATGTAGAATGATATGGAAATGTTTCATCTGATGCCAGCCTGCTGTTTTAAACAACCTCAGCTTCATTATTCAGAACCCTAGCATTAATGTATCTTTGCAGTGGAAAGCTTGCTAAGCAGGCTAAGAGAACACATTAGTGGAATCTTGTCTTTCCTGGTTGCTGCCCCTCATGCAAATAAATGGTTCAATTTAAAGTAATTTACCAAAGATGCATAGAGCACCTAGTATATAAAGTGAACACATGTACGGTGCCTGGCATATATACAATGGAAGATGTAAAGATGCCTACAGAGAATCCACAATCCAGTAGAAATATAAGGTAAAACAAGATGAATGGTAGTAAAATAGAGTTCTCTGAGCTCTCCAGGGGTAGAGTAACTAGGTTTAAAGGAAGCAGGTGAGTGTCACTTTTAAGCTTCTTCATAAAGGAGGAATAGGAATGTTTTGTTTTTAAATTTCCTTTTTTTTTAAATTTTGTATTGCTGCCATAATAAATTATCACAAACTTAGTGGTTTCAAATATCACACATGTGTAACTTTACAATTCTATAGGTTAGAAGTCTGACACAAGTCTCAGTTTGTTAAAATAAAACCGTCACTGGGGCTATACTGCTTTCTGGATATTATAAGAATCTGTTTCCTTGCCTTTTCCAGCTTGCAAGCTGCCATAGTCATTGGCTCAAAGCCCTTCTTCCATCTTCAAAGCCAGTAGTGGTAGATTGAGACCATCTCATGCCTCATCTTTCTGACCACTCTTCTTTCTTTTTTTTCCACTTTTAAGGACCTGTTTGATTAGACTGGGCCTCCCTGAAGACACCAAGCCATTCTCCTATGTTCATCTAGATGCTTTATGCCTTTGCCTTTCACACTTAGGTCCATGGTTAATCCTAAATTACTCTTCATATGGTATGAGGTAGAGGTCAAGTTATATTTATTTCACATATGAGTAACCATGTAACTAAGCACCATTTACGGAAAAGACCATTCTTTCTTCCCTGAATTGTAATGGCATATTTGCTATGTATCAGATGACTGTGGACATGTGAGTATATCTTTGAACTCTTTATTCTGTTCCTTTGGTCTATTTGTCTAACCTCTTGCCAATATCACATCAACTCTAGGACCAAAGATGGAATAACTGTACAGTGATTTCTGACCATAATACTTTCCTTGGTTACAAGAACTAACATGTTTCATGCTAAGCATTATAATTAGTCTAACCCATGTGAAAGTGATCTTATACATCAATATTTACATTCCAAGTTTCTTGAGAAAAGCATTTCTTCTGCCTGTTTTGTAGTAGGCCATCCCATACCTAATAGATATTCAATGATCGATTACCTCAAACTAGGAAGTTTCCCAACTAATAGGTAAATAGGAATGATATTAAAATATTTAAAGGATAGAAATTTGTCAAATAATCAATTAAAAGTTAGATAAATTGTACGTAAAATAAGTAGAAATTCTCTGATTAGGCTCAAAGACTGAGACTCGGGAAACGTGAGATATAGTCCTGGCTTTGCCAGTAAAGTTATTTTACATAACCCCAGGCAAGTCACTTAATCTTTTTGTGGTCCGTTGATCTATCCATAAAATGAGAAAAATAATACTGTAATAATGTTTTAACCTTATAGGACTACTATGAGACTGAATTAAAAACAAATTTGAAGAGGAAAAACTTGCTATATAAAGGCTCTGCCTAGGATACAATTCTTTTCGAAAAATACACAACTCACCATAAGTCCACATTTCCATTGTGAAGTTATTATTTTTGTATCTGGTAAAGATTCTAAGACCCTGCAAGATATTGAAAAACATTGTAATTTAGCAAAAATAGAATAAAGTAATTTTAAGAGAGATTTAAAGTTAAGTTGATTGTATTATAATATTTAACAGAAAGTGGATTACCAAATTATATTTTGCATATATACAGCAACTCTATTAATTAGAGCCCCCTCTTTATTAATTTGGCCAGGGAAATTAATGTTTATAGTAGCCTTAAATGTTCAGGTAAATTGTTAGGGTTTTTTTTTTATTGTCTGGTTTAATTGAGTGTACACATAAATTCAGAATCAAATAGCAGTTAGAAAAGGGATAATCTAAAAAATGCTTATATGGTGGAACACAGAGATCAAAAGATTTCTTTTACTATTTTCTTCCTGGAAAAAGGAACAATTTTACAAAGAAAAAGAAGGCAGAAAATATGCCTTTCTTACCTTTGATCTTTTATTTTTACTGTCACTTTTCCTCACCACCCTGTGCCTGTCTATCCCATACTTGATGATCAATAAAGATGTGAATGAATAAAAAGCTGTCCCTCTGTTTGTGCTCCCAGTGTCCTGTACATTATGAGTCACATATCCTCTTTGATCATTTATTTACACGCTGCTTCCTCCTGGGCCATGAAGTTCTTGAGAGTACAAACTGTCCTTTAATCATCTGGGTAACCTCAGTGCCTGACAAATTGTAGACACTTAGAATATGTCTCTCAACTAATCCTGATAGGTTTCTCACAGTAATCTCAAGGCGATCCAGGCAAAACACAAGCTTTCTTTAAGCCTTTGACGAAGACCACTCAAGCAAAATGGGTGTTTTAATTAGCACATTGTGCTGAACAGTTCATGTTTGCACACAAGTGAAAAGGGATTTACACAGAAGAAAGGAGGAAATCTCCTGCACAGGTAGGAAAACTATGAAGAAATAAATACTGCACAGAAAGACTGTAAGCTTCCTATCATAAGCAGTTAACCCCACTACTCCTGGATACGAGTTCTGAACTAAATGTAAATGAAAATGTAATAGCTATACTTTTTAAAGATATACTTTTAATGTGGGGTGTCTTTGATATTATACTAAGTTTATATCTTTTACGCATCCCACTCATTAGAACAAAAAATGGGTGGATTACTTAACCATTTATCTAGCCAAATTGGTCCAGCCATTTGTTCTCTTTTTTTTTTTTATTTTGAAGATTTATTATTTTGAAAACATCTTAACCAAAATATTTTAGAGGTTGAAAATCTATGTGCATCTATAAAAATGTAAATTTGGGCAGAGAACTGGTTTGTTTTAGAAAAACAAAACTCACTTTCATCACAAGACAGAGAAGCTCAGGTCTTTCCTTGCAGCCATTCTATACACTTCAGCGCTTTGAAGGAGCTGGCCATGAGCACGAATTACTCCAATATTTCTATTTGCTCTAAACTCCATTCCAACTCTGCCTTCACTTCAGATTTGAGGTCATATCCATGAGCCTCTCACCATTTCTTTCTTTGTTTTTTTATTATACTTTAAGTTTTAGGGTACATGTGCACAATGTGCAGGTTAGTTACATATGTATACATGTGCCATGCTGGTGTGCTGCACCCATTAACTCGTCATTTAGCATTAGGTATATCTTCTAAAGCTATCCCTCCCCCCTCCCCCCACCCCACAACAGTCCCCAGAGTGTGATGTTCCCCTTCCTGTGTCCATGTGTTCTCATTGTTCATTTCCCACCTATGAGTGAGAATATGCGGTGTTTGGTTTTTTGTTCTTGCGATAATTTACTGAGAATGATGATTTCCAATTTCATCCATGTCCCTACAAAGGACATGAACTCATCGTATTTTACGGCTGCATAATATTCCATGGTGTATATGTGCCACATTTTCTTAATCCAGTCTATCATTGTTGGAC
The DNA here is from genome assembly GCF_000001405.40 of Homo sapiens. Lineage (NCBI taxonomy): Eukaryota > Metazoa > Chordata > Mammalia > Primates > Hominidae > Homo > Homo sapiens. The sequence goes on along the minus strand of NC_000002.12, from coordinate 49,305,827 downwards.
ATTTGGCTTGGTTCTAAGTCTTTGCTATTGTGAATAGTGCCGCAATAAACATACATGTGCATGTGTCTTGATAGCAGCATGATTTATAATCCACTGGGTATATACCCAGTAATGGGATGGCTGGGTCAAATGGTATTTCTAGTTCTAGATCCCTGAGGAATCGCCACACTGACTTCCACAAGGGTTGAACTAGTTTACAGTCCCACCAACAGTGTAAAAGTGTTCCTATTTCTCCACATCCTCTCCAGCACCTGTTGTTTCCTGACTTTTTAATGATTGCCATTCTAACTGGTGTGAGATGGTATCTCATTGTGGTTTTGATTTGCATTTCTCTGATGGCCAGTGATGGTGAACATTTTCTCATGTGTTTTTTGGCTGCATAAATGTCTTCTTTTGAGAAGTGTCTGTTCATATCCTTCGCCCACTTTTTGATGGGGTTGTTTATTTCTTGTAAATTTGTTTGAGTTCATTGTAGATTCTGGATATTAGCCCTTTGTCAGATGAGTAGGTTGTGAAAATTTTCTCCCATTTTGTAGGTTGCCTTTTCACTCTGATGGTAGTTTCTTTTGCTGTGCAGAAGCTCTTTAGTTTAATTAGATCCCATTTGTCAATTTTGGCTTTTGTTGCCATTGCTTTTGGTGTTTTAGACATGAAATCCTTGCCCATGCCTATGTCCTGAATGGTAATGCCTAGGTTTTCTTCTAGGGTTTTTATGGTTTCAGATCTAACGTTTAAGTCTTTAATCCATCTTGAATTAATTTTTGTATAAGGTGTAAGGAAGGGATCCAGTTTCAGCTTTCTACATATGGCTAGCCAGTTTTCCCAGCACCATTTATTAAATAGGGAATCCTTTCCCCATTTCTTGTTTTTCTCAGGTTTGTCAAAGATCAGATAGTTGTAGATATGTGGAGTTATTTCTGAGGGATCTGTTCTGTTCTGTTCTCTTCTTAACAGGAGCCAAAATGTCGACTGTGTGTCTCTGCAGAGGAAACCTGCCAGCAATATAGTACTGTTACTGTGGCTTAATAGATTGTTCTGTACACGTGACCCTGCTTAATGGAGAAGATGCATTCAAGAACTTTCTTTTTTTTACGTCGTGTTATTTGACTTGTAGTAACAAGAGCAAGTATCAGTTTAAATAAAAATAAACAGAAAGCTCAGTTTTTTTTTTTTAATTGCCGTTTTTCTTAGACAGAGCTAAACATGGCTTAATTAACAGCAAGTGGGCAGGAACAAGAGAGAGTAATCTTTTTTTTTTTGGTAACTTCCTTTGTTCTTTTCTTTAATTACTATACTTTACGTTCTAGGGTACATGTGCACAATGTGCAGGTTTGATACAGGTATGCATGTGCCATGTTGGTTTGCTGTACCCATCAACTCATCATTTACATTAGGTATTTCTCCTAATGCTATCCCTCCCCCAGCCCCTCACATCCCCTCTACAGGCCCCAGTGTGTGATGTTCCCCACCCTATGTCCAAGTGATCTCATTGTTCAATTCTCACCTATGAGTGAGAACATGCGGTGTTTGGTTTTCTGTCCTTGTGATAGTTTGCTCAGAATGATGGTTTCCAGCAGCATCCATGTCCCTGCAAAGGACATGAACTTATCCATTTTTATGGCTGCATAGTATTCCATGGTGTATATGTGCCACATTTTCTTAATCCAGTCTATCACTGATGGACATTTGGGTTGGTTCCAAGTCTGCTGTTGTGAATAGTGCTGCAATAAACATGTGTGCATGTGTCTTTACAGCAGCATGATTTATAATCCTTTGGGTATATAACCAGTAATGGGATTGCTGGGTCAAATGGTATTTCTAGTTCTAGAACCTTGAGGAATTGCCACACTGTCTTCAACAGTGGCTGAACCACTTTATACTCCCACCAGCAGTGTAAAAGTGTTCCTATTTCTCCACATCCTCTCCAGCACCTGTTGTTTCCTGACTTTTTAATGATCGCCATTCTAACTGGCGTGTGATGGTATCTCATTGTGGTTTTGATTTGCATTTCTCTGATGGTCAGTGATGATGAGCATTTTTTCATGTGTTGGTTGGCTGCATAAATATCTTCTTTTGAGAAGTGTCTGTTCATTTCCTTTGCCCAATTTTTGATGGGGTTGTTTGTTTTTTTCTTGTAAATTTGTTTGAGTTCTTTGTAGATTCTGCATATTAGCCCTTTGTCAGATGGGTAGATTGCAAAAATTTTCTCCCATTCTGTAGGTTACCTGTTCACTCTGATGGTAGTTTCTTTTGCTGTGCAGAAGCTCTTTAGTTTAATTAGATCCCATTTGTCAATTTTGGCTTTGGTTGCCATTGCTTTTGGTGTTTTAGTCATGAAGTCCTTGCCCATGCCTATATCCTGAATGGTATTGCCTGGGTTTTCTTCTAGGGTTTTTATGGTTTTAGGTCTAACATTTAAGTCTTTAATCCATCTTGAATTAATTTTTGTATAAGGTGTAAGGAAGGGATCCAATTTCAGCTTTCTACATATGGCTAGCCAGTTTTCCCAGCACCATTTATTAAATAGGGAATCCCTTCCCCATTGCTTGTTTTTCTCAGGTTTGTCAAAGATCAGATAGTTGTAGATGTCTGACATTATTTCTGAGGGCTCTGTTCTGTTCCATTGGTGAGTATCTCTGTTTTGGTACCAGTACCATGCTGTTTTGGTTACTGTAGCCTTGTATCCACATGAACTTCAAAGCAGTTTTTTCCAATTCTGTGAAGAAAGTCAGTTGGAGCTTGATGGGAATGGCATTGAATCTATAAATTACTTTGGGCAGTATGGCTGTTTTCACAATATTGATACTTCCTGTCCATGAGCATGGAATGTTCTTCCATTTGTTTGTGTCCTCTTTTATTTCATTGAGCAGTGGTTTGTAGTTCTCATTGAAGAGATCCTTCACATCCCTCGTAAGGTGGATTCCTAGGTATTTTATTCTCTTGGTAGCAATTGTGAATCGGAGTTCACTCATGATTTGGCTCTCTGTTTGTCTGTTTATGATGTATAGGAATGCTTGTGATTTTTGCACATTGATTTTGTATCCTGAGAATTTGCTTAAGTTGCTTATCAGCTTAAGGAAATTTGGGGCTGAGAAAATGGGGTTTTCTAAATAGACAATGATGTCATCTGCAAACAGGGAAAATTTAATTTCCTCTTTTCCTAATTGAATACCCTTCATTTCTTTCTCTTGCCTGATTGCCCTGGCCAGCACTTCCAACATTATGTTGAATAGGAGTGGTAAGAGAGGGCATCCTTGTCTTGTGCCTGTTTTCAAAGGGAATGCTTCCAGTTTTTGCACATTCAGTATGATATTGGCTGCGGGTCTGTCATAAATAGTTCTTATTATATTGAGATACGTTCCATCAATACCTAGTTCATTGAGAGTTTTTAGCATGAAGGGCTGTTGAATTTTGTCGAAGGCCTTTTCTGCATCTATTGAGATAATGATGTGGTTTTTGTCATTGTTTCTGTTTATGTGATGGATTATATTTAGTGATTTGCGTACATTGAACCACCCTTGCATCCCAGGGATGAAGCCCACTTGATTATGGTGGATAAGCTTTTTGATGTGCTGCTGGATTCGGTTTGCCAGTATTTTATTGAGGATTTTTGCATTGATTTTCATCAGGGATATTGGTCTAAAATTCTCTTTTTCTGTTGTGTCTCTGCCAGGCTTTGGTATCAGGATGATGTTGGCCTCGTAAAGTAAGTTAGGGAGGAGTCCCTCTTTTTCTATTGATTGGAATAGTTTCAGAAGGAATAGTATAGTACCAGCTCCTCTTTGTACCTCTGGTAGAATTCGGCTGTGAATCCATCTCATCCTGGACTTTTTTTAGTTGGTAGGCTATTAATTATTGCCTCTATTTCAGAGCCTGTTACTGGTCAATTCAGAGATTCAACTTCTTCCTGGTTTAGTCTTGGGAGGGTGTATGTGTCTAGGAATTTATCTATTTCTTCTAGATTTTCTAGTTTATTTGCGTAGAGATGTTTATAGTATTCTCTGATGGTACTTGGTATTTCTGTGGGATTGGTGGTGATATCCCCTTTATCATTTTTTATTGCATCTATTTGATTCTTCTCTCTTTTCTTCTTTATTAGTCTTGCTAGTGGTCTATCAATTTTGTTGACCTTTTCAAAAAATCAGCTCCTGGATTAATTGATTTTTTGAAGGGTTCTTTGTGTCTCTATTTCCTTCTGTTCTGCTCCGATCTTAGTTATTTCTTGCCTTCTGCTAGCTTTTGAATGTGTTTGCTCTTGCTTCTCTAGTTCTTTTAATTGTGATATTAGGCTGTCAATTTTAGATCTTATCTGCTTTCTCCTGTGGGCATTTAGTGCTCTAAATTTCCCTTTACACACTGCTTTATGTGTCCCAGAGATTCTGGTATGTTGTGTCTTTGTTCTCATTGGTTTCAAAGAATGCCTTTATTTCTGCCTTAATTTCATTATTTACCCAGTAGTCATTCAGGAGCAAGTTGTTCAGTTTCCATGTCGTTGTGCAGTTTTGAGTGAGTTTCTTAATCCTGAGTTGTAATTTGATTGCACTGTGGCCTGAGAGATAGTTTGTTGTGATTTCTTTTCTTTTACATTTGCTGAGGAGTGCTTTACTTCCAATTATGTGGTCAATTTCAGAATAAATGCAAGGTGGTGCTGAGGAAAATGTATATTCTGTTGACTTGGGGTGGAGAGTTCTATAGATGTCTGTTAGGTCTGCTTGTTGCAGAGCTGAGTTCAATTCCTGGATATCTTTGTTAATTCTGTCTCATTGATCTGTCTAATATTGACATTGGGGTGTTAAAGTCTCCCATTATTATTGTGTGGGAGTCTATGTCTCCTTGTAGGTCTCTAAGGACTTGCTTTTTGAATCTAGGTGCTCCGATATTGGGTGCATATACATTTAGGATAGTTAGCTCTTCTTGTTGAATTGATCCCTTTACCATTATGTAATGGCCTTCTTTGTCACTTTTGATCTTTGTTGGTTTAAAGTCTGTTTTATCAGAGGCTAGGATTGCAATGCCTGCTTGTTTTTGCTTTCCGTATGCTTGGTAAATATTCCTCCATCCCTTTAGTTTGAGCCCATGTTCATCTTTGCACATGAGATGAGGCTCCTGAATACAGCACACTGATGGGTCTTGACTCTTTATCCAATTTGCCAGTCTGTGTCTTTTAATTGGGGCATTTAGCCCATTTACATTTAAGTTTAATATTGCTATATGTGAATTTGATCCTGTCGTTATGATGTTCGCTGGTTATTTTGCCTGTTAATTGATGCAGTTTCTTCCTAGCATCAATGGTCTTTACAATTTGGCAAGTTTTTGCAGTGGCTGGCACCGGTTGTTCCTTTCCATATTTAGTGCTTCCTTCAGGAGCTCTTGTAAGGCAGGCCTGGTGGTGACAAAATCTCTCAGCATTTGCTTGTCTGTAAAGGATTTTATTTCTCTTTCACTTATGAAGCTTAGTTTGGCTGGATATGAAATTCTGGGTTGAAAATTCTTTTCTTTGAGAATGTTGAATATGGGCCCCCACTCTCTTCTGGCTTGTAGGATTTCTGCCGAGATATCCGCTGTTAGTCTGATGGGCTTCCCTTTGTAGGTAACTCGACCTTTCTCTCTGGCTGCCTTTAACACTTTTTCCTTCATTTCAACCTTGGTGAATCTGATAATTATGTGTCTTGGGGTTGCTCTTCTCGAGGAGTATCTTTGTAGTGTTCTCTGTATTTCCTGAATTTGAATGTTGGCCTGCCTTGCTAGATTGGGGAAGTTCTCCTGGATAATATCTTGAGGAGTGTTTTCCAACTTGGTTCCATTCTCTCCATCACTTTCAGGTACACCAATCAAATGTAGATGTGGTCTTTTCGTATAGTCCCATATTTCTTGGAGGCTTTGTTTGTTTCTTTTTACCCTTTTTTCTCTAACCTTGTCTTCTCACTTTATTTCATTAATTTGATCTTCAGTCACTGTTACCCTTTCTTCCACTTGATCAAATCGTCTATTGAAGCTTGTGCATGCATCATGAAGATCTCGTGCCATGGTTTTCAGCTCCTTCAGGTCATTTAAGGTCTTCTCTACACTGTTTATTCTAGTTAGCCATTCATCTAATCTGTTTTCAAGGTTTTTAGCTTCCTTGTGATAGGTTCGAACATCCTCCTTTAGCTCAGAGAAGTTTGTTATTACCGACCTTCTGAAGCCTACTTCTATCAACTTGTGAAAGTCATTCTCCGTCCAGCTTTATTCCATTGCTGGTAAAGAGCTGCAATCCTTTGGAGGAGAAGAGGCTCTTTGGTTTTTAGAATTTTCTGCTTTTCTGCTCTGGTTTCTCCCCATCTTTGTGGTTTTATCTACCTTTGGTCTTTGATGTTGGTGACCTACAGATGGGGTTTTGGTGTAGATGACCTTTTTGTTGAAGTTGATGCTGTTGCTTTCCGTTTGTTAGTTTTCTTTCTAACAGTCAGGTCCCTCAGCTGCAGGTCTGTTGAAGTTTGCTGGAGTTCCACTGCAGACCGCATTTTCCTGGGTATCACCAGCAGAGTCTATAGAACAGTAAATATTGCAGAACAGCAAATATTGCTGCCTGATCCTTCCTCTGGAAGCTTTGTCCCAGAGGGGCAGCCACCTATATGAGGTGTCTGTCAGCCCCTACTGGGAGGTGTCTCCCAGTTAGGCTACATGGGGGTCAGGGACCCACTTGAGGAGGCAGTCTGTCTGTTCTCAGAATTCAAATGCTGTGCTGGGAGAACCCCTGCTCTCTTCAGAGCTGTGGGACAGGGACGTTTAAGTCTGCAGAAGTTGTCTGCTGCCTTTTGTTCAGCTATGCCCTGCCCACAGAGGTGGAGTCTAGAGACAGTAGGCCTTGTTGAGCTGTGGTGAGCTCTGCCAAGTTCGAGCCTCCCTGGCTGCTTTGTTTACCTACTCAAGCCTCAGCAATGGCAGATGCCCCTCCCCAGCCAGGCTGCTGCCTGCCTTGCAGATACATCTCAGACTGCTGGGCTAGCAGTGAGCAAGGCTCTGTGGGTATGGGACCCACCAAGGCAGGCATGGGAGAGAATCACTTTGTATGCCGGTTGCTACGACCTTGGGAAAAGTGCAGTCTTTGGGTGGGGAGTGTCCTGTTTTTCCAGGTAGTCTGTCACGGCTTCCCTTGGCTAGGAAAGGGAAATCCCTTGACCCCTTGTGCTTCCTGGGTGAGGTGATGCCCCACCCTGCTTCAGCTTGCCCTCCATGGACTGCACCCACTGTCCAACCAGTCCCAGTGAGATGAACCAGGTACCGCAGTTGGAAATGAAGAAATCACCCATCTTCTGCGTCGATCACTCTGGGAGCTGCAGACCAGAGCTGTTCCTATTCGGCCATCTTGGAATGCCCTCCCTCGAGAGAATAATCTTGAATTCTTTGGGATGATGCAATCTTTTGCAAGCACACCGAGTGTCCAGTTAAGCATAGAGCATGGTGTCCAAAAGATGGAGCATGAGTGTTGCTTCAAGCAAGAGGCTAGACTAGGGGAACTAAATACTCAACTTCTCTGATGATAGCAAAGGTTCAGAAAACAGCTATCCCACTTCTTAAGTGTCCGCTCTATACCAGGCACTGTGTACATTATTTCATGTCACTCTTATAACAGCTCTTTAGAGAATAACTGTTATTATTTCCCTAGCACAAATATTGAAGCTGGGCTTCAAAGACATCAATTAATTATTTCAAGCTCACAGTGTCAGATATAGAAATATTTAAACCAGGTACTCCTGACACAAAAGCCCCATGCTTACTGGGGCTTATCACTTTAAGATTCTGATACTCAGAATGAATTGAAGAGGAGTGGGTGTTTTAGAAATCTACATTAGTGCTGCCCATACAGTAGCCACTGGCCATATATGGCTACTCAGCACTTGAAATATGTCTAATCCAAATTGAGATGTGCTATAAACATAATATACACACCTGATGTTGAAGACTTACCAATAGAAATAAGAATAATAATTTGAATGTGTTGGATAAAATAAAATATAGCATGAAAATAAATTTTACCTATTCCTTTTTGCTTTGCTAATGTATCTACTAGAAATTTTGCTTACTTATTTATATTTATTTATTTGTTTTTGAGACATGGTCTCACTCTGTCACCCAAGCTCAAATGCAGTGGTGTGATCACAGTTCACTGCAGCTTCATCATCCCCAGCTCAAGCAGTCCTTCTGCCTCAGCCTCCAGAGTAGCTGGGACTACAGGCATGAGCCACCACATATGGCTAATTTCTTTTTTTTTTCTCTAGAGACGAGGTCTCACTGTGTTATCCAGACTGGTCTCAAACTCCTGGGCTCAAGGGATCCTCCTGCCTTGGCCTCCTAAATTGCTGAAATTATAAATGTGAGCCACGACGCCTAGTAACTAGAAAATTTAAAATGACATTGGTGATTCACGTTCAGGGCTTATATTGTATTGTATTCGTCAGCCCTGAGGTCATAGAAGCCTCTTGGCAATTGCTGGCAACCACACTGGCGTACAAAGACAGTGTGCTTATCCCTGGATTGAATTAAAACACGAATTCTTAACCAGCACCAATATGCTTTGCCCCCTCTGGGGCACATTCGCCAATGTCTGAAGACATTTTTGACGGTCATGACTGGGGTAACGATACTACTGGTATTAGTGGGTAGGGGCAAGGATGTTGCCAAACAGCCTGCAATGCACAGGACAGCTCCCACAGTAGAGTTATCAGGCCCAAAATACGAATAGTGTCAAGGTTAAGATTAGCATAAGCAGGTGGGTTTCTCCATTCTGTACAGAATTAGGGAACTAAACAGGAAGGCAAACAGGGACTTGAGCATAAGGAGCTGGGAGTTCTGTGCTAGAATCAATATACAATGTGAGGACTAGGTCTCAGAAACAACATGGGTTTATTTATGAGAACTAGGGCACACTCCAGAAGCAGTGCCTTCCAGGGCCAAGCCCCCTCCACCACACACACACACACACACACACACACACACACAATTCCATCCCAACCAGAGGTGGACTGGAGTTTCTTGGATCCAGGGATTATAGAAGGACCAACCCTGTTGGTCAAGCAGCTTTCAGCAGTGGAGAGAAAAGGCGTGCAGGGAGGTAGAGCCAGGCAGGGCCTGACAAACCAAACAAATGAGATCAATTATTATACGTGATTTTTTTTTTCCCAGAGATTTTTTTGTCCATGCAGACTCTGGACTGAGTGTCAGCAGCCTCAGCACTCACTTGTGTCAGGGCTCAGAGAACAGTCTCTTCAACCAAATAATACAAATTGAATTTATGAAAAAGAGAATTGGCTGTGTGAGTTAAACCAGCATTTTCTGGAGATGCTTTATTGGTTTCAGTAGACCTTTATTATACATTTTAGAACACATTTCAAGTCAAAGAGACAGCTAGGTTTTTGTTGAAGACTGAATTTCCACAGCAAAATTTGAAATCTGTGATGTGTGCATATTAAACCATAGACACCTTCACATCAGAGGATGGGATGATTAAATTCTGCCTCTGTTTCTGAGATACTGCAGCACGAGGGAGGGTGTATGTGCTGTAAACAGAGTATATTTTTAGGCTGGCTCGAGACAGAGTATTCTCTCTTGGTGTGCTCTGCAAGGGATGTCTCTATCTCTCTAGGTATTTGTCTACATCTTGTTGGCCTGTGTCTGATTATAAATGCTAAGAAATAGGGTCGTAGTGAAGCATGCACGAGGCACAGGTGACCTTAGTCACTGGATCCCCTTGGGCTCCTCCGCTGCACAGGTTTCCTACCCCTGCTGCTCCCACCTGGACTCATCTCTGCATGTAAGAGTGAGCTCAGGGATACACAGCAAACAGAGTGCCCCATTACCCCTCTCAAGGGAATCTGCTTTTTTCTAAAACAAGAGGAACGAAGAGAAAAGCAGGTGTCTCGGTCTTTTTGGGCTTCTATAACAAACTATACAGACTGAGTGACTTATAAACAACAGACAATGATTTCTCACAGTTCTGGAAGCGGAGAAGTCCAATATCAAGGCACTGTCACAGTGTCCTGGTTCATAGATAGCAGTCTTTTTTACTGTGTTCTCACATGGCAAGGAAAGCAAGCAGGCTATCTCGGGTCTCTTTTATGAGAACACTAATCCCTTTTATGAGGCCTCTACCCTCATAACCTAATCAACTCCCAAAGGCCCTGCCTCCAAATATCATCCCATTGAGGATTAGTATTAACATATGAATTTTGTTTATTCAAAGAAACAACCGGTCTATAGCAGCAAGGATTAAAGAGAAACCAAAAATGAGGGCTATGGGATTGGAAGATCTAGGCTTGGGTCTGGACTCCATTCTCCCTTTCATAGGTGCGTAATTATGAGCAAGAGAGAGCCCACACCTGCCTCAGTTCTGCTGTTGTAAAGTGGGAGTCAGAAGACTGCCAACTTCTTGGGCTGATGTGAGATTAACAGTGGCATGTGTTGAGAGGGTGAACTCTGGCGCCACAGCATCTGGGCTCAAATCCTCGCTGTGCTATTTAATCTCTGTGTAACCTTGCACCAATTACTTAAAATGTCTGTATCTCTGTAAAGTGGGAGAAACAATGGCCTCTACCTACCCACCAGGGTAGTGGGCTATGACAGGTAAAGCACAGAGCTCTCTGGTCTTATGTTACAGTGTCATTGACCACTGTGCAGACCACAGAAAACAGAGATGTGGGGAATTTGGACTGATTCTAAAGGAAAGTGGGGATCACAGTTATACAGAAAGAGCATCTGGAATCATCTACTCATTATTTCTTTTATTATTTTACGTATACTTTTTAAAAAATATTTGCTCATCCCCAGGGCTTCCAGTCACATCACAGTGCATATAAATGCAGCTCCCTGACCAGCTATTTCAGCCATGAGATCTCAGAAAGTTGGACCTAGGTACTCTTTTGATCATGTAAAATCTCTAAATGAGAAACTTTGCTTATTTCAGCTCATGGAGGGCTCCTCAGTGAAAAGTGAGCTTACATTTTTTGTTATGTATGTGGACTGAGGCTCTGAGTTAGATTTAATCTGATTTAAAAGAAACAACAACAAAAAAATTCAGCAATTCTTGTGTACTCCCCAAGTTGAGTAGTTTTATTTCTTCCACAGAAGCATGGAGCAGTAATACGTTATACTCTATCAAATTAGCTTCTATCCTAGTCTCTAATGAAACCATTCAGGTTCCTAGAAGGAAAAAACAATTCGTCATGAATGTAAGATAAAGAATGATAGTGTGAATAGCACTGTAGGAGACTAGAGGTAAAAGATTGGAGAAAGTTGGAGAAGGCCTTGCCCCCAAGCCTATAGAGTCAGGCCTTAGGAGAGAGGAGCATCAACTATAGACAGAGCAAATTACATCACAAGGAAATGGCAAGAGCAGCACTAAACCCAAGTGGATGATGTCATAGCCACCTGACAAACCCTAGAGAAGCTATGGAAGAGTTGCCTCAGGTGAGTAGGATGCAGGAATGTTGGTATGATAGCATGGATAGATTTAGAGTCAGGAACCAATGTGTTGTCCCCTTGGCCCTCTGATGGAATTGATACTGAGATAGTAGATTATAGGTATACCATTATCTTTTGGAGTGACTTAACTTTTATCCTGACTATAAGCAGAATTAGGGAGATGAGTTGCTATATAAACCTTCTAAACTTAAGAAATGGAAACAGTTCTTTTAAGCTTCATGAGCCTGGATAAAAATAAGTTTTCTCCTTTCTCCACATGCTGACTGTCTGATCTGAAAATGGAGGTGATGAAAAGAGTAACAGGTAAAGGCAAGTTATTTTACTGACATATGGACACTGAATTGAAATGCCCCACAATTGAGAGGGACAGACCTAGAAAAAAAATTCCTGAGTAATAAAAAACATGCATTTAGTACCTCTTCACTTCTGCTATAGTAAGTTTTTCTCTGTACTGATGTCTTCTCATATTTTGTTTCATTCTCCTCATCTCAGCAAAATCACTAATAACTTCTCTTTGAGAAGTATCAGGGACTATTCCAGAGTCATGAAATTATTAAGCCTCTGAGTGAGTAGGAAATTTGAGAACACTTAGACCAAAGTCCTCATTTTGTAGGTGAATAAACTAAGGCCAAGTTATGTTACTCAGAGAGGTGCTCCAGGTGGCCAAGTTATGTTACTCAGGGTGGTGCTCCAGGTAACACAGCAACATAGATATAACTACAAACCAGAAATTTCCTATAATAGGAAGAATTGTCTGGGTGTGGTGGCTCACACCTATAAACCTAGATGTTTGGGTGGCTGACATGGGTGCATCGCTTGAGCCAGGAGTTCAAGAAGAGCCTGGGCAATATAGTGAGGCCTTGTCTCTACCAATAAATAAATAAATAAATGTGTGTATACACAAATATTAGTTGGGTGTGGTGGCACATACCTGTAGTCCCAGCTACTCAGGAGATTGAGGTGGGAGAACTGCTTGACCCCAGTGAGCTGAGATCATACCACTGCACTCCAGCCTGGTCAAGAGAGAGAACTTGTCTCAAAAGGAAGTAAAGTATTTAGAATTAACTTCTAAAGAGATCTACGTTAGAGGCTGTATTAGTCCATTCTCACACTGTTATGAAGAAATACTTGAGACTGGGTAATTTATAAAGAAAAGAGGTTTAATGGACTCACAGTTCTGCATTGCTGCAGAATCCCTCAGGCAACTTACAATCAGGGCAGAAGGCCAAGGAGAAGCAGGCACCTTCTTCACAGGGCAGCAGAACGGAGTGAGTGCAAGCAGGGAACATGCCAGACACTTATAAAACCATCAGATCTCATGAGAACTCACTATTACAAGAACAGCATGGGGGAAACCACCCCCATGATCCAATTACCTCCACCTTGTCCCACCCTTGACACGTGGGGACTTGGGGAATTACAATTCAAGGTGAGATTTGGGTGGGGACACAGAACCAAACCATATCAGAGGCCTTGTTCTTCTACTACTAATGGTACAGACTTGGGAAGAATAGTATACTCTCTGTGTGTCCCTTTATCAGCTGCAAAGCGAGGATGATCCCCACATGGTAGAATTGTGATGATTTAATGAAATAAAATATTAAAGAGTAGCTAGCAGGTATGAGAAACAACAAGGAGGCATTGCAGCTGGAAATGAATATGAAAGTGTGGAAGGAGATCAGGTCATCGTGAAACTCACATTATTTTAGGGTCTTTGGGTCATGACAAAGACTTTGGCCTTTCCTTTGCTCTAAGCGAGATGGATATTCCTGTGGAGAATTTTAAGCAGAAAAGCAACATGATCTGACTTATGTCTTCTAAAGAATCTGACTGCAGTGGGAAGAATAGACTATATGGTGAGGCAGAGACCAGGCAGGAGGATATTACAGCAGTCCTCTCAAAAGAGGACTGGACTTTGACCAGAACTTAGCAGTGAAGATGTTGAGAAGAGGTTGGGTTCCAGAAATATTTTGAAGTTAGAACTGACAGGATTAGCTTATGTAATAGATGTGAGGTGTGAGAGGGAAAAAAGAGTTAAGATTTTTGTTTTGTTTTGTTTTGTTTTTTTAAAAAAGGAACATATTTGGTAGAGGGAAATTGTGAATGGAGTCTTCAAGAGAGTAATTTTTAAGTACAAGTAGAAACATTGAATAAACAATTAAATGTATGAGCCTTGAGTTCATGGGAGACGACCTGGTTAAAGATATAAAATATGGTAGTCTTTAGGATACAGATGGTATTTAATGTACTATCCCTAAATGGGATCATTCAGAAAGTGAGTATGGAGAGAATAGAGATGTCAGAAGACTAAGCCATGGGGCTTGCAGGTCAGAGAAATGAAAAGAATGTGCAAGGAGATTAAGAAGAAACAACCAGTGAAGTAGTAAGATAACCAAGAGAGAAGACTGTAACTGAAGAAAGTATTTTCAGGAGGAATTCTTCAACTATGTCAAATGTCACTGACGAACGAATCTAGTTAGTTGAGGGCTGAGAACCAACCATTTGTCTTAGCCACATGGGGTTCATTGGAAATCTTGATGGCTGCAGTTTGGGTAAAGTGATGTAGATGGAGGCTTAATTGGAGTGGGTGCGTTAGAGAGAGTGAGTGGTAAAATTGACTAGATGGCTTACACATTCAAACACATTCAGAACTTCAAAAAGTAAGGCAGGTTTCTATTGGCACATGAATAGAAAGTCAGGCCAATATAACAAAATAGAATTCCCAGAAATAGATCCAAACATATATGAGAATTCAGTATATGATAAAGGTAACATTTCAAGCATAAATGGTGTTGAAATAAACTATGTACCATCTGGAAAAAGATAAAGTTGGATCCAACTTTATCCTTTCAAAATTTCCAATGAACTGCTTTGATGAAAAAAAAAAAAAAGATCATGGATGAATTCCTTTATAAACTGGGAGTAGAGAAATCTTTCCAATTCAAATTCCAGAACCCACACAAATTATTAATAAATTAGTCTAAACAAAAATTTAGTGAATTGGTATTTTAAAGGACAAATGATAAAGTGGAAAAGATGTTTACAAAATCTGCCACAAAGAATTAATCCTCTAATATAATTACGAATTGAAACAAAACAATAGCTAAACAGTAAAAAAATGACAAAAAATATAAACAGAGTATTCACAGAAAAAGAGATATTAATAGCCCTTAAACATATGACAAAACACTTACTCATAAGAAGGAAAATATTAATTAAAACTATACTGATGATAAATTAAAACTACACTGATGAAAACTACCTTGATGCCTATCCGATAGATGATAATAAGTTATCCAGAAGTTTAACATTACCCTCTGCTGGTGAGGCTGAAGGACAGGAACCATTGCCTTGCTTTGCTAGTGAGAGGACAGCATGATACAATGTCCATGAAGCATAATCTAGAAATAGTTGTCAAAATTACAAAGGTATTGTATTAGTTTCCTAGGGTTGCCATAACTGAGTGCCACAAATTTGGTTGCTTAAAACAACAGAAATTTATTATGTCACAGTTCTGGAGGCTAGAAGTCTGAAATCAAGGTGCTGGGGAAGAATCCTTCCTTGCCTCTTACTAGCATCTGGTGGTTGCTGGAAATCCTTGCTGTTCCTTGGTTGGTAGATGCATCACTCCAGTCTCTGCCTTCATATTCACAGTGTTTTTCCCTGTATATCTCTGTCCAATCTTCTCTCTTCTTATAAGGGCACCAGTCATTGAATTATGGCCCAGCCTACCCCAGTACAACCTTATCTTAACTTGATTAAATCTTCAGAGATCCTATTTCCAACTAAAGCCACATTCATGGGTTCTAAATGTTAGGACTTGAACATAACTTTTTAGAGACAAAATTCAACACACAGTATACATTTTCCTTTTAACCCAGCAACCTTATTTGGGGGAATTTATATTTCTAGCTACATGAAATTATGTTTATGTAAAGTTACAGCATTTTTTGTAGCAGCAATTGATTGATAACAACTAAGGTGGTTACAGATAAGGACCAGTTAAGCAAACCATGGAATATCTGCACAATGAAATGTGTATAGCTGAAGACATGGTGGAGAAGCCTCTATGCACCAATGCACAATGACCGCATGTCACTGAGTTACCCCCTGGTCACAGAGAAACAAATCTTTCATAAACAACAAACATAAACAGCAAACAAACTAATTAGGAAGTTATTACAATAATAGAGATGAGTTTGGTTATGGAGATTGAGAGAAATTAGACAGATTTAAGATGAGTATTCAATATTTTGCATTTTTATAGTGGCCATTGTTTTATCCCTGCAAAGAGTCACAGTTGATCGGTTGGAGAAAAATCATTCCAGGAGACGGGTGAACACTTGACTCCAACATTTGAATATTACCCCATATTATATTTACACTACCCATGCCTTAGCTATGAGTCCCAGAGGGAGCCTTAGGCATATTTCTTTACAATAAATGGGTCCATTCTATCAAAAGCTTATTGAACTGCCAGTAGGCAAATCACTTAATTGCTCAGAGAGATACATGGAAGGGGAAAAAGTCTGAAAATATGGCAAGGTCCTTATGTATGGAACTTTTTAGATGAAGGATACAGTGAATATGTAGCTCAGTTTTCATCTGGTAATTGGATACCTATATTTTTAACATTCAGTACATCCTTCTCAGAGGAACATTTGAGGAAGATAGCATTTCTGTTTCTTTGGGAAATGATTAAGCATGCACTTGTCCTAATTTTCTCAGTCTGCATGTGGTAATGAGCAAACTCATCCCTGCTGTACTCTGTAAACAATGCAGGTATTGATGCTTATAAAAATTACTGCACTGCCTTTGAGATCATGGGATTTCACCATCCATATTAACCTTTAAGATGAGGGATAACATTTGTCTTTGCATAAGATGGGGAGGAGGGAAAAGAAAAGAACCCCAAACACATGAGAGGCACTGACAAGCTGCCAATGATATAAATAATCACTGTGTTGTAGTTTGGAATGACATTGCAGAAAAGCCTTTGTAATAGGGGACTGAAAAGAAAAAACCAACACAGTTTAAATTGAAAAACATAAGTATGTTCTAAGAAATAAAAACACAGATCGGTTCAGCAGATTCCAGTGGAAGTAGTGTAGATAGGGAAATATACCTTTAAACATTGTCCTGAAGGACAGCCAACTTAGGAATGCAGATCCCAATAACCTATTGCATGATTTTGAAGAGGAGTCTGGGAGAAATACAGACGTATTTAAACCTGGGGACTAATATTTCCATTGTTTAAATGTGCTGTGGATAGCCACAACTATGTAATTGCTACTTATATCTCCATTTTTAGTCATGAGAATTAACTCTAACCTCAGCAGGATGTGGTTGGTATACAGATAATTGTATTTCTTTGCTTTCAGAGAGGCTTTGAAAAATTCCTCCATTTGGCCTCAGTCACTTGTGCATTACAAAGAGAGGGATGCAGCTTTATAAAAAGTATCAAATTGGAGAAATGATGCCCTCAAACTCAGATGTTCCTCATTTACATGTAGCATTTTTGAGAAGGTCCTAAGAATAAATCATGCAGGTTATCATTGACATTTTCTGGAAAGGACACATTTTGATGACATAAATTGGAAGTACAAGTTAATCATTAAGTGAAATTATTATGCAAGTGAAATGGCTAAATCTCCATGCATGAAATTTGTTTCAGAAACTTAAAGCCGGAATACCCCCAAAACAGTGGCCGTAGTTGTGATGTTTTACCTAATGCTTGATCATGTGCCTCTCTATGAAATACTGCATTCATTTTAGAGGTGCTGATGCCAAGTAGCAAAAACATGAGCCAAGAAATGTTATTGGAACATGCTGTGATGAGATTAGAGCAGGCAGGATTGAGGGGTGTTGCAGAACCAAATTAAAATAGCACTAGTGGAGGCAGGTCTGTGCTGGAAAATCAAAGCAGAAAATTTTTCTTTCACAATGCAAGAAATTGCTGAGGGAAGAGCAGGAGAGAGGGCTATTCCAAAGTCTCAATCATGAGAACATTTTCCCAGTACCATAAACATAAATGCCAACTCAAGCTAATTCAATGTGACAAAGGTTCCTTTGTCAGCCAAACTAGTCAGACTCCAGAACCTTCTCCCAAGCCCATCTGTGCACTTCCTTATAAAGTTCAGTTTTAGCAAAAACTCCTCAGTGTCGATATCTGATTACCCTCAATATCTGACTATTAAATTTTCAGGAATTATGAAAGTCAGTTGTTAAACACAATCATTATTTCAAATTAAATTCTGTAAATTTCCAACTAAATTAAATTTAAAACAGATTCTTAAAACCCATCACTTCCTTATTAACTCACTACATTTTACTTTTATTCAAATTGGCCGTGGTGGGAGTATCTATATTACAGTAACTAGCAAACCCTAAAATCAGGGTTTAGCTTATTGTTTTGTTGATTGTCTAGATTTTTTTAAGTGATGGAGAAAACAGTAATAATGCACATTTAACTTATGTGTGTCACTCTCTAGTTTTCACATTGTTAATGGCACAAAAAGTTGAAGAAATATTCTTTCAATATTAAAAAACTTTATCTGACTCAACAAGAAAGTTTCTTATGCCATTGATAAACAAATTTTATATGCATTTTCATTGTTTTACTTTCATCTTTCTCTTTAATGTAAAGAGAAATTTCAGCCAATATTTAGGTTGGAAATATACTTATTCATCAAATACAATCATAGGCTGTCTACGACTTCAACAAAAACATTTTATACTAATCAATTGGCTTTACGGAATTTACCATAAAGAATATTGGTTATTTTACTATGATTTGTAAATCATGTGCCACACATCCTTTATGTCAGTAAGATTCATAATAAGTTTGTGCTGTGTGTGTGTGTGTGTGTGTGTTTGTGTATGTACATGTTATAGGACATATAAGAGAGATGATTGTTATAGAATATATAAGAGAGATGGTTGTACCACAAACCCAGTAAAGACAGAGCAGATATTACCAAATGTAAAATTTCCAAAGACAGAAAATTAGACATGATGAGTCCAGATTTCCATATTTAAAATTTGTAAGTATAGGTGTAAATCTGGGTCACAGGAAATCTTTACAAATGAAAGAATTAACAGATGCTGATCAAAGCAGATGGAATTGACCAGTGTTTTACATTTTAAAAAAAATTACCTATAGTCATTGTTTATACTTTTCTTCTCTTCACAGGAAGTATTAACTCAAGCAACTAATATTCGCTAGGTTTTATATATATATAGGGAGAATATATACACATACACGCACATACACACATATAGATCAGATGCTGTACTAAACATACTACATGGAACATTCATTTAGTGACCACAATACCCCAAGGAGTCATTATGATCCTCCACATGTTTTTCAGATGGAAAATAGAGGATCAGTACAATATGACACAGCTTGTTCTAGGACACAAACTACTAAGTCTCTTCTTCCTGCCTACGCTTTTAAACTCTGTGCTGGTCATTGTTCTTGGAGGACTTTTTAGACTAGAAAGGAAGTGCTTATCATTTTTACTGTAAAACAAATACCGAAAGAAAAAAAAGTCTTCTTCATCTGAGTCAAATCTTCCAGAATTTTAATTTATCTTTCCAGCCTTCATCCACCACCACTGACTTTTCCACAAGCTATTCTTTTGTCCACCTCACCTAATCTTTCACGTATGTGTCGTTTCCTACCTCTTTAATGTTATCTTCAGGTGTCCTTCTTCTACATGTTGTGCCCTCACAAATCCCAATTCTAAATTCTACCCATCTTTTAAGAGTTCCACTTAAATACAATCTTCTCTCTAGAATTGTTGATTTTCCAGGCATCAAAATAATCCTCTATTCACTCAAACCAAAGTTGTAATATGTCTCTTGTAGTACTTAACCACTATCCACATTGGACTAGGCAGCCTTTCCCAAGATAAAATCTGGAAAAACTCTGAAAGGATCAGCTCCTATGTCATTAGCAAATCAAAGACTTTACTGCAAGACTTTGCAGTGAATAAACTTTTTTTTTTTTAACTTCCCAGTGATTTTCCAAGTGTAATTTCGTGTTTCCCCCGTTTGTTTCACCCTGGAACTCATTCCCCACAACAAATACTCTATAACACCACCATGTGCCTCTGGTGTTCTAAAGAGACAACAATTTAGTGAATACCTGAATACATTCTGTCTCCTACTAGAGGACAGAGACTCAGCCATGAATGCAGAGACACAAGACTAGATTTTGTTTTTATTTGTGTCACTCAGTAAGACTCCTTTTGCTTTGCATATAGGAACTGAGAACATATTGGTTGAATGAATAAGCTTCATACTTGATTAAATAGGATGTAAATGGCCACAGACGGAATGTCAATTTGGATGAAGCACTCACAAGTACCCAATTGGGTAGCATCCCTATCACAAAGTTAGGCCAAAGAGCAGTCTAAGCAGCAGCATCTGGCAAATGACATCAAAATGCCCGTAGCTGGTTCCTCCTCAGTTTACTGCTAAAGTAGGAGAAAATAACAGCAAGGATTTAGGGAATATCAATGTAACTGTCACTACCTCTAAAGTCTCTCCCAAACTGGATTCCCAGAAAATTGAAATGCTTATAGTGGATTAGGCTCCCTTTTTGTGCCTCTTAATTGCAGTCTTCCTTGGTAGGAGGCTCTCATTCCATACTGAGCCATTTTTATCCTATAATATTCTTTTCTTCCAATTTAGAGAGAGAAGCCTAGAAAATACATTGGGTGCCTTCCATGGCTAGGCTCCTGGAGGGAAAGACAGCATTTAGGAAGAGATTACCAAAGGCTTAACTTATCTAATGTCAGGAGTTTCCCAAATGTGTATGAGGGTATGTGTATTTGTGAGGAGCCATGTGGAAAAAGGACTTTCTCCTTTTTTTTTTTTAAATTTTTTAACTTTCAAGTTTACTGTTTCTTTGTTTTTATTTTTGACTATCTTTTTTTGTTAATTTCTGTTCCTATTACATTGCGGTTAGAAAATGAGATTTCTCTTTGAGGCTTAATGCATGTTAAATTTTTATAAATATCCCACATGTATTTGAAAAGAATGCAAATTACCTATGGTCAAGCTTACAACTGGGTTATTCAAATCTTTGATAGTTTTACTAATTTTTCTCTCTCTGATCCAAGAAAAGAGCATTAAAATATGTTACCACTGTAGATTTGTCAAATCCTCTGCTTTCTATCCATTTTTCCTTTATGTATTCTGAAGCTACATTGTTTTATAATTTTGGTGGATCATATCTTTCACCAATATGAAATATTTCTTTTGTCCCACTTTACATCTCTTTACATCTCTTACAAAATAGCAGGTAGCTGGATTTTTTTCTTTTTTCCTGCTCAGCATCTCTGTCTTTTAATGGGGAAATATAACCAATTTATATAATTGTCAATTTGATATGGCTTTTCTTATTCTTGCCTTATTTTTACAGTTTTCTTTTTATCATTTTCTTTTTTTTATTATTATTATACCTTAAGTTGTAGGGTACATGTGCACAACGTGCAGGTTTGTTACATATGTACACATGTGCCATGTTGGTGTGCTGCACCCATTAACTCGTCATTTAACCTTAGGTATACCTCCTAATGCTATCCCTCCCCACTCCCCCCACCCCACAACAGGCCCCAGTGTGTGATGTTCCCCTTCCTGTGTCCATGTGTTCTCATTGTTCAGTTCCCACCTGAGTGAGAACATGCAGTGTTTGGTTTTTTGTCCTTGCCATAGTTTGCTGAGAATGATGGTTTCCAGCTTCATCCATGTCCCTACAAAGGACATGAACTCATCGTTTTTTATGGGTGCATAGTATTCCATGGTGTATATGTGCCACATTTTCTTAATCCAGTCTATCGTTGTTGGACATTTGGCTTGGTTCCAAGTCTTTGCTATTGTGAATAGTGCTGCAATAAACATACTTGTGCATGTGTCTTTATAGCAGCATGTTTTATAATCCTTTGGGTATATACCCAGTAATGGGATGGCTGGGTCAAATGGTATTTCTAGTTCTAGATCCCTGAGGAATGGCCACACTGACTTCCACAAGGGTTGAACTAGTTTCCAGTCCCACCAACAGTGTAAAAGTGTTCCTATTTCTCCACATCCTCTCCAGCACCTGTTGTTTCCTGACTTTTTAATGATCGCCATTCTAACTGGTGTGAGATGGTATCTCATTGTGGTTTTGATTTGCATTTCTCTGATGGCCTGTGACGATGAGCATTTTTTCATGTGTCTTTTGGCTGCATAAATGTCTTCTTTTGAGAAGTGTCTGTTCATATCCTTTGCCCACTTTTTGATGGGGTTGTTTATTTTTTTCTTGTAAATTTGTTTGAGTTCATTGTAGATTCTGAATATTAGCCCTTTGTCAGATGAGTAGGTTGCAAAAATTTTCTGCCATTCTGTAGGTTGCCTGTTCACTCTGATGGTAGTTTCTTTTGCTGTGCAGAAGCTCTTTAGTTTAATTAGATCCCATTTGTCAATTTTGGCTTTTGTTGCCATTGCTTTTGGTGTTTTAGACATGAAGTCCTTGCCCATGCCTATGTCCTGAATGGTATTGCCTAGGTTTTCTTCTAGGATTTTTATGGTTTTAGGTCTAACGTTTAAGTCTTTAATCCATCTTGAATTGATTTTTGTATAAGGTGTAAGGAAGGGATCCAGTTTCAGCTTTCTACATATGGCTAGCCAGTTTTCCCAGCATGCTTTATTAAATAGGGAATCCTTTCCCCATTTCTTGTTTTTGTCAGGTTTGTCAAAGATCAGATAGTTGTAGATATGTGACTTTCTCCTTTTGAAAACTACTGTTCCAGCTGTTGACAAATGTAAAAACTTCAAAAAGTTAGAATAGAATTTTTCTTAACAACAAAATTACTTTCTTTTTACTTTGACCCAGAGTTGCCAGGAGAAAGGCTCAGTGAAAAAATTTGAAAACTGCAGACACAGTGAACCCAAGTTCTGTGCAGTCTAGCAAATCGATGGAAAGATGTATCTTCATTACTAATTATAGGCTGCCTACTGTGCTCCCCGAAAAACGATCAAATCATTTATCTCCTAAAAGCAAGTCACTGATGCATGCTCCTCCTCTAACCACCCACATAGGGCTGCATCTCTCCTTTCTGGTGTTCAAATACAATCCACCATGGTTTATGGTTTAGAAAGAGGAGAAATGCTGGATGCATTGCATATGTGGGCAGAAGGAAACCCAGACAAACCAACAAAGAAAGAAAACAAGGGAATGAAATGAGCAGGAAATAAATGGAACAACTGTTAAATAATTCAGGATAATTGCCCAAAGGAAAGCAGACACACTGAATGGGAATGAAGGAAGTAAAGAGATCAAGTTATATAGCAGAAGGAAAAACTAGAGTGGAAGAAGAGGTAGATGAAAGAGCTCACCCAAGGGAGTAAAGCAAGAAGGCACTGCTAGCCTTGGAAGGAATATTAACAACTAGGTATAGAAAAAAAGCAATCCATAATCTTCTGACACCCTCTGAAGAGACTCTCAGTGTGTCTCTTTGTGATTCACACAAGTTTGTATTGCCTTTAAAAAGCTGATTTCCCTGGCTCAGCTGAGGCCCTTTGGAGCAGTTAAGCCATGTGATAATGGGGCAAGTAGGAACTTCTAGAAGTAGTGACTTCTGGCTGAGGATAAAAAGAAAGGAATTTTAGACTTCTTTCCTACACACATTCTGAAGTTAACAGTGGGGCCTGAGAATGTGGTGTTTATCCCAGCTTAACATTTTAACCCAGCCAAATTTGAGTAAGCATGATTTTTCCCACGTTGTGGATGCTCTTCCATTGTCAGTAGATCAACTAGGACTATTTTCTTTTCCTTGAGTAATGAATGCAATGAATATAAGTCAGCAAGATGCAAACCTTAGTTGACAAGAATGAATCTTTACAAGAAAGGTGTCCTGTCATTGTTCTGGAAATGGGAAATTAGAAGAGCAAACAATTATTTAGCAGACACTTATTGAGCACCTACTGTGTGCTAGTCTCTGTCACCTACCAAGTGAGTGAGGCAGAACATCTGCAGTGGAGCCTGTAATCCACATTTTAGCAAACTCTCAAGCTGGTTTTGGAGGGATGTCCTCTTGGCCATTTTTCTAGAAACACTATTCAGAAGCAGTGTTTCTCAACCTTTTATCAACGATCACCAGGCAAACAGCCTTTTCAACCATTTTAATAAAAAATCACACTCTGCCATGAACTTGTAATTCCAAAATATACTGTACATCTGTTTATGTACTGTGGCCCTTTGGAAGATACAACCATTTTAATTTCTACATTATCATCACCTTCTAAGTATTACTATTCACCTTCTTGAGGGGGCATTTCACCCCTGTTGAAATATCACCAATGTGTTCTACGAGTTCAGTGACAGATGAGACCCCCTGTAGAAAGCTCAGTTGGATTCGACACATATTCAATGAGCAAAAATTATGTGTCAGGTACTGTGTTAGACCCTGGTCACACTAGGTGCATAAATGAGCAATACATCATCCCTGTCTGGAACTCACTGGAGACAGATGTCATAAACAGACAATTTCAATATAACATAAGTGATACATTAGAGCTTAGCTCAGGATTCCCACCATCCATACGGAAGGGTTATCAGCCCAGACAGAGGTTGAAGGAAGTCATCCTAGAGAGGGTGTGTAAGTTGATTCATGAGGTTAAGAAAGTTAACGAAAGAAAAGTGAATAAATTCATCTTTAAAGAGAAGGTGGATTTGGGTCTGGTTGTAGAATTCTGCCTTGGCATTTGGACAGCCATTTGAGAATTGTCTATTGGATATTAAGAAGTAGACTTGGGACCAAGAAAGATTTCTTTCTTTGCAAATATAACTGGCTCATGTGTACAGTAATTGTACAACCTATGAAACTTTTTACAAATCCACTTTTATAAATAGGATAAGGCTGAGGGTTGTGTGTGTGTGTGTGTGTGTGTATGCATGTACGTATAACAATTCTTCAGAGTACTGGACACCTAGCAAGCTCTATATGAGATTTTAGATTTATTAGCCTATTTTAATGAATAATGTCAGTGAACAAAGTCAATTTTAACCCCAAGTGTGTGATGTCTATAGCATTCTTTGCCCTTTGTCTCCACCT